>NC_000010.11:127236305-127547785 GCF_000001405.40 Homo sapiens
CTCCTTTCTTTCTCCCTCCCTCCCCCTCTCCCCTCCCCTCCTTCCCTCTCTCCTTCCCTCCCTCCTTTGCTCCCTCCCTACTTCCCTCCCTCCCATCCTCCTTCCTTCCCTTCCTTCCTTGGTATTTGGGTATCCAACTGTTTCGGCACCATTTGTTGAAAGTACAGTTTGCACATTGATCCTTCTTGACACGGGTTTTTTTTTTTTTTTTTTTTTTTTTGAAATCAGTTAACCCTATGTGTGCAGCCAGTTTGTTTTATTTGTCTGTCTGTCCTTTCCAGTACCACACTGTCTTGATATCTGTAGTTTTATAATAAGTCTTAACCATATTGAGTCTTCCATTCCATGAATATGGTATATTCCTCCAATTTTTAGGTCTTATTTGACTCCCGTGTCAATGTTTTGTGTGTTTCAGTATACAATTTTGTGACTTTAAAATATTCTTCTGTATATGGTTTTGTGTTTTATTCTTCATCACCATCATCATCACCACCATTCATTTATGTAGCCAGCCACTGTGCAAATATCCTTAAATACATATCTAATTAAACTTTTCAAGAATTCCAGATTTTAGAATCATGATCCGAGTTTTACAGATGAGGAAAACGAGGCTCAGAAAGGTTAAATAGCCTGTTAAAATTTATACAGCAAACGTACCCTTGGTCAAGTGATTATTCCAAATTGTCTGCCTTTGAAACCTTTACTCTTGACTCCTAAACTAATTTTGTATCATTTATCTATATAACTTTTGCCTTAAGACCAAAAAATATTGGCCGGGCGCGGTGACTCTCGCCTGTAATCCCAGCACTTTGGGAGGCCGAGGCGGGCAGATCACCTGAGGTCTGGAGTTTGAGACCAGCCTGGCCAACATGGGGAAACCCTGTCTCTACTAAAAATATGAAAAATTAGCCGGGTATGGTGACGGGTGCCTGTAATCCCAGCTACTTGGGAGGCTGAGGCAGGAGAAGCACTTGAACTCGGGAGGCAGAGGTTGCAGTGGGCCGAGACCACACCATTGCACTCCACCCTGGGTAACAAGAGCAAAACTCCATCTCAGGAAAAAAAAAAAAAAAGACAAAGAGTATTATAAACTAATGAAAAGAGCGAGGGTGATGTTGGGATCCATATTTGGCAGGGAAGCAAGATATTTGTACTCTTTCTTACAACTTCCACTGTATTTTGTTAAGACCTGAATACACCTCTACAGTGGACAGTCCAAATAAATAAGCCATTCCCGTACTTAAGAAGCATGCATATGGTGGAGCTTTATGTGCAAAAGCAACAAAGCCCTCTAGTTATATTTTAGCTCCTCAGATACTTTTCTGAGTGATTATTCCTGCTGCTTAAATCTCTGTACTACTCCCTTTTGCCCAAGTTAAAATACCTAAATCATTGGTTGTAGTTCTATTATTGTATTCAGTAATAGTTCCTTTGATTGGAAAAGAAATACCTCCTTTTTAGAATTCCCTGGCAGTCTGTAATAACTCCCTTTTATAATATTTGTAACATTGTGTCTTAATTAATTGTTGTCATATAAGTCTTCTCACTAGATTGTGAGTAGAAGCTGTTTTCCTTTGGCTTTTTGAGATGTTTCATATGTACAAAAATGTTGAATCAGTATTAGTGTTAAACACACGTACCCACCTAAATTCACTACATATTAACATTTTGCCATGTCTGCATTATCCCTGCATGTGTAAACTTTCTTTTCTGACATACCAAAAAGTTGGTCACAGACACAGGGACACATCATTCCTCGCTTCATGCAACTCCTATGAATAACTGCTCTGTAGGCACAGGAATATTATGATGCCTATGAAAATGAACAATGATTCCCGAATAGAATGTAAGATCTCTTCCCTGTGAGGTTTTCCCTTTGACCTTAAGGGTCCCCACCATTTGTCTTGTCAAATGCTGTATACTCTGAATCTGTCTATTCATTTCCTCATGATGGAACATTTTTGGCAAAAAAAGTAACTACTTAAGTGATCCTGTGTGCTTAGCATTCTACCTAAAGGCCCATACTATAATTAGGAAGAATCTATAGGGTGTTGTTTTCAGATTGAGTGAGTGTCTTCGTCCCCAAAGACCTTTTACCTCGAGGTTTCAGTGCCCATTGAGGAGCCTCCTCTGGACCAACCATTCCTTTAGGAGTTGAAACCTTCAGTTATCAAGTTCTCTTCTTCATTCCGTGTTTTTTTGGCTCATAGTCTTCCGTAGGTCACAGCTTTACTTTTGCCCTCAACCCTGCCACGTCGCCTATATGTCTGTGTAGACACATGGATTTTTTTCTCATTCAATTTGCTACATTTGTTTGTTGTCATCGTTCATTTTGATATTCAGATTGTCTCAAGCATCCCACACGTGGCCAGGGGAGCCTCCCCACACCACCTCCTGTGTCCTTTTGACATGGCCCCACTAGCCTAGAAGAAAGACGTGACCCAGCCTCCCACTGAGGTCATTCTGGTCAGGGGCTGTTTTTATCTCCTGCTGACCTACTCTTGGGAACTCAATGATGTCAACACACTGCACACTCATTGAATGTTGGTTGAGTGTTGCACTTGGCAGTGCTCTTCATGGTTTTGAATCTTCTTGTCATTTTAGCCTTATCCCCTCCATTTCTCATGACCCATTCTAGAAGGACCCATTTAGGGAAGCTTCAATTTCCCCTGGGGTGTGGGGAAAGTGAGACAAGGGGTGGAAGTAGAACCTCAGTGGGTTGTGCTTCCTGTGTTGATGCTTTCCTGCACACCCTGCTGGACAGGTACAGGGCTACTGCAGAATTCCTCGTGGGTTCCCACAAATTGAGTCTCAGTCCACCACAGTAGGCGATTTTGAAAATAAGCATTAGGCATTTATGACTAAAATCACTTTGGTAGCTTATGTAGTTGTAAGTAGATAAGCTATTGGATGATCACTTGTCATGTGCAGTGTTTGAGCATACAACCGCATACAACATATGTATGTATTATGAGTACATACATATTTATAAGAAATACCATAAAAGATTATCTATGTTTTTATTTACTATAATCTCATATTTCAAAGTATCTTTTATTCTCCTTACGATTCATTTATTTAATGTTTTAATACTTTATAATACTTAAGTATCATCATAAACATTTAATACTTAATATTTAATGATGTGTGTGACATTTCTCCTTAATACATCATCCAACCAATGTTAACAATGTTGAGGACAGTATCCTTTTATGATTTATGTAAGGCATTCCATTTTAGCTAAGAAAGAGTTTCAACTTTCATTTATAACAATGATAATTGTAGTGTCCTTTATCTATGAAAGTCAGTTTAAAAACACGTATAGACATATTGATCTTCTCTTCAATAATAAGAGTTTTTTTAAGACCGAGTTACGCTCGTTTCTATTATAGTGTGTTTTCAGATCCTCTATATCATGCGATAAGACTTCGAAAATTCTAAACTCTCTAAGGCTCTATTATTACGTGATATATTGAGTATATAAAAATAACGTATAAAATTTTCTGCTTTGCTGTCTTGCTTTAGGATCAAATGAATTATATTAAGAAGCTGCAAACAAAGTATATAGTCCTCATTACACCATAAACTATAATTTTGTATGTAATATTTGATTATAATTTATTTTTATACTTCATAACAAATGTGAATATGTGTTTAAATTATTATACTTTATAAGTAGCAAATAACTGTTATGGGTAATTTAAGATCCAGATATTCCCTTTTGGTATATTTGTCCAATAAACATCTTCTGCAATTACTGCCACTATAAAAATGAAATCGATTTTGTTTTTAAATTATATTTCTTTCCTTATAGTGCCTGGAATGGTATGAGATACTAGTACTCTATAAATTCAACTAAGCACTCAGTTTAAATTTAAGATACAGGTTTAATTTTGTTGTTAGTAGTTCCAAATAGCTAAAAGATGACATTAGTGTAAGTTATTTTCTGTTTTATATAGTTTTGGCTTTTTTTTTTTTTAACAAACATTCCTCACTCTAAAGTTCTTTATAAAATAAAGAAATTGTAATATTTGGGAGATTAAATGAGTAAAAATTAATTATATATTGAATAAAGGCATCATGGGAATGAATTCATCTTTAAATGAAAAAAGGAACAATTTCACCATGGGTTGTTTATATGGGAAAGGTTTTATGAGTTCACTGATGAGAATGGACACCCATTTTCCGGTGAGCTTCAGTTTTAACAATAATACCTGAATCAGCCTTTTTATTATGTCTTATGCTTAATCAAATATTTAATTAATAAAACGTGACATACTTTTTGAGGGCACAGCGATGACTCCTGACATTCAATGTATGCGGCACTGCACACTATCCTCTGTCCTCATTTTACAACATCGTTCTTTCTATATTTTTAATTATTCTTTCTTTCTTATACTCCCCGCCCCCTTAATCTTAAAAGGATTTTGAGGTAGCTTTAAAGAAATTCTATATAATATGAAAACACATGTGTGAGAAAATCAAAGCAACAAGGAGAAGCTATCTCATTTCTATTTCAACAAATATAAGTGAAAGAACAATGTTACAAGGATTATAGAATTTTGCAAGATTTTTCCAAGTATGTTATTATTTTAAATCTGAGAAATATGATAGTTATAAGGGCAAATCGTTTGACTTGTCCTGAAAATCACTAAGCTGGGGGAGGAATATAAGGAAGATATGATGATCATGAATATAATCTCATATCTACCTGAGGATAGTAATTATAGTTCTTTGGCTGGGCGCGGTGGCTCACGCCTGTAATCCCAATGCTCTGGAGGCCAAGGCGGGTGGATCACCTGAGATCAGGAGTTCGAGATCAGCCTGGCCAACCTGGCAAAACCCTGTCTCTACTAAAAATACAAAAAATTAGCCAGGCGTGGCATACCTCTAGTCCCAGCTACTCCGGAGGCTGAGGCAGGAGAATCACTTGAACCCAGGAAGCGGAGGTTGCAGTGAGCTGAGATCGCACCACTGCACTCCAGCCTGGGAGACAGAGCAACCCTCCATCTCAAAAATAATAACAATAATAATTATTATTATTGTAGTTTTTTTACTTCTCTTACATTTTCTAAATGTTCTTCCTTTCCTCTGGGTTCTGTTTTTGTTTGTTTGGGCCTCCTTTATTAATGCTGGATGAATTTTTTTCACAAGGCCCAGTACTCTTGCTCAGACCCTCTGTCTCCAAGTTTGTGCACAGAGCATGGAGGCGCATGGGCTTTCCTGCATGGCAAGCCTGGATGGGCTGAGCTGTCATACTTTTGGAACCTCCATGCTTAGTATTAGTGCTTATGTTCTCTTTGGCTGGTCATTTTCACCAAAGAGGATTCTTCTGGTCTTCTTTCTAGGTTTGGTTTGGGACTAAGGTTAGGAGGGGTTAGTTTAAGCCTCCTTGCTGATATGCTGGGAGCTGAGCAGAAAAGAGAGAGGGGAGTATACTGTTTGGTTTGACATCAAACTAAACAGGTGTTTCTTCCAGGTGGTTCTTGTCATTTTCTTCTGCTTTTCAGGTACCTCCCTTGTCCAGAGAGTAAACATGTGGTCCTCTCCCCAGGAGTGAGTTGGAGAGCCCCTCACTGGACATGCTGGGCATAGGCAGACTGGATATAGGGTCACATTTCAAAGCCATCAGCACTGTTGTTTTTCATCTCACATGTAGCCTCCTGAGTACCTGGCACCCTCCAGTTTCTGGGCCTTCCTTGGGTTTTGCACCAGGGATTCACAGACTTCCTGTTAAATGTCACCACGTTCTTGCCTTGAGGGCAGTTGGTACCCACTCATCACCCTCTTTCCTGCTTCCAGAATTCTCTTGTCTTTAGTTGCATCTCCTCAGAGTCCCCTGGTCCTTGTGGGCTTGTGCAGTTTTAATATGTGCCTTACTGTCATTTAATGTGAGGAACTGGGAATGCATGTTTTAAATAGTTTCTAATTTGTGATGTAGGCAACCCCTAAGTATATTTTGAAAAACTTCAGCTCTGTGCAGACTTTGCAGGAGTTTGGGGCTAATTTATAACATTTTGAGGTTTTGTTTGTTTTTTGGACTCCCTGTTTTTCTCTTTCATATTTTCTCACAGAAAATACCACCTATGAACATTTTGCCATTGGCTTTCCCTCTACAAAAGAGAAAGCCATTGTGCTCTGTTGGCCTTCTATCTTATCAGCTCTAAGAACTCACTCATACTTGGATTTATTTCAAATCATTTTAAAGAAGGACTTGACTCTCAGTTACATTCCCTTTTCCTATATTCTCTTCTTCATAATATTGCTTTACAGTATTGATTCTTTGGCTTGAATGCGCCCCAAAAGAAAAATCATCCAGAAGTCATCACCATTATGTTTTTTTTGTTGTTGTTGTTTAGTAATATATTTTAAAATGTTACTGGATAATTCATTTTCATTGCTTTTTATGATGATTATAAGATGGGTTTATTTTCATTAATATATTTGAAATTTAAGCATTTGAGTGAGATTTCCTCTTCAAAGTCCTTGCCTTAGTGAAAACACGGTTAAACTTTGTAACAAGACCTCAGTTGAAATCATGAAGCATAATCCCGGATTCAGTCTTCAGGGTTCTCCTTTTATTGAAACCGGGCACCTACCGTCCACACTCGTCACTCCTGTGTCTCTGTTTACAGCTCCAACAGCTTCTGAGGCTGGGAACTGCCCAGAGATCCTTTGGAATTTAGAGAACTTAGAAGAACGTTAAAATTTCTGCCTGTGTTGTGTGTCCCAGAGAGCAAATCTGTGCTTTGTACAAAGTGTGAGCTCCAGGGTCGATTGAGACAGCTCTTGTCTGGCTGATGAAATTACCAGGAGCAATTTTATACCCTGCTATCCAAGTCACATGGCTAAGTCCATTTTTATTACACCTTCACAGCTCCTCAAGAATATGAATTAAAACCCTTTGGATTTTTTTCTTCTAATTCATACTTAGACCTTCCACTAGGCATAGTTGACAAAGGCACTGTTTAAAAGATATGTCTCATCCTGAGTTTCCATTCACCAGTCTGTGCTTTTGTTAGCCTTTTGTTTTTATATCCTGCAATGACATCCTGCATTCAACTTGCCTGTCACTGAATGTCCCCCTGCTCCACCACCAGCACCCCATTCTACCTGTGCTGTTTTCCTTCTACTGAGACTCACTTCCACCTGTGCCCAGTTCCACCTGCCTTTCCTTCTACCCAGCCTCAGTTCTACTTGTGCTCAATTCCACCTGCCCTTCCTTCTACCTGTGCTCAGTTCTACCTGTTCTCCATTTTTCCTATCAACCTACCTAGTGAAATGGGGGCCCAAACACATTTAAAACTGGGGCACTGAGGTACTTCCAGGAGGGCTGGGGGTGTGCGGGGACGACTTCTGTCCAGGGCTCCCTCCAGGAGCAGTGCCAGGCAGTAGCCAAGGCCACACCAACAGGGGGAGCCCTGCGAGAGAGATTTTTTAAGACAGGAGCTTAAGAAATGGAACTAGATCAGGGGCAGGCAGGGAGAGTTTGTCCCTCCTGCCAGATGGATCCTTTTCTTTCTGGACCACCTTTAAAAATATTAACATACTTTCTCTTTATAAAAACAATCTGGGCTTAGTCTCCCTCCACTCATGACTATCTGGTATCTTTTCTAGTCATTTTTTGTTTTTCTTGTACTATATATTCTTTATATTGGTCAAATGTGTATACATAATTACTGCAGTTTTCCTCTTCAATTATTTTCTCATGCTATTAAAATATTCCATATTTGCATAATGTTTCTTGATTTAATGGTTGCACAATATTTCATCATAACACAAGTTATGATTGCTTGACTTGCCAAATAAAAATATAGGACCCCCAGTTCAGCTTGAACTTCAGGTAAACAACAGTTTTTTTTTTCTAGTATATGTATCTCTCATGTAATATTTCATTGCAACGTTTGGGACATATTTATTTTTCTTTGTTTATCTGAGATTCAAATGGAACTGGGCATCCTGTACTTTATCTTGCAACCCTACAAAATATCATATTATTTACACAGTTTCTTGTGGTGGATGTTTAGAATTTTCAGCAATGCTATGGACATCTTTGGGTATGAAATTTTCTATTTTGAATTACTTCCTTTGGTAGATTATCAGAAGTAGAATTACTTAGGAGATGAGTATTTATTTTCAAGACTTTTCAAACCTATCTCCAAATCACTTTTTAAAAAGGTTATAGCAATTTATGTTCCCACCAACAGCACACAAGAGTCCTCGTTCCCTGCACCCTTGCTCACATTATCATCATTGAAATACTTCTTTGCTATTTTGGCAGGCAAATAATGATGTATCATTTTCATCTTTGATTACTAATGAGGTTCACTTTTTTTTGTTGTTTATTAGGCATTTAGTGTCCTGGTTTTTAAATTTTCTGCAAGTATATCCTGACTTCTGTGGCCCCATTTTGCATTGCTTTGAAGTTATAAGGAATATGTCTTATTTTTACTTATTGACTTATTTTTACTCAGCTGCTGGTGCTGGAGCCTAGTCCCTATGTTCAGGCTCAGGGATGGTTCTGCACAGTGGCTTTTGCTCCCAGCCTACCTGCTAGCCTACCCATTGTCTAGAAGATAAAAGCTTCATTTAGGAGTCATCTCCCAAATGCATTTAAAATAAATCAGTTAAAGCACAGAATAGTAATTTTCTTCTGAGCACACAGAATTAAAGTTTTATTTTCACAGAGCTCGCTCACTTTTGTTCCTAATAAATGACTGGTTTCAAAAGGCTTCCATAAATACCCGTTTTATCCACCCTTATAAGCCCACAGATATGCTGCAGGGTTCTGCTGTGTTCATGGAAACCATAAGGCTTCATGGTATCTGCAGTATTTGCCCAAAAAAATACTGATAACCCAAGGATGGGACTCCATTCCCAAAGGGCAGGGAGGAAGGGGAGGGGCATTTCAGTGAATTTTAATATGCAGATCATCCGTTTCCTAATGGAGTTCATGCTTCACCTTAGAGCTGAAAAAGCAAGACTTACTTTCGCTAAGAAAGGAAAGACTGAACGATGCACATGACTTCTGGAACATTTCCTTAAGTTTGGTAAAGAGGGCACGCACAGTGCCCGGCAGCACCGCCTCTAACTTGTGGAGATGGCCCATCCTTCTGGCCCTTCTGGGCCTCCTGTAATTAATCCCCATCGCAGTTAAACAAGGGGCCGCGTGGTTGCCTTCTCTGATATGCTCTTCCAGAGAGACTTCCCCACGGGGCATTTACATCCTCCCAGGACTTGTTTTATGGAAATTGCTGTGTTCGCTTCAGTTTTTCGTTTTCTGTGTTACAACGGTTTTGGCATTTGTTGCCTTGCATGAATTTCTCCGCATGACGTGACAGTCTGCTGCCTGAATTCAGTATGTCCACGTCACCTGTTCACGTCATCTGGCCTGAGTCTGGCTGCACTGATGTTTCTCATTAGTGTTACTCTGTGCTCATACCCTCAGCATTTTGAGACCCCCTCAAGGATTATGCTTTTCTTTCTACTTTCAGCCTGATCATTTAAGCTAAGCACATTGATACATTGCTTCTGGTGATAAATAGCTGACTTTGTGATTTCATTTATTCTAATGTGTAAGTCTCCATTGTGTAACTGGTTTGACCTGCAGAAAATTGATTTCAGCACCTACTAGGTTCACCTAGGCTGATATAGGCCTCTTCTTCAGCGGGAAAAGCTCCTCCTCTCAAGGGGAAGAGTCCGGGTCAGCGACTGCATCAGGGTCAATTGTGGGCAGAGTACTTCGAAGCCTCTTCTTCCTCACCCTCTTCCAGCTTTCTCTGATGACTGCAAGCGTAGAGGAAAGTGAATCTCTACCTTGTGTTGGTCATCAGAAGTGGCTTCAGATTCCTTAGAGGAAGAGTTAAAATGTGCATCTGGATGAGGGGTAAAGAAATGAGGTCAGCCAGTAAGTACCTGTCTTATAGTCCTAGAGTACAGCCTCCACACCCAGCTTTGCCATTCACTCCTTCAGAGAGTGAAACCTCTAAGCCTCAGTTTCACTGCCTGTAAAGTGGCACAGGAAGAGAAATTTGTGTGTGATTGAAAGAGGTCGTATTCTATTAAAGTGACAGTGTTGTTATTAAGACGATTATCCACGGGACACATCTCATTGTCATAAGGAGTAGACAAGATACAAAGGCAGCCTTTCTTGAGCTGAATGGTATGCCAAATATTTATATGTTTCAAAAGTTCACAAATTTTGCCATTTTACTAATCATTGCCTCAATGGAAAACAAGCATTATTTAGCTGTTTCCCTGAACACCAACTTGGAATCTAAATCTCAGCAATTATCATCATTCACAAATAATTTATATTTCTGGGCAAATGGAAGATATCATATCATCATTATTGTGTTTGTTCAATTTGAGTAATGCGTCCTTCGAGGACTCATTTGGAAGTAGATATGTGTACTATAGGTATAAAATGGATTGGAGAAAATATTGGATTTTAACATTTCACTGTAAAGCCTGTATTCCAAATTAATATAAAAGACATTTAGGCATTCTGATATATTGCTGGTAAAAGGAGAGTTAGTAAAAGAATGCAATTTGAGAGCTCATTTAATAGAGAAAAAATAGGGACATGTCTCAAAGTGTGTTTCATGCTATAATTTTACCAAACTTGTACTGGCTTAATGGGAAAAAATATATATCCTGTGTTTCTTAAAATGTCATTAACTTAGGGGGCAATATTTAAAAGCAAGGAAGGCTTTACAATGTTGTTAGCTACAAAGCCTAGCAGTGAGCAATTGCAGTTAATGGCAACAGAACTGCCTAGCTCACAACCCGCCACCAAAGCAAACACCCTTCAGGGCACGCAAACAAACGTGTGCACACCCACGTCCACACACATACTGGCTGCCTCCATTTGCAACAGCCGGAGAGACGTTTCAGCTTTGGCCCTTTACCTTCCCCATTCTTGATTTTCTGTGTTGCTTTCTTTTTTCCTCCTTCTTTTCCTTTCCACCCAGCTCCGTCTGGTCTGAGAAACTCCCAGCTCTCCCACTTGACATTCTGATGAGCCCACATTCCTCCTGTCCTTCTTCTCGGGGAGGAGAATTGGGCCATAACTCATTGTGGAGTTGTGGTGATTGCCTCCACATCGGGCACAGGGGGATACAGGCTGATTTTGAGAAATTAGAGGCCTTTCTTTGCCATGGCCCAAGAGGAGAGGCTGCACACACATTTTGCCGGATAATAAGGGCAGCAAGTTTCCAAGAGAGCACAAAACAGAAGTTCCCATGATTTCCATCCTGTCTTTAATTTTCTTGTATTTAATGCAAAAGTATTTCAAGCTTATTTTTCCAGTCTGGACAACCCTGTATCAGGAAACACTTGAGGTATTAATAGTTAGAGAGAATAAAATACAGCCCTGAGTGTGAGTGCACCAGTGTTTCTCATTCATGTTACTGTGTACTCATGTCCTCAGCATTGTGAGACCCCCTCAAGGGTTTTGCTTTTCTTTCTACTTTCAACTTGATATTCTAAGGACCCCCTACCAAAAAACATTCCTGAGGTTGGAAGTGACCCATGCCTTATGCTGATCTTCCCTGAGAGAGGGGCAGCAGAACCCAGGGCTCCCTGCCCATGCCCCGTTGCTTCTCCCTGACAGTTTCAAGTCCCAGAATCTGGGATGATTTCGGCTTTTCCCATGAGTGTTGCTCTGTCTCATCTAATTCTATCTTTTGATTCATTTACAGGGAAACTTCGTGGCTTGCATGACAGCTATTTTACGACAAATGGAAGATTACCATTATGCCCACTTGATCAAGACTTTTGGGAAAATGAGGACTGATGTGGTAGTAAGTGTCCCTTTCACCCTGTTCACATAACCATGTTTTAGGGCCAGCACTTTAGACAAAAGCCTGATATCAATATATTCATTTAAAATAGGATTTTGCATGAGAACTTGTCTCTGATTGATTTCAAATGCCTCCTGGGAAGGTCTGACTGAAGCCTTGTTTCTAACAAGACAAGGGTCCGGACTTGCAGACTTGCTTCTAGGGCTGAATGGAGAATGACTCAGGGGCTGAGCCCAGGGAAATCTCTTGTCTTTCTTGGTGACAGTTTCTTCTCCTGTGCTTTGGGATAATTGGAAATTTGGAGATGTTATCCATGGATAGTCTCCCATTAACTCCTATTCATTTATTGGTTGACTTTTTAATAGCAGAAGCCAGAGTGACTTTTCAGCTTTAAGTTGTACTCCATTATTAATTAGCTGTAATCATGGAAGCTCATCAGCATTTCTCCAAATAATTCTCTAGTCATCCTCAGTAAAACTATGATACAACTTAATTAGGAAAAGTATAACAGAGGGGAATTTATTGCTTATGAACTACCTCCCTAATGACCTGAAATTACATTGCCATATGGCAAATATCCTCTGCAAAGCTGCAACCAAACTTGTTGGCAGACTTTGTGATTACATGTTGACTTGAACTCTAAGATTCCATTTCTAAGGATCTGTAAGGTCCTGTAGAACAGGGTCCCCAATCCCTGGGCCACACAGCAGGAGGTGAGTGGTGGGCAAGGGAGCATTAGTGCCTGAGCTCTGCCTCCTGTCATATCAGTGGCTGCATTAGATTCTAATAAGAGTACGAACGCTATTGTGAACTGTGCATGCGAAGGATCTAGGTTGCATGCTCCTTATGAGAATCTAATGCCTGATGATCTGAGGTGGAACAGTTTCATCCCGAAACCTGCCCCACCACCCCCTGGTCCATGGAAAAATTATCTTCCACGAAACTGATCCCTGGTGCCAAAAAGGATGGGGACCGCTGTAAAAGAATACTCATAGATACCTGCAGAACATGGCAGTGTACTAGTGTTTCTAGAACAGGGGTTGTTGCACTTGACATGTACCTTATTAAGAAATGGGAAGAAGAGAATGATCTGTATGAGTTTTTTCAAAGGATTATTTCTAATACATAATTTTCTTATTGTTGCCACTATATATATAATGCATAGTTTTCTTATATATCTATAGTGGCAGCAATAAGCAAATTATGTATTAGAAATGATCCTTTGAAAAAATAATATTTTTATACTTATATATACATATATATACACATATGTACATATATACACACATATATACATATATATATACATGTACATATATATATACACACACACACACACACACACACACACACGCAGTCGTGTGTTGCTTAACAATTCTGCCAAATGCATCGTTAGGCAATTTCATCATTGTGCAAGCCTCATAGTGTGTACCCTTACTTAAACCTGGATGGTGGAGCCTGCTACACACCTAGGCTAGATGGTCTAGCCTGTTGCTCCGAGGCTACACACCTGTACAGCATGTGACTGCACTGAATACTATAGGCAGTTGTAATACAATGGCTATGATGTCACTAGGTGATAAGAAGTTTCAGTTCCATTACAATTTTTGGACCACTGACATATACACAGTCTGTCATTGACCAAAATGTTATTACGCAGCACGTGACTGTACTTCAAGATTTCTAAGGAGAACAAAAATGGATCTAGACCTTAAAGCTCTAGCAGTTTCCTCTAAATAAAAGTAAGGGAACAAGAATATGTATATGTTTGTATTTCTGTGTCTGGTTTTCCCTGAATATTAATAAGTAGTTGATAGTAGGAGTATATTCAAATGTGTAACCTGTATCCTGTTTATATCCCATGACTCTTTGGAAATCATGGCATAGCGAAATCAAATTTTACATTTGTAACATTTTATTCCATAATTGAATCTAAACTACACCCGACCCCCTGCTTTGGTCAGTGTAAAGCATAGTTGTAGCTTAAAGCTAGAGGAACAGTTTTGCAGATAACGTTCCAGGTTGAATAATAAAGTCTTCAGAAATAGAAGAATTACTCACCTGGAAAAGTCAGGACTCCAATTAGTACTTTGCCCTTTTTCAGAACAATCACTTCATAAAAGTCCCCACGTGCAAACATGTAATCTGAACTATTAAGTGCTGTAATTGATAAGGATCCTTCAAGGTAAGTGAAAAGCGATGATGCCGAATGGCATTTAAAAATTACTGTAGCTTGCTGAATTCCAAGTGTGTGCCCTCTGTCTTTGCTCACATCCCAGGATCAGATGTTTACTGTGTGTTGTGGTCCCAATTTCCCAGGGGATGTTTTTCCATAGACACAACAGTTTAGAAAAATCAATGATTTGTAGACAATTTGACTTCCATTAAGAAATGATGTTGGCCGGGCGTGGTGGCTCACGCCTGTAATCCCAGCACTTTGGGAGGTGGAGGCAGGTGGGTCACCTGAGGTCAGGAGTTCGAGAACAACCTGGCCAACATGGCAAAACCCCGTCTCCACTAAAAATATAAAAATTAGCCAGGCATGGTTGGGGGGCACCTGTAATCCCAGCTACTGGGGAGGCTGAAGCAGGAGAATGGCTGGAACCCGGGAGGCAGAGGTTGCAGTGAGCCGAGATCGGGCCACTGCATTCTAGCTTGGGCGACACAGTGAGACTCCGTCTCAAAAAAAAAAAAAAAAAAAAAAAAAAAAAAATGACGTTTGTGGTTTTTTATACCACAAATTTAGACTGGAAAGTATGTGAACTTTTTTACTGTTGTTAATCTGACAGAACTTTTGTAAAATGTGTTTCTGTTTGTTAACTATACCGAGTATATGACTGTTTTTCAACTCTGACAACGATTTTTTTTTTGAGACAGAGTTTCACTCTTGTTGCCCAGGCTGGAGTACAATGGTGCAATCTCGGCTCACCACAACCTCCTCCTCCAGGGTTCAAGCGATTCTCCTGCTTCAGCCTCCCGAGTAGCTGGGATTACAGGCATGCACCACCACACCCGGCTAATTTTTTTTGTATTTTTTAGTAGAGATGGGGTTTCTCTATGTTGGTCAGGCTGGTCTCCAACTCCCAACCTCAGGTGATCCTCCCGCCTCGGCCTCCCAAATGGCCTCCCAAAGTGCTGGGATTACAGGCATGAGCCACCACGCCCGGCTTACTCTGACAACTATTAAATAAAAGATTATTTTGTACAGAATTATTTGATGTTATTTCGTATTTCAATATGAAAGTGGCCAAAACACTTTCCATTTTTTTTTAAATTTTATTATTATTATACTTTAAGTTTTAGTGTACATGTGCACAATGTGCAGGTTAGTTACATATGTATACATGTGCCATGCTGGTGTGCTGCACCCAATAACTCGTCATTTAGAATTAGGTATAACTCCTAATGCTATCCCTCCCCCCTCCCCCCACCCCACAAGAGACCCCAGAGTGTGATGTTCCCCTTCCTGTGTCCATGTGTTCTCATTGTTCAATTCCCACCTATGAGTGAGAACATGCGGTGTTTGGTTTTTTGTCCTTGCAATAGTTTACTGAGAATGATGATTTCCAATTTCATCCATGTCCCTACAAAGGACATGAACTCATCCTTTTTTATGGCTGCATAGTATTCCATGGTGTATATGTGCCACATTTTCTTAATCCAGTCTATCATTGTTGGGCATTTGGGTTGGTTCCAAGTCTTTGCTATTGTGAATAGTGCCACAATAAACATACGTGTGCATGTGTCTTTATAGCAGCATGATTTATAGTCCTTTGGGTATATACCCAGTAATGGGATGGCTGGGTCAAATGGTATTTCTAGTTCTAGATCCCTGAGGATCTAGAAGCCACACTGACTTCCACATTGGTTGAACTAGTTTACAGTCCCACCAACAGTGTAAAAGTGTTCCTATTTCTCCACATCCTCTCCAACACCTGTTGTTTCCTGACTTTTTAATGATTGCCATTCTAACTGGTGTGAGATGGTATCTCATTGTGGTTTTGATTTGCATTTCTCTGATGGCCAGTGATGGTGAGCATTTTTTCATGTGTTTTTTGGCTGCATAAATGTCTTCTTTTGAGAAGTGTCTGTTCATGTCCTTCGCCCACTTTTTGATGGGGTTGTTTGTTTTTTTCTTTTAAATTTGTTTGAGTTCATTGTAGATTCTGGATATTAGCCCTTTGTCAGATGAGTAGGTTGCAAAAATTTTCTCCCATTTTTTAGGTTGCCTTTTCACTCTGATGGTAGTTTCTTTTGCTGTGCAGAAGCTCTTTAGTTTAATTAGATCCCATTTGTCAATTTTGGCTTTTGTTGCCATTGCTTTTGGTGTTTTAGACATGAAGTCCTTGCCCATGCCTATGTCCTGAATGGTAATGCCTAGGTTTTCTTCTAGGGTTTTTATGGTTTTAGGTCTAATGTTTAAGTCTTTAATCCATCTTGAATTAATTTTTGTATAAGGTGTAAGGAAGGGTTCCAGTTTCAGCTTTCTACATATGGCTAGCCAGTTTTCCCAGCACCATTTATTAAATAGGGAATCCTTTCCCCATTGCTTGTTTTTCTCAGGTTTGTCAAAGATCAGGTAGTTGTAGATATGTGGTGTTATTTCTGAGGGCTCTGTTCTGTTCCATTGATCTATATCTCTGTTTTGGTACCAGTACCATGCTGTTTTGGTTACTGTAGCCTTGTAGTGTAGTTTGAAGTCAGGTAGTGTGATGCCTCCAGCTTTGTTCTTTTGGCTTAGGATTGATTTGGCGATGCGGGCTCTTTTTTGGTTCTATTTTCTTGAGACTATTTCCTTTTAACAAGTACTAATTCAGGTTCTCAAATTTAGCCCTTTTTGGTTGAGTGAGTCATTTTCATACAAAATCACACTTACTATCAACACCAGTGACAGTGAGCATATAGAGCACAAGCGGAATGACTGATCCAGAAGAGAAAAACAATAGACATGTTCAGCTCAGAACTCTGAGGACAGAGACCATCCCAACCCTTTTGGATTCGAACCACAAAGAATCTGTAGAATCTTCTACACTGGAGATGCTGACCTGCCCAAGGGGCTGCTGGCTGCCACGTGTCCACGTCTCAGTAACAGAAGCAGAGAATGTGCCCCGATTCTCTGTAGTTAGCTAGAAGGGAACAATGACGGCTTTGGTACTTCTAGCGGAGAATGTTGTCTTGCCACTTGTCACAAATTCCCACTCTGTGGCTTTGGAAAACACACTACATTTTCCTACACTCTCACACTTCTGTGACCAGAAGTGTGTGGGTCTCTCCCACCGCATCCCATTCCCTGACACCAGCTGGATGTCCTACAATTCAATTCAATTCTGACACCATCTACCTGGAGTTAGCATCAGATTCTGCAAGGAAAAGGGCTTATCTGACCTTACTCAGATTTCACCAGTGTTTTACTTATTCTCTTTCCACTGTGGATCACAAAAAATTTTACAAATACAGAAAAGCTGAAAGAATAATACAATGGAGCCAGGCTCAGTGGCTCATGCCTGTAATCCCAGCACTTTGGGAGGTCGAAGCAGAAAGATCTATTGAGCCCAGAAATTCAAGACCAGCCTGTGCCACATAGTGAGACCCCATTTCTACAAAAAATATAAAAAAATAGCCAGGTATGATAGCTTATGCCTGTAGTCTCAGCTACTTGGGAGGCTGAGGCAGGAGGATCACTTTAGCCTAGGAGTTTGAGGCTGCGGTGAGCTAAGATTATGCCACTGCACTCCAGCCTGGGTGATAGCATGAGACCCTGTCTCAAAAAAAAAAAAAAAAAAAGGAAACCATGATTCCTGCCACCTCAATTCATCCGTTGAAAGCACGTTGGCATATTTGCTTCCGTCATGTGTCTCCAAGTGTCTCTATCTATACAGCCAACCCCTTTCAGTCAGTGAGAGACAGGGATGCACCTGCCCTAAGCTGTTCAGCAAACGTCTCTGGGGACTAAAGACATTCTCTATTGGTCATATTGCTCCATGAGAATTCAGCAACAACCCCTCATGCCATTTGTATTCAGATTTCCTCCATTCTTTCCAAATTTTTTTGTCCTTTTCACGCATTGCATTTGATGATTGTGTCTCTTTAATCTTTCTTTTTCTAAAATAAATCCATCACCATCACACTGTTTTATTTTCTTTTCATAGCATTGCTTTTCAGTTTTTTTGAAGAGACCAATCCATTAGCTTTTGTAGACTATCTCCCATTCTGGACTTTTTTTGTGCTGCCTTGTAATATGCCTTTCGACTGGTTTCTTTATCCCCCTGTATGTTCTGCAAACCAGAAGCTTGTTCTGAGATTCAAGCTCAACTCCTTGGCAAGAGTGTTTCAGCATTGCTGTCGAAAGCTTCCTGCTGTGTTACTTCAGGAAGTAACACAGGAAGTGGGCTTGTCATGCTGACCCACTACTGGCGATGCTGAATTTCACCACTGGGTTCAAAGCTGGTAACTTCCAGATCCCTCCATTGTGAAAGTATGTACCTCTTCCTACCTTTGCAATTGTCAGATAATCTTTGGATAAAACTTTGAATCCACAAAAATGTGGCCATGTCCTATTTCCCTAACAATCCTTCATCGGATGGGTTGAAAATCTGTGGCTGGTCCTTGTCCATAATGGTTACTCCTTTGGCTGAGCAGAATGGAAATTTCCTAAGTCTAAGAGTGAAGATGCTTTGTCTTTAGTCTAAGAGCATTGGGAAGCCATTGGGGAAATGGGTTCAGTGTGATGTCTGGAAAGCATTGATGCCTTGATGAGATTTGTCATTTGAAAAGTGAAGCATGGGGACAAGAAAGGACAAGGATGGACCTAAGTTGATGGATTTGGAGTCCCCTGTGGCAGTCCAGGTGCGAGAGGATGGCTGTTTTATTCTAGTGGGTGGGCACAGGGATGGAAAGGTGCAGACAGAGGTATGACACGATTTTGCCTCTGAAGCAGATGGATGGCTGCTATTAGAGCAGCCTGCTTATTGTATAAGACATCCTGTGAATAGTCAAACTAAAACATGCAGCCGGGCACAGTGGCTTACACCTGTAATCCCAACACTTTGGGAGGCCGAGGCAGGAGGATTCCTTGAGCCCAGGAGTTCAAGACCAGCCTGGGTAATATAGCAAGATGCCATTTCTACTAAAAATAAAAAAACTAGCCAGGCATGGTGATGCACACCTGTGGTCCCAGGATACTCAGGATACTGAAACGGGAGGATCACTTGGGTCCCAGGGTTGAAGCTACAGTGAACTAAGATCGTGCCACTGTACTCCAGCCTGGGTGAGGGAATGAAATAAATAAATAAAATAAATAGAAACTAAAACAAAAAATGCAACAGGAATAAATCCACATTGAATGATGAAATTTTCACAAAATATCCCTTGTTGACTTGGAGACCCTAGTGGAACAGTCCGGTAAGCCTCATCAGCTGCTCAAGGCAAACACAGTTGTTAGGGGCCACCGCCATGGCTAGTGAATTATGCAGAAAACAAGGACGCCTTGCAGAACCTCATCTCCCACTAGATGCAGCATTTTGTTTGATCAGCAAAGTACCAAAATTTAACAGCTGAGCCATACTAATGAAGTATGGGACTGTGTCTCTTAGAAAAGAAAGAGAATTGGGAAAATATGCTTCTCTTCCAGAATAATAAAAACGAGAGGCTGTAGCTCAATTATTAGGCTTTGAGAAGTAATCATCAAGAAAGCCAGCAATTTCATGCAAATAGAGATGTGACTGAATTACGGTACTCAGCCTACAAAATATGCAGCCTGGTCGTTAAAATGGGAAACTCTTGACAAAGTGAGGAAACTCAGTAGTGAAATATGAATTTCAATAATTAAACTGGAAAAGAAGCCATTTGTTGTGTCGGAAGGGAGGACTGGGATGCTCCCGCTCCTGAGAGCAGGTGGACACAGTGCCCACGTACAGAGTTTGGAGGACATCTGGACTGACTTTTCCAACTTGATTTTGTCTGGGTCACTAATGTCTCCTAGACTGGAGGCATCTGCTCTAATAGAGTGATCAGGATCACTCATTTTATTTATGGTGGGGGCACACCAAACTCCTCACACTACAGACTTCACCTGCTAGGACCTGACTTTGCCATTAGAGTTGGAGAGAAAGTATCTTAACTTTGAACATTAGCTTGTTAGTGTCATCAATTTTAACTTGTGCCTCTTTGCAGGAGCTGCTTATTTAGAACTTCGTACTGGGAATTGCTTTCTTGGCTGCTTAAATTCTGTTCACCACCTTGGCCTTCACAGCCATTGCACCTAATTATGATTCAGGAGATTAAATAAATGAGAAATATCCACTCATTTGGCAATCCCTGACCATGGCCTCATTTTTCTAAGACAGTTCTCGGTTGTCTTTTCATTTCCTACCTTGAGTGTTGAGTGAGCTTGGGGCTACCAGGGATGTGTGCTTTTTGGGATAGCCACTTGTTTTGTTCAGGTTAGCTCAGAGCACCTGTCAAGCTCTGGAAAGTAGGAAACCTTCTAATTCTGATAGACACATACTGGAGTCCCTAGGAACCGGCTACCCCTTCCTGATGTCAGGCACATTCCATGGAAGCAGGGTAGAGCAGCTGGGTGTGTACGGAACCCTGCTTCTTTTCAGTTGCCCTGCGAAGTACACAGCATCATCTAAGACATCAGAAGCATAACTCGGTAGCTTTTGGGGATGTAGCTGCCATCTAGGAGAGTTTGGCAACACGGCTGCACACTCAAATGGTTTATTGCATGCCAAATCTGTGCAGATGGTCAGGAGTACCTGTTGGAGCCTTTCGTTTTGAAATTCCGTAAGAGAAAGGAACAGACAGTAGTATCCCGTATTCAATCTGATGTGTCCTGTTCATCATGAAAAATTGATTTAGAGCAAACATAAGAAAAAGCTGTAACCTGCAAGCCTTGTTTGTTAAAATCATGTTTTCCTAGAAGCAGAAAGGGCTTGAATGCCTATTCCTAACCTTTGGGGATTTACTCTTTAACTATTAGAGAGACATGCTCAGGGACTGTTTCAGAATATATTCTTGAAGAAGCCGTCTCAGACAGGAGGTGCTCAGGTAAACAGAAAGACAGGTCTAATTCACAGCTCCTATGAAATATATCTTCATTACTTTTCAGGATGTGTTCATTCAGCCTTTAAAATGGGGTATTTTATAATCTAATTGACAGGAGGGTATCATGTTTACCTTTTTCTTTGTGGGCCATTTCAGTGTTTTGTTTTTTTATTTCAGGATTTCCTAATGGAAACATTCATCATGTTTAAGAACCTCATTGGAAAGAACGTTTACCCCTTCGACTGGGTGATCATGAACATGGTGCAAAATAAGTAAGTGTGGGGAAAACGGCTCTCACCTTTTCTATGGCTCCCAATTCATGTCTGCTGGGAACAGTGGTGTTGCCTGGAGACCAAGCTGGCTTCAATAAAATGCTCTGCAAACGCTGTTCCTAATTCTGTGCTGCAGACAGTTCTAGGGAGACAGGGACTCTGAGTTTGTGGTGACTTCCTTATGACAACACAGGGCTCTGGCTCTAAGAACTTGAGCTCCGTCCCCTGGAGAAAAACAGCCTGAAGCTGGATCTCCCCTAGCTGTCATCATGGGCACAGGGGTTCTGCTCGACGTCGCTCTGCGCTCTCATGTTACCCACATATTTGTATCAGCCCTAGGCACTGTCAGCTCCATGCAAGAGGCTTTTGCAAAGTGTTGACATTTCACATATTTCAGTTTTTTTAATCATGAGCATTTTCTTCATACTCATTAAATATTGAACTTGTGCCTTGTTTATAATCTCCAGTGAGGGCTGTTGGTTAATTTTCTAGCACATTGGGTTTTATCATTTCTGTAAGCACTAACAATGACCATAGAATTCTCAATCACGTGGGATTTTTAAAAAGAACTTTCTGTTCATCTCTGTTTTTCTTTCTCATTGCAATTTTTATGGAGATAATTGTGGGTTCATGTGCAGTTGTAGGAAGTCATAGAGATCTTGTGTATAAGGGAGTCGATGATGCGATTCACTGATCTTACTCAGATTTCCTCAGTTTAATTTGTATTCATTAGTGTTTGTGTTGAGTTGTGTAGTTTCAGCACATGCATATACTGTGGACTCCACCACCACCGTGAAGCCACTGAGTGTTTCCATCACCACAAATGTTCCTCTTGTTGCCCAATTATACCCACATATACCTCTCCCCTCCCCACTCCACCATCCGTAAGCTCTCTCGACCACTCATTCGTTCTTCATTTGTATAATTGCTTCATTTCAAAAATGTTACATAAGTGTAATCATACAGTATATAAGCTTTCAGCATGGCTGTTTTCACTTTGCTTAATTCACTGGAGATCCATTTAGGTTGTTGCCTGTATCAATAGCTTATTCCTTTTTATTGCTGGGTAGTGTCCCATGGTACGCCTGGACCAAGTGTGATGAACCATTTTCCTGTTGAAGGACGTCTGGGCTATCCCCAGTTTGTGGCTCTTACGAATAAAGCTGCCACCAGCCTTCGTGCATCAGTTTTTGGGTGAACATGAGTTCGGTTCTGTGGCATAAATGCCTTCCTGGACAAATGCTGGCTTGTTGGGTAATTGCACATTTCGTGACGTAGGAAACTGCCAATCTATGGCTGTACCATTTTACGTTCCCACCAGCCATGTAAGTGATTCGGTTGCTCCGCATCCAGCCTTTGCCGTTGACACTGTTTTTGCTTTTAGCCATGCTGATAGGTGTGTAGTGTATCTCCCTAGGATGTTAAATTGAATTTCCTGTGATGGCTTTGCCTCTCTTTAATGCCTATTGTCCTTCCCTTCGACAAATCCAAAGCAGCACGACCTTTCCTTTGGCCTCCTCTGGGTTTTTCTGCTTTCTGGGGCAGCAGAGACAGATTGGCCTTGTGTACCGTGGCTGCGGGAGTCCTACAAACCTCCCCGAGGGGTAAGCATGAGGGAGGGAGTGATGTTCACCCCGCGTCAGATGTTACTGAGCTGGAAGTCTCCTTCCACACATCAAAGATGGCATCTGAGAGTAGATGGTGAGGAAGCCCCGGAGACCCTGGCATTGCTGTAGCCTTAGCTCTGGCCCGGGGAGCAGAGTGGGGGTCTTGACCTCTGCTCCTCCTCACTCTTCCACCTGCTGGGTGACTTTAAATTATTCCTGTGGCCTTCTCTCAGCTTCTCAGTCGTCATCTAGAAAATGGTGGACTTAATAGAAAGCACTGGTCTTTTCCCTTTTTCTCTGTTAGGATGAACTTTTGTGATTGACAGTCTAGATTTCCTCTGAAGAGCTCTAGAGCGTTGTGTCTTTAATGGCTGTATTTTGCACATAGTGAAAACAAGCAAACACATCAGCAACAATAATCAAAAACCCCGCTGTCCTGGAGCCATAGATCTCATGACATCATTGGCCAGGAGCAGAGGTGTGGCTGAGCAGGCGCCTGAGCACAGGGTGTGGAGGCGGCCCGTGTGGATGCTGCTCTCCACCTCTTGACTCCTCTACGTGTAGACCTGACCTTCTGGGTCTCCCAGCAGAGCAGCACGTCCTGGCTCTCAGGCTGTGGATTCCGTGGCCCTGGGTGAGCACTGCTCTGACAAAGGTCAGGCGGGATGGGCTCCCTGAAGTTGCATTCATGTCGCTCCTACTCCGAGGGTCTCCCGTTTAGGAGGGAATAGTCAAAATCTACTTAGTTCATGATTTTTTTTTTTTTTTTTTATAATTGAGAGCCTGTTTTCAGTTGGAACATCATAGCCGCATCATTCTCTCTTCCTACTTCACTGTCTTCCTCCTGCCGCCAACCCTGCGCTACGTAAGGGTTGCTGCAGCACTGGCCGTGATGCAAAGCCACACAGTAAGTGGTCTGGGGCTCAACCCTGGGAGTGCTATGGTTCTGGTTTCCTTCTCCAGAGACCCTGTCCAGCTTCTCCTGGGATATTCTGTTGTTTCTGGGGTGAGCAGGTGGCTTGATCCACATTCCTTGGAATCATGAATTTGCTGCAAACCAGTGGCAACCTTCCCTGGCCAGCACCCCTACTCACTAGAGCCCCTTCACAGGGTATGGCGCCTGACAGAGGTACCCGCGCTGCAGCAGCAGGTTGGTACAGTGGCATTTTGGACCAAAGCCTTTGCGTCTTAGAAACCGGGAAGAGAGTCTTTTGTTTTGAGGACAGGGAAACTCTGGGGAGAAGCCACAGTGCTCAGTGTCCTCTCAGCAGTTGATTGGATGAGACTTCTGAGGATAAAGTCTACCTTGGTGATAATAAAGTCCACCTTGTTCTCTTGTTCATCGTGTACACGGACTGCAGCTGGAAAGACGTCTTGACAAGGGAAGCAGCCTGAATGTAAAATCCCTACAGTTTATTTTCTGTTTTACATAAAATGTTATCCTGAACCTTCTAATCAAGGATTCCAGTACTGTGAGGCCAGGTCGTTGAGCAGTGTTTCCTCCATGGGAGCTTCCTGCAGAGAAGTGATGTGTGCCTGTGTGTGTACCCATGCTCATCTGTGTGTGTACCTGCATGTGTGTGCATGTGGGTGTGCGTGTGTGTACCCGTGCTCATCTGTGTGTGTCCCTGCATGTGTGTGCATGTGGGTGTGTGTGTACTCGTGCTCATCTGTGTGTCCTTGCATGTGTGTGCGTGTGGGTGTGCATGTGTGTACCCGTGCTCATCTGTGTGTGTGCATGTGGGTGTGTGTGTGTACCCGTGCTCATCTGTGTGTCCCTGCATGTGTGTGCATGGGTGTGCGTGTGTGTACCCGTGCTCATCTGTGTGTGTGCATGTGTGTGTGTGTGTACCCGTGCTCATCTGTGTACCTGCACGTGTGTGCATGTGGGTGTGTGTGTGTACCCGTGCTCATCTGTGTGTGTGCATGTGGGTGTGTGTGTGTGTACCCGTGCTCATGTGTGTGTACCTGCATGTGTGTGCATGTGGGTGTCTGTATGTGTGTACCCGTGCTCATGTGTGTGTGCATGTGGGTGTGTGTGTACCTGTGCTCATCTGTGTGTGTACCTGCATGTGTGTGCATGTGTGTGTGCCTGCATGTGTGTGCGTGTGTACCCGTGCTCATCTGTGTGTGTCCCTGCATGTGTGTGCATGCGGGTGTGTGTGTGTACCTGCATGTGTGTGCATGTGGGTGTGCGTGTGTGTACCTGCATGTGTGTGCATGTGGGTGTGTGTGTGTGCCTGCATGTGTGTGCATGTGGGTGTGTGTGTGTGTGCCTGCATGTGTGTGCATGTGGGTGTGCGTGTGTGTACCCGTGCTCATCTGTGTGTGTGCATGTGGGTGTGTGTGTACCTGCATGTGTGTGCATGTGGGTGTGTGTGTACCCATGCTCATCTGTGTGTGTACCTGCATGTGTGTGCGTGTGTGTGTGCCTGCATGTACCCGTGCTCATCTGTGTGTGTGCATGTGGGTGTGTGTGTACCTGCATGTGTGTGCATGTGGGTGTGTGTGTACCCGTGCTCATCTGTGTGTGTACCTGCATGTGTGTGCATGTGGGTGTGTGCCTGCATGTACCCGTGCTCATCTGTGTGTGTGCATGTGTACCTGCATGTGTGTGCATGTGGGTGTGTGTGTACCTGCATGTGTGTGCATGTGGGTGTGCGTGTACCTGCATGTGTGTGCATGTGGGTGTGCGTGTGTGTACCCGTGCTCATCTGTGTGTGTGCATGTGGGTGTGTGTGTGTGTACCTGCATGTGTGTGCATGTGGGTGTGGGTGTGTACCTGCATTGTGTGCATGTGGGTGTGCGTGTGTGTACCTGCATGTGGGTGTGCGTGTGTGTACCCGTGCTCATCTGTGTGTGTGCATGTGTGTGTGTACCCGTGCTCATCTGTGTGCATGTGGGTGTGTGTGTGTGTACCCGTGCTCCTCTGTGTGCATGTGGGTGTGTGTGTGTACCCATGCTCATCTGTTTGTGTACCTGCATGTGTGTGCATGTGTGTGTGTGTGTGTACCTGTGCTCTTCTGTGTGTGTGCATGTGGGTGTGTGTGTGTACCCGTGCTCCTCTGTGTGCATGTGGGTGTGTGTGTGTGTACCCGTGCTCGTCTGTGTGTGTACCTGTATGTGTGTGCATGTGGGTGTGTGTGTGTGTGTACCCGTGCTCATCTGTGTGTGTGCGTGTGTGTGTGTGTGTACCCGTGCTCATCTGTGTGTGTACCTGCATGTGTGTGCATGTGGCTGTGTGTGTGTACCTGTGTGCTGAGGTGTTGGTTTCAAGTAAAGACACTTTTATTTGCAGAGATTCTTACTCTCAGAAGCTCAAACAAACCCATATTCCTATCCCAGTTGACACATTCAGCAGAAACAAGCTCCCAAGCCCACACAGCACAAGAGTCAGCCACCGAGGAGGCATTTTAGGTCCTGATTGGAGTTGGTCACTGATAACTGTAACTTTTATTCCCACATCCTTCTGCCCCCATATGCTGCCCTTTGTGTTGAATAAACAACATGAATGTTTAGAAGCTGGATCAGGTGGGTTTTTGAAGAAGGTTATTGCCTTCATGTGGTAAGATACTTGAAACTGTCTGGAGACAGCTTGTTGAGAGACCCTTAAGTATTCTTTGACACCTTTGCTTCAATACCAGCTTCAAAATGAAGGGTTTGCATCACTTTCCCTGTACATTCCCATTCTTTGTGAGGCATTGCACGTTTGCGTTCTGGAGCTGAGAGTGAGCTAACATTGGGCATGCCTCCCAGCACCAGGCACTGCTGTGGGGATGTCACGTGCCATCACGTCCTTCATACCCTCAGCAGCCCTCTGGGACAGCTGCTGTGTTTAGGCCCACTTTACACATGGGAAAATTGAGGCATGGAGGTTGGGTCACGTGCCAAAAGACAGAGAGCTGGGCGGTGTTAGTGCCAAAATTTAACCCCAGAGCATCCACCCCAGAGCCGTGCCTGAGCCACCTAGCTACCCTGCCTCTTGGTCTTAAGTAGGTCTCCTATTTCCCAAGAGAGTGTTAGGAGTTTTTGTTTTGTCTTTATTCGAGTGTCCATAAAACATAACAACTTTTCCACAAGGTTTACTGCTTACGTGAGTGAATTTTGAGTGTGGAATTCATTACATTGCTACTTACTTTCTTCACCTTTAGAAGTGTATGCACCATTTATCAATGTGTTTTATAAGAGCGAATCTTACTGTGCAGTCTAGAAAAATCACGTCTCCCTAGCATTGTCATAAAGTAATCCTCTTATGGAAATTGCAGATACCATATTCTATGTCTTTATCTACCTGCCATATATGTGTATATATAGATTGCCTCTTACTAGATTGGTGATATAACTTGTAAATCAAGAATCAAAATTACAGGATTTAATGACTATCCCAAAGTACGGTGTTCACTTGGTTATGTCCAAGATGGGAACTGATAGGCGATGGCCTGACATTATAGCTGTGCTCTAGGATATGAGAGTACCAGATGGCAAGATGACATTTAAGATGAGCACAGCACAGAAACAGTAGAAGTGTGCTTTTGTGCTAGCACCCAGAAGTGCTTTATAATCTTCCCAGAGGGGAGCAGCTGCTAAGGTTTCACTGAAGCTCTCAGGTTCTGTTGGAAGCACAGACCTTTCCCTGTTGGCACCTACATGCTGGTATCCATCCTGGAACTCTTATTAGCTGACTTGCTCGGATTCACGCTTTGTGTGTGCAGCATAGTCTAAATGGCCAGCAATCATACCATGGCTATCATAGAATTCTCCTTGGTTGTTAATGAGAATGTGACCACTTGCTTGAATTTTTGTGTCTCTTCTAGTCTTAGGGTTTGCCTTCGTGCTCCAGTAGGGTGCTTGAGTTTATGTACTAATAACCCCTACTAGAATTTTAAGTGATAGGAATGACCTGGTAGGAAGTGAGTCTGCCAGGTAAACCGAATCCCTTTGTCACCTCGAAGAAACCGTTTCTTATTAACTGCTTTACTTTTGCTTGAGAAAGGCATTTCTACAACATGTGGTGGGTGAGAGAGAGGCCAGTACTGAATGTAATTTTCCCTATTTTGGAATTAGACTTTCTTGTTCGTATTGACTACATAGCGTGTAACAAAACCTTATCCACAGTTGTCAGCTACTGAGACTTGTAACGGAATTTTTAAAAATTCAACTACTCCAGCTCACAGCTTCCCTAGTCCTCCCTGCCTACTGTACCCTCTGCTCTCAGGATAATAAAGACATGAAACCAGCATTTGCATTTCCTCAGAGCTAGTGTAGTTTGCAACTGTGATTATCAATCGCTTCCAGGCATTCCTCTCTGTTGGCATAGGTTTTGTGTTTGAGACTTCCTGTTCTTTTTCAGGCTAGGCTGGGACCTACGGGAAATAATGATT
Organism: Homo sapiens; assembly: GCF_000001405.40. Classification (NCBI taxonomy): domain Eukaryota; kingdom Metazoa; phylum Chordata; class Mammalia; order Primates; family Hominidae; genus Homo; species Homo sapiens. Next base: position 127,264,418 of record NC_000010.11, read on the forward strand.
AGTGTTTTGAAGCCCACACACTTTCATAGAGGACTTGGTATGTCTTGCAAGTAAAGGTTCATATAACATGAATATAAAATAGAATATGTAAAATTGTAGAGAAAACGATGCTTTCTAGAAGTTGAAATACTCAAAGCTGACTGCAGGATAAAACATAAAGGCAAATAAGACGGTTGCCGGGTTCTCACTGGTTGGTGAAAATGATCCTTGCCATTTATCACGGGAAGCTGGCAGTTTACAATGTAGATTTTTTTTTTTTCCAAGACAGGGTCTCACTCTGTTGTCCAGGCTGGAGTGCAGTGGCAGGATCATGGCTCACTGCAGCCTTTAACTACTGGGTTCAAGCAATCCTCCCAGCTGAGCTTCCCAGGTAGCTGGGACTACCGACACATACCACCGTGCCCAGCTAATTTTTTGTGGGTTTATTTTCTTGGAGAGATGGGGTTTCGCCATATGGCGCAGGCTGGTCTCGAACTCCTGGGCTCAAGTGATCCACCCGCCTTGTCCTCCCAAAGTGCTGGGATTACAGGCATGAGCCACCACACCCGGCCATGATGTAGATCTTTATATAGGAGACACTGAACAGGAGAAGATCATAGGGAAGGAATCAGTTGAGAATTCAAAATTCTGCCCATAGAAAACAGAAGAGATTATTCTCTCAGTTAGGAAATGCGTAAGATGTTACCAGTCAGCATGTTGGTTATAACAGTGGTTGGTTATAATTGGACTTGTCTGAAAGACTAGCTCATCAAATGAAGGGGATTTAGCTGACCTGATCCATTCAGTCTTGTCTAGTCGTTGACCATTTCAACATCAGAGATTGTCAGTCAAAAACTATTGTTTGGTTTTGTTCTATCTGCAATCAATTAATCTTATACTTGTCCTTTCAAACTTTGAAATTTCATCCCGATTTGGAGTTTGTGAGATCATGTTGCTATTTATTTCCAGTGTCTGTGTGTTACACATTAAAAAAAAAAAATCATGGCCATATGGAGACCATCCCAAACAGATCAGGATGATGCTTGCAGTCTGCAAAGGATGGAGGATTTTGATCTCTTGACCTCATTTTGACAACCACCTTGGCTCATTTCTCTGTGGCCTCTCCTCCTCTCCCCATGATTCATCCTTCTTTCAACCAGGAAGTGTTTTCCTCAATCCATTGACGTAGCATATTACATTTTCACCAGCCTGCCATATATGATGTCTATGGACACCTCATAATCACATGCAGCTCCTTTCATGAGGAAAATCGTCCATGCTTATTTCTGTAACTTAACAATTTCTCCCTTTTTAAATAGAATGCATTTCCTCACTTATAAGTATTATCTACCAGATGTATCAGAGTCCAGGATGGCAAGCTCTCTGCTATTTCTGCCAAAATTAATTTGGCTTATAGTCAGGACAGGAAAGGGCCTTAAGCCCTAGAAAGGGATTCCACCTTGGAGATGCCAGTTCCTTAAGGATAAGTCGTGTTGGTGCTCAGAAGGCAAATTTGCAGGGTAGGCTGTTTGTAGGTACTTTGCCATTTGCTTTCGTTGCCGTGAAGGAATTTGAGTCGTTGACCACACTGAGCTGAGGGCTTGGATCAGGGGAAAGGCACCGCTTGCCTTAGGATGGGAGAGAGGGAAAAATTAGTGCCCACGTGCAGGGGGCCTGCCCCCAGGACCATGGCACCAGTGGCAACCTGTGGATGGCCAAGTCAGGAGGACTGCGTGTTTTCTTTCCTGTTCTACCTCCGTCCAGAGAAGCACCTCTGCATCCCAATTAAGGGTGCATAGTTGAATATTCTTTGTGCAGGTTGAAATCATGGTTATAAAGCATTTGGGGCTTGAGAAACTCTTGGATTATTACTTCTTAACATCTTTTTTCCTTTCTTTGAAGCCTGGATTTTAGTTGATGTTGTGACTTCTCATTTAATTTATTTTTAATATTTATTGGCTTACTATTGAGGTTTTGCACAGCCAATGGCTTGATGATTTTAGGCACACTTTAGAATTATTTTTTTCCTTTGAAACAGTATACAGCAGTTGTTGACAGCAAAACACAACTAGCTAAGTACCAAAACACACACACACACACACACACACACATATATATAGACTGTACTGACTATACATTTTGCTTTGCACTGAGAGATGTTTCATGCATAAAATAGAGAGGGCACTTGGCTTTGGTCCTCATAACATGAAGTGCCTCCTCTGGCATTAAGTGCCAGTGGAATGTGGCATTAACGCCAGCCAGGTGCTCACGATGAGATGTGCATGGTCTCTGAGAATTTGGGGTGAAAAAAATAGCAATTGAAACTCAGTATAGTGAAAACATTCTGGAATGAAGATTTCCCTAGAGTTCTCCATACCTGCATTTTACTACAGCTCATGCACTTAATAATATTGCTCTTTGAGCCTTCTTCCTCTCCAAGAAAACTGGCCTAACCTGAGACATTTCACAGCCCAGAGTCCCCAGTTTGCAGGCACCAGGGCCACAGTTCTCCTTCCTAGGCTGGTTAACTTGGGCTGTACCTGAGTGCATTTCTGGCAAGTCACCCAGAGAAACACATGAGACTTTTCTGGGGGCTGTGTTGGCCATTGTGATGCATCAGGATTTCAAGACAGATACTGACTTGGATCCAGTAATGATGCTCTGGACCCTCCAGCAGGAAAAGGACCCCACTGGGGCTACATTGCTATGTCTATCATTTTAGTTTTATCTCCAGAGGTTGCTTTTAGAGGGGACACAGGGACATTGGCAGTTCTCTCTCAGCAGCTTTTGGGCCTAGATATGGTTGCAGATGGTGTATCAGAGCCCACTGCACCTTGGGATGGAAACTGACCTACGACCAAATGCTACCTGTTCGAGTTCTGTTCATTCTTAAGGCCTAGTCATAAATTATTTCAGATACTTTCCATAACAGTTATTCTATTTCATGTCTGCTTTTGCTCTTTGCTTAATAACTAAAACAAATAATTTCCAGAGTTTTACCTGGTTGTTTATAACCAATGTATTGCACATAGCCTAGATATTTTAAACTGTGTCGTCTTATTCAGATTGCCTGTTTTAAATTTTAATTCAGAGATGAAAAATCAACCTACTCTCAAAGGAGTGGCAGTGATGAAGAGCTCTCAGCAGGACTCTTATTTAGGGAAGCTTGCTTTAAAGGAAAGTTTGAAAAGGGCAAAGTCTGTTTAAGAATTCTCAGAGATCACGCGCACCTCGTCGGGAGTGCCTGGCTGGTACTGATGCCGCATCCCGCTGGCACTTAATGCCGGAGGAGGCACTTCATGTTACGAGGACCGAAGCCAAGTGCCCTCTCTATTTTATGCATGAAACATCTCTCCGCACAAAGCAAAATGGAGGAGATACACTTTATTATGATCCTCCTCCCGGTCCTCTCATGCTAAGTTTTAACCTCCTGTGCTACTGGGACTTGGAAGAAGGTCTGTGCAGTATAGGACCCTCTGGTGTGGTGCTTTTACGTCTAGAACAGGAGGAAGAGGCAGCCAAGTGAACTGAGTCCTCGCAGGCTTGCCAGGCTGTGTCTTCCGTGTCTTTTTGATAGTTCTCAATGAAGGACAGTTGTTTCCCCTAGAGGAAAATCGACAATGTCCAGACACGTTGTTGTCACAACTTGGGAAGAGAGGGCTGCTGGCATTTAGTGGGTAGAAACCAGGGATGCTACTAAACATCTTTTCATGCACGAGACAGCCCCCTGCCGCAAAGAGTCATTTCATCCATAATGTCACTAGTGTCTCCATGTGATAGATGAAAAAACAGAGTCCAGAGTCTCAGTGATGCTCAGTAACTGTTAGAAATACATAGAAATATGTGTGCAGTGGCTCATGCCTGTAATCCCAGCACTTTGGGAGGCCGAGGGAGTTCGAGACCAGCCTGACCAATATGGTGAAACCCTGTCTGTACTAAAAATACAAAAAAAAATCAGCCAGGCATGGTGGCATGTGCATGTAGCCCCAGCTACTCAGGAGGCTGAGACAGGAGAATTCCTTCAACCCAGGAGGCGGAGGTTGCAGTGAGCCGAGATCGTGCCACTGCACTCCATCCAGCCTGGGTGACAGACCGAGACTCCACCTCAAAAAAAAAAAAAAAAAAAGAAGAGGAAAGAAAGAAAGAAATATATGTGATTTATTGCAGTGACTCTCTTCTCCTTGTTTCCCCATTTCTCAGCCACCCTTCTCTGCCATGTGACCTCAGCCAAACCAGCGCCCTCTAGAACAAATAATAGCAGCTAGCTGCTGAAGATAGGACTGGTCTTCACTTATTAGGGGGGTGTCCGAGAATTGGAGGTGGTTTCCCCAAGTCGCTCTGCCAGGGGCTCCAGTGTCTTTGCAGGAGATTTTTGTGGGCTTTGATTTGGGGTGGTGTTTGGGAGCAAGATGGCATTGGAATCACAGTGACATGAATGTACATGCCAGGGCTGCCTCCAGTCCTGCCTGGCATGTGGGACACACGTTGAAAATATTAGCAAGAGCCTGTTCTCAGGGTGCTTGGGCTGCCAGCCTCTACACCCCAATTCTGCCGAGCCTGGGGTGAAAGAGTAGCCACAGGCCTTTCCTCTCTACCTCTCCCAGCCAGAGGCCACCTTCAGTACAAGGGTTGGAAGCTGAGCCCTGGAGTCAGTTTGTCAGGTCAAATCCGTGCTCCACCACTTATGAGCTTTGTAAATTTAGTGTTGGGCAGATTTACCCCGTGCTGTAGTTTCTTCACCCGTAAATTAGAGACAGAAGTCAAGCCTCGCTGGAGTGTTTTGGGGGAATAAATGAGAAAGCGCATGTGGGGTGCTTTGTTCAGAGCCTGACCTCCAGTGACCTTGCAACAAGCCATGTCTGTGACCCCCTCCATTTTTATGAAGATGACATGATAGTGTGTCATTGTCCCTCTGAATCTGAGAATTGAGCCCACAGGTAAGGGTGTGAAGCATAGACATTGCCCTGGAGATTCAGAGCACTTTGTACATGTATTGAGAAATTACATTATAAAAAAATACAATTCTTTGCTTTCATAGATTCACTCTCTTCTTGTGAGGATATTTGTATATATTCAAATTGCGGTTTCCCTTGATTTATAGGTAATTAAGTCAACCCATTTTGCTTGCTGTTTTCCTAGAAGCAGCATTTGTGAATTGCTTTATGTGACATGGCTGACACTCTGTCAAGCATAGGTCTTGTGCAGTTGTCTCTGTTCAGAAGCCAGTCACCAAAATGGTGGTCCTGTCTGCCCTGGCATCTTGGAAGGACAGAGCTGCAGTCCCCAGAGAGGATCCTGTGTTGTCCCTCATGTGCAGATGAGGTTCTGAGATTCAGGGGGGTTGAATGAGTGGCTCCGGGCCCCCTGTGTGAGTAGCAGGAGAGACTGCAGAACTGGTTGCTCTTAAGCCACATCCAAGGCCAGGCACATAAAATGTGGACAGTGACGCCCACCACCCATGCAGTCCTTGGGAAGCCCCGTTGGCATAACGAGAATAGAGAGCTTGACGAGGAGGTCCTCAGTGAATGAATGCCAGCTCCTGACCACGCTCAGTTTTGGTAACAGTAAGTGGCACTGTCTACAGAGCCTCTCAGGAACCGGGGACTCCACCTGCCTCCTCTCCTTCTCCCACCCTCAGAGCCAATCATACACAGGACCCAGTGGATAGGACTGGAGTTCCGGAAGCCAGCTCCCCAGCGCCTCCTCCGAGCTGCCATCCTTCTCTCCTGTGGCAGGGGTGTCTTCCTCTGAAATCAGTGTCCATCTCAGTCCTGGCCGCACCTCCACAGGCTCCCGATGTCTGGCAAGAAAAGCTAAGCAGGGACTTCCAAACGTGTTTGAACAAAACTCCAATGAAGAAAAACATTTCCAATCACTGCTCGATGCACTTCCCACCCCCATCAAGGTGTAACTCAGCGAGAATTCCTTACTGTGCAGAGCCCTCCGATGTTTTTATTCTGTTCTGTTCTGTTCTATTCCATCCCATCCATTCTATCCCTTTTCACTTAATAAGTAAATAAATACAATTTCACATTCTTCCCATTCTATTGATTTCGTGCTCCACTGAATGAATCACAGCTGATGCCAGCCTGTGCCACCCAGCACAGAAAATGCCACATGGCTGACTTTCCTCCCTCCCTCCCTCCCTCTCTTCCTTCCTTCCTTCCTCTTTCCCAGTGTCCTTGCCTGTGTGTGGCGTGGTCATTATTTTTCATTTTAGCCATTCTCATGGATGTGCAGTGGTGTGTAGGCAGGGGAGCTGTGTGTCTTCAGCTTCTGTAGGAGCTGCCAACTTCCTTTCCAACAAGACTTCAGAGAAGGCTTCACTGCTGTCCAGAGTTGTTCATTCTACCTTTTTACACGTCCCTGTCCCCCAAGCAGTGTTCATGTTGCTATGCAGCCTCAGTCATACTTTGTAACATCAGACTGATTTTTCTTTATCCAGTCTGGTGGTGTGTAGTGAGATTGTGTTAAACTCGCCTTTCCTTAATATCTGATTAGGTTGAGCACATTTTTATTTTTGAGAAATTATCATTATTTTCTCTTGTATTCAAGACTCTTGTCCCTTTTTTCTATGCTTAACAAAAGTTATATATGTGTGTATGTGTGTGTGTGTGTGTATGTATATATACACACACACACATATATAAATGTATCTGTGTTCTAGATAAGATCCTTGGGTCAGGTATCTGTGCTGTAGATATCTTTCTCCACTCAGTGACTGCAGGATTTTTTTTTTGTCACTTAATAGTGTTCTTTGTTGGATGACATTTAAAATGTCTTTTGAAGACACTTGCAGAAAGAACCTGAATGGACTCACCTGCTGGTGACTGTCTGGGTAGCAAGGCTCAGCATGCTTGCTATGTGGAAGCTTCACGAAATGCCGTTTAAAAAATAAAATTATCTTCAAAACCAAACATGCAATTCCACCATTCTTTGTCAAGCTCCTGCTATTTTTTCAACACGAAATTGGAAATAAAGTTGAATAATATACTTTCTCCATCTTCAAGAAAGCCTGACTGTGATATACTTAAATTTTTAAAAATTCACTTATGTAATACATCTTCAGGTCTATAAAAAAATGATAATGTTTAATTGTAATTTTTCCATGGAACCGAAATGTTAACAGCATTGTGACATTTTCTATACATTGTTTTTCATGCAAGACCCTTCTGTGTGGCACTTAATATTTGTCATGTGCGATTTTGTGCATTTGTGCATGGGTCTTTGGCACTGGGGGGGATATCTCTTCTGAACATTTCAGTGGCTGCACTGTACACTGTCCCATTACCCAACACACAGTAGGTGCTCAACAGGCAGTGACTGTGTAACTGCTGGGCTGAAAGAAGGTGTATCCCTAGGAAATGTTCTAGGAACAAAGTGAACCAATAAAATACATGAAATACTTTTGTAGCAGTTCATTTTGGAGAATAAAAGGCAGTTACTCTTTTTATATTTGAGTCCACAAAGAAACAATTGCAGCTATAAATATGCAGTGAACAAATACCTCTTATTCTCTTTAAGATCTATTAGCCAGAGCTAATTCCTTAATTGAATGTTGTTCTAAATTTACCACCAAAATGCATGAGGGCGATCTGTGTTTGTACGTTTCAGCCAACTGCATGACATCAGTTCCATCACAACTGCAGGAGGATGGAGGAAGGCTGCTGTGCACGATTACTTGCTGTTTTGTGGTCAACCTTTCCCATAAGACTTCAGAGAAGGTTTTTACTTAATACTGTACCTGTCAAATTCCCAGAGCTGCAAGTAAATTGAAGATACAAATTATGTTGTAAAGTGAAATATTTTGTGTTATTCGCGTTATTCTGCAGTTTGGTTGATTTAGGAAGAAAATGAACTCTGACAGCTTGATCTTTTCAGTTCAGTGGATTCTAATGTTTCAAAACAAAAGACCTGCACTGAAGCCTCTTTCCTCCATGCTTTGGCAGAGACACCACTGTGAGCTCTTCTTCATGCTCAAACCTCGGCAGCTACCGGCTCCATGTCATGGACACACAGAGTCCTAGGAAGAGATAGATTCTGCTAAATGCTAATGTTTGTAAATATAAATATTAACCATACCCCGAAAGGGAAGGAGTTCTTTTGCTGGCTGACTGAATGGGTAGCTTTTAGCACCTGCCACTTTTCTCAACATGCAATCTATTTTTTATAGACAGAAAAAATCTCTTTTTCTAGCTTTTCTGGTTTGCTGCTGTTGCCTCAGTGATATTGCTTGGGATGCAGAGGTTTGGCAAAGAGGTTGGAGGAGCACCCCTGCATTAGTCCGTGTTCACGCTGCTGATAAAGACATACTTGAGACTGGGCAATTTACAAAAGAAAGAGTTTATTGGACTTACAGTTCTATGTGGCTTGGGAGGCCTCACCATCATGGCAGAAGGTGAAGGGCATGTCTCACACGGTGGCAGACAAGAGAAGAGAGCTTGTGCATGGAAACTCTTCTTTTTAAAACCCTCAGATCTTGTGAGACATTCACTATCAAGAGGAACAGCACGAAAGACCTGCCCCCATGATTCAATTACTTCCCACCAGGTCCCTCCCACAACATGTGGGAATTCAAGATGAGATTTGGGTGGGGACACAGGTCCCTCCCACAACACGTGGGAATTCAAGATGAGATTTGGGTGGGGACACAGCCAAACCATATCAACCACCTTTCCTCTTCTGTTCTGTGGTTATGCTAGACGGCCTCACCTTCTTTTCTTATTCTTATTCAGGGGAAAACACTAAAGTGAAGTTTCCTGCAAGAGCCAGAAAATCCTAAGTTAACAAATTGAATTCTGCAACTGAGATGCAGTGGGTGGATGTAGGGCTGGGCTCCTTGGACCGAGGCTGAACCATAAATACCTCCCACTTTGGTATTGCTTTGAGGAGCTTCCCAGCATTCACCCTTCACCCTTTTGCTGTGTGCCTTCCTTTACCTTAGCTAAGGAAGTCTAGGCAGCTGTGCAGGATTTGATAGGTGGCAGCTTTAGCTCAGACTCTGGAAGTTCCCTGCTCCCTGCTAACTCCAAGCTGGCTCCTTGCAGCTGTCCCCAGTGTCCCTTGGACTATGGGGCCAGGCATCTGATTTGATTCTTCAAACTGAATGTTACTGCTTCTACTTTATTTAAGTAAATGGCCATCTCATTGCCATCTGATGCTGTAGCATACTGTGCGAAAGGTATTTTGAATTAGCTGTTAGCAGCTGGGTGCGGTGGCTCACACCTGTAATCCCAGCATTTTGGGAGGCTGAGGTGGCCAGATTGCCTGAGCTCAGAAGCTTGAGACAAGCCTGGGCAACACGACGCAACCCCATCTCTACTAAAAGTAAAAAAAGTTAGCCGGGTGCGATGGCAGGCACCTGTAGTCCAGCTACTTGGGAGGCTGAGACAGGAGAATTGCTTCAACCTGGGTCGCAGAGGTTGCAGTGAGCGGAGATTGCGCCGCTGCACTCCAGCCTGGGTTACAGAGGAGACTGTCTCAAAAAAAAAAAAAAATAGCTATTAGCCTGCAGATGATTTGGATATGGGACCTAAAAAGCAAGCTGATTAATTGATAGATGTATTTATTTATGATATTCAGCCTGAGAATTAAGCTGGATTTAGAATAAAGTGTTTCTTATGAGATACGCTTGGGGGTAAACATGATCTGCATGTAATTCACAGGTCCTGGCATTTCAGAGCAGTATTCAAATGCATGTCTGCCATGGACTGTGAGCTCCCAAAAAAAGTGCATGATGAAGTGAGTTTCGAATACTGACAGAAACGGTAGAGAAAGGGCATGTCCTGGTCCTGGCTACCGTTGATATTCTGCTTGGAGCTTGGATTTGGGGTTGTGTTTTAGCTTAAAGAAACCATATATACCTCCAATGAGAAAGAGACTTTTGGGTGAAGAGGGACTGGAGGGAACCCATGGAACAGAACAAAGGCTGGGCTTACGGTGATAGCCCGCATTCATTTAGAGATGGAAAGTTGCTGGAAACTTTAAAACAGAGCACTGCTGTCACTGCCTGATGTTTTTCAGGGACTGTTTGGGCCACTGTGCAGAGCACAGGGAGTAGGAGATTTGTGTGCAAACTGGAGGGCCAGCGAGAGCCCTGGGGATAAGCTACACCAGCGATGGCCATGTCTTTGGCTAAGGTAGTCATTGGGAAGAGGGAAACAATGAGAGATTTGGGGCATGTTTTGCAGGCCACATGAACCTGTACAAACTAGATGTAAGAAGTGAAGAAAAATGAACAATCAAGGAAAAGTCTTAATATTTTTGGCTTGAGCCAAAAGTGATTGGTGGAAAGTTTAAAGATAAAGAAGCGGGCTTGCGAGGTGGGAGTGTTCCCGAGCTCTGTTTTGGCCTAGCGCAGTGTTTCTCAACCCTGTTTATTTTTTTTCCCATTATGACCCTCCTAAGGAGAGAAGTAAATTCACTTTAATTAAGAAGAGAAATTTAATGCTAAGGAATAAGAATTTGTGGGGTAGGGTGTGCTTTGGAGGACCACAAGCAGAATAATATCTAAAATGTTCTTTACCCTCCTCCCAAGAATCAATTTCACCCCCTTAGTGGAGATGTTTCCCCCAGTGTGGATGTGTGGCCTGGTTAATTCTCAGGTGCCCAGGAGGTGGCCCAATAGAGAAGTTTAGCTAGCAACTGGAAATTCTACACTGACGTTCAGAAGAAAGGTAAGGCTAGAAGGTACAATTTGGGATTTAGATGATGATATTCAGGCCACCTGGGGGGCAGTGTCTCTAGGGAAGAGAAGCCGACCCAGGCTAATGCCTCAGGGCTCTTTGATATCTAGGGGTTTAGCAGTGGAAGATAAGTCAGCAAAGGAGACCAAGAGCAGGAGTCAGTAATAGGAAGAAAAAAAAAAACACAGGAGAGAGAAGACAGTGCTGAATTTCTGAGAGAGAGCATAGAAATTAACAGAGAAGTAACCAAAGGATTTGGCCACATAGTGGTCACTGCTCCCATGGACCAGAGCTGCCTCAGTGGAGTGGAGTGGCAGAGGAGGAGGCCAGCCTGCTGTGCGGCATGGAGGAAGGCATGGAAGGAGGTAGGCACCCTGGCTGTGGGCGTTCATTGGGTTTTCATGGCGCTCAGGGTCAGACAGATGGTGTGTCGGGAGCTGTGATACCAGGAGAGTTTGTAGGAATTTGCTGTTGATTTAGGGCATGTTGGGAACACTGGTGGAGATGAGCGGATGATGGGTGAAGGTGGAAACGCTGGGATGGAGGAGGTTCATGAGGGCAATGAGTTCTAGATGAAAGGGATGGTACAGGAGGGGCTGGCCTGGAGAGGAGCAAGGTCAGGTGATTTGTTGCAACAGGAGAGGACAGAGGGAGGTACAGGTGTCAACCTGTGTGTAGATGTAGGTGGTGGTTGGATGATGGAAAAAAACCCATGTGACTTCTGCTTTCCTACTGCAGAATGAAGTCAGGTAATTAGTGAGAAGGGGTGCAGAGAATAGTCAAATATTATGATCTCTATATCTCTGTGATGGCCATATTAATATTTCACCTTTCACCAATTTCCCCGCTAATGCCCACGCATGGCGTACAGGCCGCGTTGGAGATCCCTGCGGCTCATGCTGCCTTATTACGTAATGCCCTGGAGAGGCCTCACAAGTAGAAGAGTCTAAAACGATAGATTGCTTTAAATAACTCATGCTAAATCATCCTCCTGTGAACATTTCTCGATGGATCTTGTCTTTTAAGCTTCAACAAACCCTATTAGCCATCAAAATCCTCCAGTCTCTCAAAATAGCCCTCATCAGACTTGCTCCCACATGCTTGCGTCATGGCTGGGTGGCCACTGGAGAGGTTGGGTGGAGATGCTGGCTGTGTACATAGGAACCAGAGCCCCTAGAGAGATGACTTGTGTCTGAGCACCATTCTTAAAGCTTTCCAATACATGGGCTGTCAGTGGCTGTATGCATCTTCTCTGTTTGACTTGGCTTAGGGATATTTGGGAGGGGACAGGGGGGACAGGCAGCATTAAGCATCCTTTTGCTGGTCCTCTGTCTTTGAGTGCAGTTCTGTGATACTCAGATGTCTTCCAGAACTATCGGCTGTTTGATTGTGGAAATTCCTGGAAGACAAGGGCTCCTGTTCCTTCTCTCGCCACCCGTGCTTTTTGTCTTTCTCACCCTCTGTTCCTTTAAGACCACAAAGCAGGGACTCGGACACTGGTGACACGGACATTTCAGGCTCTAGCTGTGGGACGCTTCAGGCAGGCAGCCTGATCTTTTTTCCATTTTGTTTAGAGGTATAGATTGTACACCTCTGCTCCGAGCTCCTTTATCAGGCCCCAGAAATCATGGATGCAGCAAAAATTTTGAAAATGAAATTTTTCCTATATTATCCCAATTACTCTTTGGTCTCCATGAAGCCATTGTTTTTCCAATTCCTCTATTGCAGAATGCATGCAGGGAATTTAGAAATCACATGGTAAACGTTATGGGCCATTTCCTATTGCTGACTTTACCTTCCTAGTTCCTCAGAGATGTAAGATGAATGTCCCTGGTGCCAGTGAGCAGCCAGTCAGTGTGCACAGAGCTGGAAAAACTAATAGACTAGATGCATCTTACTGATCACGTTGATGTGGAGGGGCCTCATCTCTCTGGTCCAGCTGGAAATGTGATTGCTGCCTGGGGTGGCCATGACTAAGGGATTCCTGTCTCAGCTGCCTCTATATGGAGAACTGAGCTGAACTGGTAAACGCTCAGTTTCCCTTTCAGAAAAGAATGTTACTCTCAAGAGCAGCAGTGATTCAAATGGCCTTTTGACTTTAAAAAATTCTCCATTTAAAAATGTAGAAGCATTTTATCCTATACAATTATAAACATTATTGGTAGCTAATAAAAAATTTTGATGAGGCAGCAGATCATTAAGAAAATACATATAGACCTTGCACACTTCATTTTGACTTCCAATAGATAAATAGATCCATTTCACAAAGCATGTGCATTTGTCAGGTTGCTTTTTCTTGGTTTTGTTTTTTTATTTGACTTAAGATAGGTCTATAGATGAGTGTTTGCCTTCGTTTTCTGTGAGCCAGTTTTCATACCTTTAAAGTTGAATAAGGGCTGGGCATGGTGGCTCACACTTGTAATCCCAGCACTTTGGGAGGCCGAGGCAGGTGGATCACCTGAGGTCAGGAGTTCGAGACCAGGCTGACCAATATGGTGAAACCTCGTCTCTACTAAAAAATACAAAAAATTATTAGCTGGGTGTGGTGGCGGGCACCTGTAATCACTGCTACTGGGGAGGCTGAGGCAGGAGAATCGCTTGAACCTGGGACGCAGAGGTTGCAGTAAGCCAGAACTGTACCACGGTACTCCAGCCTGGGTGACAGAGCGAGACTCCATCTCAAAAAAAGAACTGAAGACAATCGATGAAACGATTTGAACGCTTTTTAGATTTAGTGAGTCTTTTAAGTTGTCTCTCACCCATCTGACTTGACAGCAGTTTTTCAAGTGAGTCATCTTTTTAATCTTTTCAAATCTTTAGAATTCGTTTTCATGTAAAAGTCAACTTTCTTTTCATAGCCCTATTTTATATAATATTTCATTAAAACAGTTATAATAACAGATTTATTTGGTATAAAGCAGGTATGGAGCACGCACACAGCTGTGTCCACTCACTAATCCATGCGCACACGCTTCCCTCTTAGCTGTAGACACCACATGATCACATCACTAGGGGAGCTATTCAGTGGAACCCCATGCTGTCCTTGTTAGGTGGATTTTTAAACACTCTGTTAAACTAAAAAAGTATATTCTCACTGGCCAGTGTCCAGTGTAAGCAAATTTGCACATGGCTGTCCCTTGAGTCACTGTAGTTACCTTTTAAAAGGAAAGAGAGGGAAACTCCATTGTGTAGATCTTTCCCCAGCCAAGAGACCGTTAGCATGCGGTACAGTAAGGCAGCCACTCATTAACTGTTTGTTTACCTGGCAAAGAGGGCAGGTTGGTGAGCTCCCAGGTCCTCAGAAAATGAGACTAAGTTTTATTAAGATCTGAGGGGAAAAAAATAAACCAAGCAGAACTAGAATTCACTGGACCAGAAGGTTTTGTTCTCCCTTTTCCAGCTAATCTCTCTCATCCAATCTGAGAGAATTAAGCAAGGGTGAGGGAGTTGCAGCTGGCTGAATTCAGGAAGTTACCAAAGAAGGCTGATTTAACTGAAAAGACATATATTCTTCCCAAAGCCCAGGCTATTGAGCCAGAGTACCTGATCACCCAGCAAAGCACCACTCAGGCTGTGAGGCTGGCCACGCACAGGGAGGCAAAGAGAGGAGGAGAGAGGAACTTAACTTTGTTTTTCTTCAAAAAGATGTGTTGTTTCTTGGCAAAATGTAATCACCATTGTTAGCAAACCCATGAGATGCTCTCAGCAATGTTTATCAAATAGAAAGAGCTTCCTTCTGTGTGACAAGCAGGGGATCAGAGTGACAGTGTTTAGATCTGTTACTTACAAGGTGATAGGGGCAAAAATTAATACCTGCACAGGCTGACTCCTGAAGTCTTCATCACCAGAAATGCCAGCATGATGTCCAGGCCCTAAGGTGCCTACCATGTCCCCATGAGAGACACACAGTGCCATGAACAGTCTGGGTTTTCCAGAAATACTTGATTTGGTTAATTGACAAATTCTGTTGTTCCTCCTTTATAGTTAATTAATAATTTTCCAGTGTAGCGTTTCCTATCAGGGGGTGTGAATCCACACACGTGGCTTTTTCACAATAAAATAGCATTCATGGTGCCTTAAAACAGCTTGAAATGCCCCAAATTACTAGACTTGTAGGTGGATTTCTCACAAATTATTATTAAAGGTAATGAAAATCAAAATCAAAGCATTTCATATTTATTGTGTCTTTAGGGCAGGCCATACTTTACAAGTACCATTTTAAGAAATCCTCTCAATAGCCATAAGAGGGCAGGTCATATGATCTTTATTTTTCAGTTGAGGAAGCTGAAGGCAATACTGATTTAGTATCTCACACAAGGTCACATGGCTAATAAGGCAGAGAAGAATCAGCTTTGCTTGACTCCAGAGTCCGTGTTCTGTATAGACAAAGGCATGAGGTCATCCAATAAGGTAATCGCTTGGAGAAACATTTTTCCCTACTTGTTTTGATGTAGAACTTCTGTACCAATTGTAACCCTCTGCCGGTTGAGTAAATATTTGGGGTTAAATATAAAGCTGAAATTCAAATAAAGAAACATGTTACTGTTCTCTACAGGGCTGGTCCTCACCTTTTCACAACGCACTTTGGAAAACCAGCACAGAACAAAGGCCCCTCCCAGCCTGGTGTATTCAGACCTCAGTGCTTTGCCTGGGCTGCAGCTCTGTTGGGAAAAGGTGGCAGTTCAGTTCCCGAGGCTGGTGCCCTCGGCAAGAATGGGAGAGCCTGGTAATTTATAAAGGATTATCACATGCAAAGGCAATGTTTGTTTTATTCCATCATCTCTCATTCTTTCAAAGCAGTGGCGTTTTCTTAGTATCGCCATGTAATAGAGTTCGAGAAAAGTGACCTTAAAATTGAGGCAAGTGTCACACTTTGAGAATGCATTAATTTTTTTAAAGACATTTTAGTGGTTTTAAAATTTTATTTCATATATATATATATATATATATATAATTTTTTTTTTTTTTTTTGAGACGGAGTCTCGCTCTGTCGCCCAGGCTGGAGTGCAGCGGCGCGATCTCGGCTCACTGCAAGCTCCGCCTCCCGGGTTCACGCCATTCTCCTGCCTCAGCCTCCCGAGTAGCTGGGACTACAGGCACCCGCCACCGCACCCGGCTAATTTTTTGTATTTTTAGTAGAGACGGGGTTTCACCGTTTTAGCCGGGATGGTCTCCATCTCCTGACCTCGTGATCCGCCCGCCTCGGCCTCCCAAAGTGCTGGGATTACAGGCGTGAGCCACCGCGCCCGGCCTTCATATATTTTTATGTTGTAAAAAGGGGAAACCTTTGTTCTTTGAGTAAAATGCCCTGGTAGTGAACATTTTTTAAGGTTTTTTTTATTTTGACAGACATACCCACATTTCACGCAGCATCATGCTTACCCATTCACCTCATCTTGCATTCAGAGAGCTCTCAGGCACTTGCAAAATTGAAGGCCAGAATGAAGGGAGCTCAGTCATCCTTGACAACTGCTGGGGACAAAGTTGGCAATTTGTTCATTGTTCTTGCAAGCACTTAGCCTCTTGCCGAGCACTTTAACATCAGAGAATTCTGGGCATAGATCAGAAATCAGTGGCTGCAGAGGCAAGCTACGTGCAGGTAAGTTAAGGGCTTACTATAGAAATGCAAAATGCCACCATTCTTCACTGTGTTCTGAGAGGTTTCATACTGTTGTCGACACCTGTGCTGGTGTAGAATTGCAGATCTCTTTCTGTCTTTTTTTTGTTGTTTTTCTCCTTTTCATTTTTTCATTTTTTACTCCACGCTAAGAACATCGGAATATTTTCAACTTTACCATTGGTAAAATAGTGCAAAGGAAGTGAAGATCACGTCAGCCCATGGTCCATATTTTATTCCTTGAGTTAGCAAATCACCAACACTATTTAGTTTAGCGAGTTACTCCTTTGGAATTTACAGTAAAGCCATATTTAATATATTTCCATTTAGCAAGTATTTGTTTTAAATAACAGCCTTGGCTTCCTTGTTTGGTTTGTGAGGGAGACTTTGCTTCTGTGTTTCCAACGTGGCTGGAAGTGGAGGCTCCAGGGCTTTGCCTCACTCATACAGTTTTATTTTTAAATTGAAAAGTGGATTTGTTTAACATCCTCCAAGAAGCAAACTCATAAAGCTCGGGCTTTCCTAAAATGCATTGCCAAAATCATAATTGGTAGAAAGTTAGCAAGAAAGAAGGATTAGCTCATCGAGCCGTGGCCTAGCAAATTGTAATGGGCTCAAGTAGTTTTGTGGCTTGTTGAGAAAATGATACAGAGTTTAGGAAGCAGAAGGACACAGCAATGACACAGGAGAGCCTCACAAACAACAAACACTGCCTTTGCCAGGAGAATTGGGAATGGGACCATTCTTGACCTTCCTGGAAGAACTCAGAAGGACGTTTCACTCCAGGAGGCATCAGGAGGGAAGTCTTTCATTGTTTTCAAGGAATCTGTTGTCCCTGGGAGTGGGTCACAAGTGCTGCACACACACTTGGTGTCTCTGAAGGAGCCTCACCACATATTAGAGATGAGGTTCCTCCTTGCCTCAGGACCCCATGCCTCATTGGCATTGCTGCAGGGAGACCCCAGGGGCTTGTGGCAGTCAGAGGTCAGCAGAAGACACGCAGGGTTGATCTGTGCTCATGGACTCTGATCTCACATCAAGAGCCAGGTTCCTTTTGACCGGGATGATTTGAGAAATGGTGGGAGCAGGGCAGTTATCAATTCAGATGAGTAGATGCTGACTTAGCTCTGTACAGCTCCCTGGCACCACCCATGGTACAGGGAGGCAGGGATTAGGAGAATGCTGGCCTCCCTGTAGGTCAGTGATGTTGCATCAGTACTGGGATTAGGCTGGGGTGTCCAATCTTTTGGCTTCATGTTGGAAGTATTGTCTTGGGCCACACAATAAATAAATACACTAATACTACAATAGCTGGTAAACTAATAAAAAGATCTGTGCATAAATCTCATGTTTTAAGAGTTTACGAATTTGTGTTGGGCTGCATTCAAAGCCATCCTGGGCCACATGTGACCTGTGGGTTGCGGGTTGGACAAGCTTGGATTAGAGGACAGAAGAACTTGCAGCTTTCAGCTTGGTTGGTTGCTTGGGTAAGGGTGCACTCTTGTGTTCTCTCTCTCTCTTTCTCTCTCTCTCTCTCTGTCTGTCTCTTTTCTCTCTCTCTCTCTCTCTGTCTCTCATCTCTCACTCTGAAAGAAGTCCTGTTGGGGGAGTCCCAAAAGCTAAACCATTGGCCTGGGGGAGAAACGTGTGCTGGATGGAAAAGAGGACAAAGGCATAGACTTGTTGACTTGCATCTCCGAGGTCCTGTGATGTGGCCAGGTGGCCTGCAGCTCACCTGAGAGACACAGGCAGGATTTCCTCTCGCTTTAGAAATTGAGCAGCCTGCTTGGAGCAGGCTTGTTCTCAGATTCATTGACACTTCTGCCCATCAGGGTGATCTGCAGGAATGAAAAGTGGTTAGAATTCTGTTGCAAAGGTTAATTTTAAAAGGCCAGTGAACACCCACAAGGGGGTCACCAGGGCAAAACCACAGCACACACCCGCCTCTCCGTTTAACTCACACTAGTCCAGGTGCTCTGCCTGCTCTTACCTGCTTTTCCTCTTGGTTGGGTAACAAGCATTCAGTTGACTGCATATTCTCCTCCCTCAGTTTCTTCTGACATCTTCGTGAGACCTGAGAGCAAGCTCTGCCTTGGCGACAACCAGTTGTCATTTCTTAGTGGCAGCCTTTATTTTTCAAAAAATGAAGAAGGATAGGCAGTCTCTGCAGAGTGATAGTGGGGAGCTGCCAGAGGGGCAGCAGGGTCCTGCGTGTATCCTACCAACTGTGTTTCCATTCTCTTTTCTCCCACCACAGAAGAACAAGTAAGCGTAGAGCTGACAGGGAAAGGTCTCCCCACCAGGGCTGTCTGTCCTGAGAGTTTAGAATGTGCTGGGAGAGCAGAGCATTCTTTGGGGCCTGTTTGGCGCCAACAAGGAGCGTTACGTGGTCTGTGACCAGCTGCTGCACCTCCTGCTTTGCTCTGGAAGGAGGCCTTGAAGGCCAGTTGGAAGTTCTGCTCGGCTGCCTTGAATAATGAACCATCAATTCTGTTTCCCAGCTGTGCTTCCACACCCTCACTCTTGGATGGGACTGCTGGGTTCCTTGTCTGCCACAAGCAGCAATTGCTGGAAGTAGCAGGTCAGAAATGGGAAAGGAGGCCTGGACTGCATAGCCAGGCAAGCCAGTGAGGTTGGAGCAAACCCTTGAACAGGGGCTGGGCCCACCTTTGTAGTCTTGTCACCAAGGAGGTTACTGAAGCCTCCAGAAGGCACACTGTCTGATCCAACTCACATGCCAGAGGAACACTGAATAGTTTCCTTCCGATGCATTACATTCATTAGTTATAGAAGGAATAAAGCCATCCTATATCTTCTCTGAAAAATGAAGGAGTGAAAAGAGCACAATGTAATCCTATTATGGTTGCAACTCTTCCCAGTTTGGTTTTCTGCAGATCTATTTACATGCATACTTTATTCTTTCATAATCATGGTGTAATATCATCTGTGTACTGCATTATTTTACTTACCATTCTATCACAAGCATTTTTCCATGTTACTCCAGCATTTTCATTGCCAACTTTCTTATTGGCTGCATGAGAGTCTATCCAGTGGGTATACCATAACTTGTCAGTACATTGTATCATTTTCATAAATTTAGGTTGCTCTCAAGTTGTATCTGTTGCAGATAACATTGTAGTGAGTGTCTTCATGCATATGGTTTCTATATTTTGCATTATTTCCTAGGACACATTCCCAGAAGTCGGATTACTGGGGCTCGATACACATTGTCAAATTGCTTTCCAAAAGGATTTTACTGATTTTATTGCACTCTCGCCAGAATTCAATATTGTCTTTTAAAAAAATTGTTAATGTAATGGCAAAATGTTGTTTTATTTTTACTGAATTTTCATGTCTTCAGTGATTTGCAAGATAAAACAGTTCCCAGCCATTTTCTTTCCAAATGTAGTTTCTGTTTTTGTAAACTATTTACATCCTTTGCTCATTAATCTATTGGTTTTAGTGTTTTTTCTTGAGAACTGTCTTAACATTGTTATACTATGCTCATAGTAACCTATTTCATATTTCCAGTTATTTTTTCTGTGGTGGTGTTTGCCCATCTCATTCGGTTAGGTTTTTAAAAATTTGTTTTTATTATTTTACATACAAATATTTAATTTATATCTTTCCATCTTTTTTAATGATTTCTCTGTAATAGCACCCTCCCTCTATAAATTTGATAGACCATTTTAGGTTTTATTATTTTATATTAAACTTTTTGTTTGTCTAGAATTTAATGCTTTGTATTAAATGCATGTAAGTTGATTTTTTAAATTGCAACTAGTTATTACAGCACCATTTATTAAATAATTCTTCATAGTTTAAAAGTGGTTCTTCCAGTTAAGGTTTTAACATAATGTTAGGGATAATTTCTGGGCAATTTGTTGCTTCAATAATAACATGTTTGGCCAAGCACAGTGGCTCATGCCTGTAATCCCAACACTTTGGAAAGCCAGAGTGGGAAGATCACTTGAGGGCAGGATTTCGAAGTTATGGTGAGGTATTATCATGTCACTGCACTCCAGCCAGGGTGAAAAAGTCAGACCCTGTCTCTAAATAACAGTAATCATCATCATCACCTTTTATTCTTGGGTTAGTACCACATTGTTTTAATTACCATTTCTTTATGGTGTGTTTTAGATATTTGGCATCGGCCAGGTGCGGTGGCTCACGCTTGTAATCCCAGCACTTTAGGAAGCTGAGACAGGTGGATTGCTTGAGCCCAAAAGTTCAAAACTAGACTGGGCAATATAGTCAGACCTTGTCTCTACAAAAAAAAAATTTAAAAATTAGCTGGGTGAGGTGGTGTGCCCCCTGTAATCCCAGCTACTCTGGAGGGTGAGGCAGGAGGATTGCTTGAGCCCAGGAGGTCGAGGCTGCAGTGAGTCGTGATCGTGCCACTGCACTCCAGCCTGGGCGACAGAGTGAGAACCTGTCAACATAAATAATAAATCAATATCTGGCAGCCCTTCTCTGTTTTACTATTCATTTTCTGATTTTTCTTCTGTAGTTTAACCTATTGTTCTACCAAATGTAATTTAAAATCATTCTGTGAAATCCAGCAAAAATAGCTTTTTATTTTAATTTTGATTAGATTTGCATTAGAGCTCAGTATTAAAACATGCACACCTTTTGGTGCCAGATTTCATACTCAACATACTTTGTTCCTTTTGTGCGAAGGAAATTATGTTTATTATGGAAAACAGTGAAAGATGAGAAGTAAATGGCTCATCCTCCATAAATGGCCATCGCTGACTGTTTCATGTAGAACTTTCTGGCCTGTGCCCATATCTTCTCTCTTCAGGCTTTGGCAGTGGGGCTGATACTTCACAGGCTGTTCCAGTACCACTGCACCTTCACTCTGGAGGTGGGAGTGGGACTCCGTGCTGAGGACCCTAGATGCACATCTGTTCCCTTAGCAGGGAGCCATGTCCAGAGAGTGAGGCATGCAGGGAGTGGTCATGTGGAAGGTGCGGTCAGACCGCCAAGGTCATGCCATCTTCTGGGCACTGGTAGTCCCTATGGAGCTGCTGCTGGCCAGTGGGAAGATTTGGAGGATTTGAGGATACTCTTCAGAGTGTGCTTCCACAGTCTAACCCTCCTGCTTGACGACCTGTTATGTGTGAGATGGTGGCTTTGTCACAGGAATCACCTGAAAGACCTCTATCTGGGCTCCGTGAAACTACCTAAGCAGGTCAGTCTTTCAGTGAACTGATCTGATATCATTGGGCTATCACGAGCCTGAGGCTGGCTCCCCACTTTCAAATCATCCTCAAAAGGCAGGGCAAGTGTTTTCCTCTGGTTGGTGATGGTGTCCTAGCATGCCCTTTTTCCAGCTGGCTTCCCACTGGGCTCAGCCCGATGCGTCTACTGCAATCCCCCTTTCCTGTGTTGCCCTCGGATAACTCCATGTGTAGGCCTGAATCGTGTTCATTTCCAGGAAAAGTAAATGATGCATATCTTACTTTCCATCTGTGGTCATTTTTTTTCTGCTTGAGAAACACCTGGGTCTGCTTGTTTTTGAATTCTCTTTTTGTTTGTCTGAAAAAGAAATCTATTTTATTTCAAAAATTCAATATTGAAGGATAATTCAGATTTAGAATTTGAGGCTAGCAGTTGATTTCTTTCAGCACTTCAAAGATAATTATTGCACCATCTTTTAGCTTTCATTGTTTCTGTTGAAGGTAACATATCTTTTTCTCCAGTGGAGATATAATCTCAGTGCTTTTTCGTCTTTGTTTTTAAACTTTTTATTATCAAAACTTTCATACATGTACAGAAGTAGAATAGTAGTTATACTATTACTATTATATTATGTAGTATATACTACAGCTCTGTTTTAACCATCGTTCACCTTTACCACTGTCAACCATAGCTAAGTTTCTTAGATTTATCATCCCAGCTTTGTCTTTCTCACCATTATGTTGAAGCAAATCTTAGGCATTATATCATGTCGTTCATAAATATTTCAGTTGTCATTCAAAAATATCTCTTAAAAATAAGAATTTTTTAACACCTCTATATTATTACTCCTTAGAAAATGTTGTTTTATACATAGTTCCTATAGTTTGCCCAACTTAGTATCTAAACAAGGTAAAAATATTGCCTTTGGTTGTTATATCTAGTAAGTTTCCGATAATCTTTAGGTTGACACCCCTACTTTTTTTCTTTTTTTTTTTCTTTTTGTTTTTTTTTGAGAGAGAGTCTTGCTCTGTCGCCCAGGCTGGAGTGCAGTGGCACAATCTCGGCTCACTGCAAGTTCCACCTCCTGGGTTCATGCCGTTCTCCTGCCTCAGCCTCCTGGGTTCATGCCGTTCTCCTGCCTCAGCCTCCTGAGTGGCTGGGACTACAAGCACCTGCCACCAAGCCCAGCTAATTTTTTGTATTTTTAGTAGAGGCTGGTTTTCACTGTGTTAGCCAGGATGGTCTTGATCTCCTGACCTCGTGATCTGCCTGCCTTAGCCTCCCAAAGTGCTGGGATTACAGGCATGAGCCACTGCGCCTGGCCTTTTTTTTTTTTGAAGTACATGATCTCACTCTGTTGTCCAAGCTGGAGTGCAGTGATGTGATCATAGCTCACTGCAGCCTCGAACTCTTGGGCTCAAGCAATCCTCCTGAATAGCTAGGACTATAGGTGTGCACCACCATGCCCAGCTAATTTTTAGTTTTTTTGTATAGCTGCAATCTCACCATGTTGGCCAGGCTGCTCTTGAACTCCTGGCTTCAAGCGATCCTCCCACCTCAGCCTCCCAAAATGCTAGGATTACAGGAATGAGCCACTGCACCAGGCTCCCCATTTTTTTTCCTTATAATTTATATTGCAATGTTTGTTCAAGTTCTGTAGGAAATTCCACATTCTGGATTTTGCAGATTGAATCCACATGGTGTTATTTAACGTGTTCCTCTGTCTGCTATACTTTTGTAAACTGATAGATCTACAGACTCAGTGAGATTCAGGTTTTGTTTGTTTGTATGTTTGTTGTTGTTTTTTAGCAAGAATACCTGATAAGTGGTGTGGTGTTCTTCCCATTGCATCACACCAGCAAGCACATCATGTTTTTCTGTCTCTTATAACGTGAAGATTGATTAGTGGCATCAGGTGCTGCCAGCATTTATCCAGATTCCTTCAATATACAGTAGTTTTTCACCTAATTGTTATGGCAGCCAATGATGATCATTGACTAGACCCATTATTCCTTTGGAGTTAAAAAAATCCTTACTCTAATTATGTTATTCTGTCTGCTTTCATTAGCCAGAATTCTTTCATAAGATGGAAACTTTTTTCATAAAATAGATGGTACCCTGAGAGTGTTTATTAAAGGAAAGGAAGGATAAATGCTTGTCTCTTTCATTTTAATTATCTATTTGCTAAATAGTGAATTGGTTCCCTGGCATCCTCCAAGGATGACCAGTAAATTTTTTTCTTTAATACCTTCATGAATTTTCATGTGTCTAAGTCCGTTGTAGTTATGATTCTTTTTGCTGAACAAATTCTTCCATCTTGTTCCACTAGGAGTCTTTTCAGGTGGATTCCTGGGTCCTTACCACCCTGCTTAAGTAGTCTTTGATAATGGCTTTCTTTTTGATGTGACAAAATATCTCAGGTTGATCTTTTACATTTTCCATCCCAAACCTGGAATAAGCCAAGAATATATAGTTGCTTTTAGTGGGAAGTGGTATTTAGAAATCATAATCTGGACAACGAGGGTGCTCACTGCAACTGAGTTACTCATTCTTTCCAAGCCTTTTAGTGGGCAGAGCTAGGAAATACATTTTCTTTTTTTTAATTCTCTTTTCCCTGCACCAGGATGTAAAGTAAGGAAATACATTTTCCATAGGAAAAAAAATCAACATGAATTCATACTATATTTGCATTTCCAATTTAGGATTATGGAGATTTTAGTTACCTTCTTTGATTTTATATGTGTAATTTGTCTCTTACACTGAAAATTTGGGTCCCTAATGACACAAACATGATGTCTTGTTGCTTTGTATGTATATATAAAATATATAATAATTTGTAATATACAGCATAATATAGAATACATAGTATATACTATACTATGTATATATTTCACACACACACACACACACACACACACACACACATAAAATAGTTTCAGAATAACAATACCAATTGTTACTTTAAAAGTTTGTTTTCTCCTTAGGATATATCCTGCAGACATACACAATCAAGTCATGTTTCTCAGGCACTTGAGATGAATCCTTGCATGTAGCTAAACTCATCAATTTGATATTTAGGATAATTTTATTTTGTTTTTGATTTTTAGTGATTGCACTTTTTTATTTAGAATAATGTGTCTCAGATATACTAAGCAAGTGTTTTCATAGTATTTTCACTTCTGCCCCTACCTTTCCCTACAGGAAACCACTTTTATTCATTTGTTGTTTATATATTGTAACTTAACTTTTAATATCAGTAAATACACACCACACAAACACGCACACACAGATGCGTGCAAACACATACTTGTATTCCCATCCCTTTCTTATTAAATGGGAACATCAATACTGCTTTTTAAATCTAACTTTGTATTCTGGAGACTGGCGTGTTGTAGTATATAGAGATATTTCTCATCACTTTTTACCACTGTGCAGATTCCATTGCATGCATATTCATATTTTCTTGCACCTGTCCTCTAATAATGGGCGTGTGATGGTTTTTCATCTTTTACTGTTATAGATGGTGCTTCATCTATAGCCTCATGCACACAACTTTACATGGTTTTGCCAGTGTGTCTTCATGATAGATTCTTTGCAGTGGGTTGATGTAATTGGAAGGCAAATGCATATGACAATTTTGGTAAATAATACTCAATTGAATGCCATAAGGTTATTGAATTGTAACATCTCACCAGAAATAAACGAGCCTGCTTATTTCTCCACAACCTTTCCAACCTATTATGTTGCCAGACTTTTGTACCTTTGAAAATTTATCACATGAGAAATGGCATCTGAGTGCAGTTTTATAGATCTCAATGTATGTTTTTTGGTTTGTTTCTATACTGCTTAGAGTTTATAATATTTTGGAAAATTCTCAGACAGTATCTCCGTTATCATTACTTCTACCTCATTCCCTTTCTCTTCTTCTTTTGGAACTCAATTACAGATTTGTTAGACCTTAGGCCCACATCACATACATGTCTTATGCTTTTTTTTTTTTTACTTTATTTTTCATTCATTTTCTCTCTGTATTTTATTCTAGCTATATATTTCTGATATATTTTTTACTTTTGTATTTCTTTCTTCTGTCCTATAATCTGCTGGTAAATTCATGCATTTTTGTTCTCTGTTTCTGTTATGGAGTTTTCATTTGGTTATTTTTGCTAATTGGAAACTAAAATTTCCTATTCAGTCTTTTGGTCCCTTAAAGACTCTTGGTGGTTCTGTTTCCGTGGATGTGTTTCTGTTGAGTTTTTTGGGAAGAAGTCAGTCTTGTTTTATGATCACGTCCTGGTTTCTGGTATGCCTGGATTTTCCTGAAATGAATGCTGTAGATCATATGTAAAAGATATACAGACTTAATTGAAGGTACGATGATGTTATCTTACTCCAGATAGTGTTTATTTTTTTCCATAATTTCCTGTGTTTTTATGTTGTGTATATTTGTTTAATACCATGAAACTCCTTTTCTGTGATATTCAAAATGAAGGTCGTGGTAGTTTTGAGTGGAAGGCAGTTTTGTATTGTGTTTTTAAAACTTTATTTTCCAGCAATTAAAGATGTCCACAGTTATGAGAAATAATACAAAGAGATCCTGTAGCGCCTTCTCTCAGTTTCCTCTAGTGGTAATATCTGGCATAACTGTAATATATCACAACCAAGAACTTGTGTCACTCTTTTATAGGTCAAGCCTCTTTTCTCCTCCTCGCCCTACCCCGTTTCTGACAACCACTAATGCCTTCTTTATCTGCGTAACTTTTTCACCGTATGAATGTTACATAAATGGGCTCATACAGTAGGTAACCTTTTGAGACTGGCTTCTTTTCCACTCAGCATAATTCCCTTGAGGTCCATCCAGGTTGTTGTATATAGCAATAGTTTGTTCCTTTTATTACTGAGTAGTATCCCATAATATGGATATAGCATAATTATTTTCAACCATACAAGGCCATTTGGGTTGTTTCTAGTTTTGGGTTATTTTGCATAAAGCTGCTTTGAACATTTGTGTGCAGTTTTTTGTGTGTGCACAAAAGTTTTTATTTCTCTGAGTTAAATGCCCAGGAGTGCAGTTGCTAGATCCCATGGTAATTGCATGTTTAGTTTTGTAAACGTCTGGGAGGCAGGACTTTAAGGTTGCTGGGGCCTCAGGGATGCATAGGACAGCTGGGGCTTTGCATCCTCGACTGCTTCAGCTGAAGACACAGTCTAGAGTCTGTGTACTCTGGCTTAGGTTGAGATTGGGAAGACATCCCTTGTTCTCACTTCCAGCCCTCTCACTTCAGTCAAGACTTTTGCTTACAAAGGGCAGCACAGAGGCTCACCGTGCTTAAGTGTCACGTGGATTTACTGGACAGACCATTTGCACACATGTGAGGCAAGTGGTATCGAATTTTACCTGGTAGCAGGTGCCAGCTTCCTTCCTGCATGCCCTGTCCCCTTTATCCTCAAAGCAGGCAGAGAATATGGCCACTTGGCATTCTCAGTCTCAGCCCCCACAACCCCACCCCCAGACAGAGATGTACACTAGCCCCTTCATTTGAGTTCCAGATGTCCTAAGGCAGAACTCTGAATGTCCCTTTGGGTCCTATGTCTAGTTCTGTCCCTGGTGGCCAGTGCCAGAGTCTTACAGCACAGCCCCATGTGTTGGGAGCGCCAGCTTTGGGGTAATTGTCATAGACAGTAGCGCCCTGTCGGGTCAGTTCCGTGTGAGAACCTGAGAGGGAAGGAGAGTTGCTCACGGTCAGACAGGAGCTCTCATCAGCAGCTGAGCCTGCATCCCCAGGCGTTTGCCTCCTTCCTTTGGTTTTGCTGATTTCGCTTCCTTGTGGGGAGACAGAGCTCGGCCTTTCTGCTCTCCTGTTGCGCTGGCTGTGTACTGTTTATTATAGCCTACGTAGAGAGAATAGAGGGACAGACAGCATTTCTGGTGACAGGGCATATCCAGTGAAATGCAGACATAAATCATCTTTTAAACAAGGGTGGGTTTGCGGTAGGAAGGCCTGTGTGAGGAAATAGGCCCTCTCTGGGCTCCCTCCGTCCTTCACAGAGTGCCTCCTGACCCAGGGTCGCAAGCCAGGTTCTGTGCCAGGCACCACTCCAGAGCAGGTATCTGTGGCTTGACAAGGATGCACAGGGCAGCCGATCCTTGGAAAGTCTGTGTGTCCAAAGTGCCTCTGGTTATATTTCAAGGACCTGCCTGAGCTGAGTCACAGTTAGCCTCTGACAATATTTCTAATAGACCACTCTGTTGTTGGACAGTTTTTACCATTTGCACTTCCAGTATGACCACTCCAGGTCTCTGCATTAATTTTTCTTTTTAAATCCTCTGTTTTAATGTTTTCGGGGGAGGGGGGGCCCACTTCTATCTGAAAATGCCCATCCAGACACTGTGGGTTCTGTGCCAATGCCAGGGAAGGAAGCTCAGGGTTCTGCCCTGGGCCCTAAGACCTTAGTGACTCAGGCAGCCCTGCTACTGGTTGGGAGCGCTCTCCACTGGCCACCTCTGCTGCAAAGCTCTTTTCTCTTGCTTCATGAGAAGTGGAAGAGTGTGAAACAGTACACGGAGGCCTTTCTGGCTGTTTACAAGGGAGATGGGCCACCAGTGTTTGTCACCGGAGCTTCAGGGTAGCATGCCTAGGAGAGGAGCAAACAGGGGCCTTGGGGCTGTGGAGTCATGCTGGGAAGATGAAGAAAAGACAGTTGGTAACTGACAAATTGCAGGTGTGATCATTACTCTCTGTGACTCCCTGTTTCTCAGATGCACTGTTGCTTACATCTTTGTATGCTTTTGCATTCCTGCTGATTGATTCAAGGTGCAACGTGCCTGCTTGTCAGGTATGCTGTTGATCACATTATTTAAGAAGAAATAAAGTCGTTCCCGCAGCTCCACCTGCAGTGATGGGCTTTAATGTTTTGTGCTTCCCGAGGAAAACCTGCCGATGATGTGAAGTGACATTCAACCCGCCGAGAGCTGATACTGGCAGACAAATTTCATGTCCTGTCTCCTGATCACCAGTTTGCTGCCTCCAAGTTGTTAGGGATATTAAAAACAGGGGTGGGAAGTCCCCACTTGACAGGTTCAATTTGTAATGTGAAAGGTGCTGAGAAACAAAGCAAGGACCCAGGCAGCTTTCTGCCAAGGCTGCTGGCCCCACACTCAGCAAGGCAAAGAGAAAGGGGATCTATCTGCTAGTAGCATGAGTGTGGGAGAGGAGGGGGCTGTTGTAGGGTGCCGTGGAGGACTCATACATGATCCTGGGAAGAGCGCTGCTGCTAGCCCAGGGCCACAAAGCGTCAAGGACGTTGAGCTCCTGTGCATGCTCCTGTAGCCTTGTGTCATCTGAAGAAGCACAGAAGTGGCAGGAATGGCCTTTTCATAGGGCATGGGATGCTGTAACTGATGTGCAATCTGTTATCTCAAAGGAGACCTTAGCACAAGTGGGAAAGGAAAAACTGCCCGACCATGGAGAGAACACAAGTGGGCTGAGTGTAGCTGCCTCTCCTTACCTGTGGCTGGTGCCATGAAGGAGTGCTGCTGTCATTGGACACTGTGGGGCCAGCACCGGGTTTTGTGTGTCACTTGCATTCTCCCTTGGTACACAGAGCCCAGACTGGTTTCCTGGTCCCTTCCCAGCGAGCACTGTGATGGCTTTGCCATTGAGGTGGATGGAGGTCCTTGACCAAAGCATGCTTCCCCCTGACCCCATCCCACCCGCAGGTTGGCAGCTCATCCTCTTCCACCTGCTGTGAAAGGGCTGGGTCTGGGGACATGGGATGAGGGCGACTTGCCTGCCCTATGAACCAGAAGATCAACCCCTCTGAAGCCAGGCAGCAGATTCTGCGGCTAGATCACCCTTAGATACAGCACAGGGCCTAACGTGTTGGTGGCACCCACTGTGTATTTGTGGGATGCTTGAGGAAATCAAAAAGAAACCAACACAAAAGAAAAGACTCTTCATTGTAAAAAGCCTGATGAGAACAGACAGGATGTGGCCTCTGCCAAAACCACCATCCACTTCCCCACCCAACTCTCTGCCTCCAGTATGCCCTGAGAACCCGCCTAGTCATCTGATCTGCCTCCATCATGCAGGCGTACTGAGCTCCTTCACTCCTCAGGTGAAGCCACCCGGAGCACACCGCGGATATGCAGCTTGAGAAAGCCAGTGTGTGCTCGCCCACGTTACCCTCCAGGGCAGGTGCAGGTGACCACTTGTCTCAGCCCACCTGGCCCCTCAACTCATTTTGTGTTACTGACCCTCTCTCTTCCATCCTCATGGTACTTGGGGTGTCCAGTTTAAGGCCTGTCTCAGATATACTTATAATGCAATAGAACAGATTTTATTTACCAGTTGAACTTCCTTTTCTCCCAGAGACCATTATTTGCACTAAATGTGGTTTTGTTTTGCTTTTTGTTGTCGTTTTTTGTTTTGTTTTGTTTTGTTTTTTGTTTTTTGTTTTAGATGAATTCTCACTCTTGTTGCCCAGCCTGGAGTGCAATGGTACCATCTTGGCTCACTGCAACCTCCGCCTCCCAGGTTCAAGCAATTCTTCTGCCTCAGCCTCCCCACTAGCTGGGATTACAGGCACTCGTCACCACGCCAGGCTGATTTTTGTACTTTTAGTAGAGATGGGGTTTCACCATGATGACCAGGCTGGTCTTGAACTCCTGACCTCAGGTGATCCACCCACCCTGGCCTCCCAAAGTGCTGAGACTACAGGCGTGAGCCACCACACCCAGTCAAATGTAGTGTTTCATGTGAGTTGTCCTATTTTTTTTTTTTTTTTAAGATGGAGTCTGGCTCTATCACCCAGGCTGGAGTGCAACGGCGTGATCTCGGATCACTGCAACCTCCGCCTCCCTGGTTCAAGTGATTGTCCTGCCTCAGCCTCCCAAGTAGCTGGGACTAAAGATGCATGCCCAGCTAATTTTTGTATTTTTTAGTAGAGACGAGTTTTCGCCACATTGGCCAGGCTGGTTTCGAACTCCTGACCTCAGTTGATCCGCCCGCCTCAGTCTCCCAAAGTGTCAGGATTACAGGCGTGAGCCACCACACCTGGCCAAGTTGTCCTATTCTTAAATAAGGATAGCACATATAGAATTATTATGGGGATTCAGGTGTAACCCCAGGGCTTTGGGAGGCCTAGGTGGGAGGATCACTTGATGCCAGGAATTTAAGTTTTCAGCCTGGGCAACAAAGTGAAACCCCTTCTGTGAGTCCATTTTGTGTTGCTCTAGAGGAATACCTGAGGCTGGGTAACTTGATAAACAAGAGGTTTATTTGGCCCATAGTTCTGCAGGCTGTACAAGCGTGGTACCAGCATCTGCTCAGCTCTCAGAGGCCTTAGGAAACTTTTACTCCTGGCAGAAGGCAGAAGGAGAGCAGGTATGACACATGGCACGAGCAGGAGCAAGAGAGGGAGAGGAGGAGGTGCCAGCTTCCTTTGAACAACCAGCTTTCGTGTGAACTATCAAACCAGACCTCACTCATTGCCACAGGGAAGGCACCAAGTTATTCATAAGGTATCCACTCCCATGACCCAAACACCTCCCACTATGCCCCATCTCCAGCATTGGGGGTCACATTTCAACATGAGATTTGGAGGGGACAAAACGTCCAAACCATATCGCCCCCTCCCTACAAAAAAAATTTAGAAATACCTAGGTGTGGTTGTGTGCACCTGTACTCTTAGCTACTTGAGGGGCTGAGGCGAGAAGATTGTTTGAGCCCAGGAATTTGAGGTTACAGTGAGCTGTGATTATACCACTGCAGTCCAGTGAGACACTGCCCACCCCACCCCGATAAAAAAAAAAAAAGAACTGTGATTGGGAGGGTTTGGGGCCAAGGTTGCTTAAACAAACACAGCCCACAGCTCTGTGCCAATTGAGGTTTGGGATTCCTGCCTCACCCCTAGATAACCAATAAAGTAGCTATGATACATTAAGTTCCTTTTGTTCTTAAGAGAAGGTGATGGGTGTAACTAGAGTGTTGACAACATGAAAAACCTAAAATCAGGTTGGAGATAAATATTTAAATCTCCTCTATTGGATACTGATAATGATGCTCTTAAGTAAAAATAAATATAGCAGGGGCCTATTAGGGGAGACAGGCTCTGGCTTTCTTACAGCATGCTGTTGCTGTGTGGTTTGGGTCACGTTTCTTAACCTCTCTGGGATTTCCTTTCCTCTGGTCTGAAATGAGCAGTTGTTGTACTTGCCGTATAATTTCTGAGGCCTCTTCTTACTCAGAACTTCTGACTGTTTTTAAAAGATGGAGCATTACCTCTCTATACCTGACTGTGCCGCATGCCATTCGATTTTGTTATCGAAGCAGGTCAGCCCGTTGTTTTTCACATAGATTCTTACAATGCAACAAAGCATCACAGTTACTCACAAGGGAAGGCAGGGGAGGAGGGGGAATGTGGTGTCAGAAGCCAGACCCATCCTCACGTAGTGGAGCTGCACCTGCCCATCTCCCAGAAAGTCCTTCAAGCCCCTTTCAGCGCCTCCACCTGCAGGCCTGTTCTTTGCAAGCCTGGCTGTGGTCTGTTTTGCATAAAAGAAGATTATCCAGCAGTGGGGTTTGCTCTTCTCTTTTTACATGGCTGCCATAGCAAGCCAACAAGAAACCTGCCGTGTGGAGTGACGGTCAGGAACCTTGCAAGATGCCGTCGAGGCTCTGTCTACACCAGGCAAAGAATCTTCCAGATTCCTGCTCTCTAACTCAGATGAAAGTAGTTGCTGCAGAGTGTGTTTGCTTCTCTGTCTGCCTCAGGGCTGAGCTTCTAAACATACCTGGTCTAGTGGGTTGCACAGCTGATTCCAGGACAATGGGATGAGGGAAGGGGAAGATAGAGGCTGGCAGAGGTGGCTTTTTGTGGCATGCATGGGAAAGCGGTAGGGGGTGCTCTTCACAGTTGTGGGGGAGGCTTAGCCTGAATCTCAGGGCACAGCTGAAGAAGGAGAGCAGCCTGGAAATGCGTCCTAAAGAGCCGCTCAGCCACGGCAGCTGTGAGCTGTGGCCCATCAGTGGCTGGAGGTGGGACCATTTGAGCTTTTCACTGAGATAGAGCCTGTGTCAAGTGTTCTGAACAACTTGCTGTGGCCTCATGTGAGCTTGGCTGTGGAATCAGGGAGGCCAGCACAGAGCGTGGGGCAGCTATTCCCAGTTCATCAGCATCAGCCACGGTGTGCAGAGGAGGGGTGGGAGTGAGGGATGGTCGAGAGGGAGAACCTGTTGATTTGCCCGCAAGCTAGTTGTGGAAGACAAGCACAGGCCAAGAAATGTGGGTGGACACCATTAATGGAGATGGAAGGAGGTGTTGGAATGGAGGAACACGGTCATTGACTTTTTGCACATGCTTAGTCTGAGATGCCTCCAGGGCAGTAGGATAAGCTAACCTGTGGGAATGTGGAGGGACGAATCCATAGCTCAGAAGCAAGCGGTATCTGCAGGAATGGATTATACTGGCTGGATCATAGGGGGTCAGTGAGTCATGAGAATGAGCCCTAATTGTAGAGAGTAGGATGTGTGATGAGAGAAGTGGGGACGCATCGTCATGGGGACCATCTTGATGGAGGGAGGGAGAAAAGAGAGGAGAGATAGGCAGTGAGCACAGAAGGAGGAGAGGAGAACCAGGCAGGAGCTATGCCAGTGACACCAAGGAAGGGTGCGTTTGCTGTGATGTGTTTTCATCACGTTTTCATAATTAACCAACAGATTAATATTCCTCAGAAATACAAAGCACCTCTCAATCATGCTATACCTTCTTCCCAACTTTACAGTAATACATTTCTTAACTTTCTAGTTATGTTTTAGCACCTTAGAATATTGAAAACATAAACCAAACCCTCATGGCACGAGCATGGGAAGCCCTTGTGATGAAAATCAGCTCAATGAGAGGGGAAATGCGGGAAGCATTTTTAGCAGAAAGTGATGACAGCTTGGAGCATCCCAAAGCTATGCATTATTCAGACGTGTCGGAGCGAGAGTGCCCGATTTCACCACCCATTACCTATTGGGATGCCTTCTTCTCTGCTTGCTAATCTGAATATTACTCATTTCAAGGTTTTGTTTATATTATCTTGAGGGGAAACAAACAGTACCTAATTAATCCCACCAAACATAATATTGGAAAAGCAATTATTCCCACCACGTGTAATAAACCATCTGTAGGGAAAATAATCCATTAAGTGTGAATCAGTGTGAATTTTAAAACTATTATTAAGATCAGATTGGTTCCTCGTTATGAGCACCATAATTTTAGTATTTGTTCATGCATACTGTGTTATGCCATGTTCTGTAACCTTAAATCCTTAATGTCCAAACAAATAATATCTATATGCTAATTAGTGTCAAAAATCACAGGTCAGCCAATCAGGTGTTTCACAGATGAGCCCCTTTTTTGGGGGTTAGCTCGAATCTGTGATTAATTAGAAAGTGAGTCCCCTATTTTGAAATTCTAGTGATAATTGTAGCAGAGGGCTGAATTTATTTGCATTTTCAGTAAATCATCCATTAACTGAAATGAAATCTTTTTGTTAAATTACTGCTCCTGGTTCAGTTAGGAGGGAGTTTTCCCTTCATTTTTAAATGTACTGGAGTATCCTTCAGTTCTCCTTGAGTGAGAAGCAATCGCTTTGACCATTGTCAACCAGAAAGAATTTCCCCACAGCATTTCTCTCTTTCCCAGCTGGGCCATAAATTGTCTCGTGACTGAGGTTGCTGTCTGCTCCTGAGCAAGCTGGAAGCAATGATGAGCTCAGAGCTGGGCTTTATTAAATCCTAGGAAGACACATAAAAATTGTTAGCAGTTGATTTCGCAGGAAACACCTAGCAAACTTGTCGGGGTTTATATTACAAAGCCCAGGGCCTGCAGTTAGCAGATCATCTTTTTTGAAAAGCATTTGGGTACCTTTGTCAGAGCTTTTCTGCATTTTGACGTAGGAGGATACCTGAGGGCCATGGTTGTGAGAAAGGAGAGAACCCACCCAGGTGTCCTGGGGATTGTTTTATTCATAAAGTAATTCGGATGATCTCGAGGTGGTCCAGGGAGATGGGATAGAGTCAGCCAAGGTGTCTATTGTAAGATAGATTGTGAACCCCTCAAAGATAGGCTGAAGTCCTTATTCCTGTCACCTGTGATTGTAACCTTATTTGGAAATAGGGTCTTTGCAGATATAATCAGGTTGAGGTGGGTGCATGTTGGAGAAGGATGGGCTCTTTATTTTTTGTTTGAGACCATGTCTTGCTCTGTCACTCAGGCTGGAGTACAATAGCATGATCTCAGCTCGCTGCAACCTCCACCTCCCAGGTTCAAGTGATTCTCGTGCCTCAGCCTCCCGAGTAGCTGGGATTACAGGCATGCGCCACCACACCTGGCTAATTTTTTTGCATGTATTTTGGTAGATACAGGGTTTCACCATGTTGGCCAGGCTGGTATTGAACTCCTGACCTCAGATGATCCACCTGCCTCGGCCCTCCAAAGTGCTGGGATTACAGGCGTGAGCCGCCGCGCCCGGCCAAGAAGGGTGGGCTCTTAATCCAATGGCTGGTCTCTTATAAAGAAGAGAAGACACAGACACACAGGAAAAATGCTGTGTGACCGTGGAGGTGGATCAGAGTGAAACATCTGCAAGTCAAGGAGATTGCCAGCAACACCAGAAACTAAGAGGAAGGCATGGGACAGAGTCTTCCAGACGGGCTTCAGAGGGAGCATCGCCTTGCCAGCACCTGGATTTGGGACTTCTGGCCTCTTGAACTGCAAGAATAACTTTATATTGCTTTAAGCCCCCCAGCTTGTGGTCACTTGTCATGCCAGCCCCAGGAAACTGACATGTCATCTCTCCGTGTGACTGGTTAAGTCTTGATGTGATCTCCTAGACCTACGTACTTTGGAGCTAGCCAGGGTATGATCAGCGAGAGGCTTAGGACTTGGTTAGTTCAACCAAGCTGTTGGAGCCCATTCTTGCCTCAACCTAGTGAAATCAAACCTTGCATCCTTTTCTCTTGCCTTTCTGAAGATGTGGATTTGAAAAAAAGAAAAGTATTCCTGCAAAGTTCCTTATCTCAGGCTCCATGGCATTTCTCAGAGCATCCGGCCATTGAGAACTGACTCCGTTTCTCCAAATTCAGCCTTCCCATGTGAGTTCTGTCCTGAGATGTGATTGGGGATTGGAAGCCAAGCAGACCCAGCAAAGGGAAGGTGACCAGTGGACTCCACCTGCTCAGCAAACACTGACCTGGCTTTTCCTTTCTGGGAAGTTCCGCAGGCCAGCTGGCATCCTCCCCGATGGCATTTCCTGGAGTCCTCACCTGAACTCTTGGGAATTGCCGCCTAGAGACCACCATGCAAAGCAGGATGTTGAAGACAGATTAGAAGGCTTCTTTCGCGCTGCCTCTCCTGTGCGGCTTCTCTCCGTTGTCTGTCTCCTCTCTTGTGCTTTCTGGATCTCTTCTAAAGCTTCTTGGGAAAAGCCAAACAGGAAATGAGCCACCAAGAGACTGGGCTTAGACAATGATGGCCAAGTAGAAAAGATTCTATGTTCTAGCATTGGGGACTGCAGAGGAGACAGCTGCCCCTTTCCAGGACCTGTCGAAGGACAAAGTCTAAGGTCCGTGGGGATCACCCTTCAGGAAGATGGCATCAGGCCACAAAAATAGAAAAGAGATATCGCCCTCCCTTTTATAGCACAAATGTTACCAGTCATGCTAGTATCAAAAATTATATTCCAGTTTACTTTCTGCTTCCCTTTCAGGCCTGAGATGCCTGGTTGATCCATCTTCGAATACTTTCAGGGAGCTAGTTTTTCTTGGGCCTTTTTCCCTCTTAGGGGCCACCACAGAATGGCCTCCCCAGCCGTTTTCTCTCCCTAATTCTGGAGCCTGGCCTGCCTGTCCTCCCGAGAGCCCCACCTGACTTTCTTTGCTTTGCTTTGCCTCTGTGGCTCAGCTTGTTTCATCCGTTCCTCCTTGCCATTTTGAAGGCAGTGCCAGCACTGGAGAACCCTATCAGTGCTTGCAACCCCACCACGAGGCCGGCAGCCGGGAGGGCTGGGCGCATCCGCTCACTGTAATCTCCAGAACAGATACCAGCTTTTCCTAACCCCCTAGCCTGTTCTAACCCTTGAACTGCTTGAGAGATGTCAAAATCATAACTCTCTGGGGAAGAGGAGTCAGTGTTTCTGTCCTAGCAGCACGCATCAGTGCAATCAGAGCTCTGTAAAAGCCAGGATCCACCAAGGGGAGGATTTGTGAAGCTTTTTCCAGTTACAGTGAGAACTGGGCAGGCATCGAGTCTCAGTTTCAGTGCCGCTTGAATACAGGGTGTCAGTGTCACTTGAGTGCTAGGCGGAAGTGCAGGTTAGGCCTGGATCGGAGGGTTAATGATTAGGTTTCTCCCGGGCTGCTTTTCACATCAGTGCTGTGCAATAAGCACTTTTACAAGTCAGGCTGCTTCCTTTGTTTGAGCTGCTAACCCTGTGTATTGAGCCTAGCTAAATAACTCCGATATTAGGATAATATACAAATGAATGTGTAAAACACACTTCAGTGAGTACTGTGCTAACCGCTTCTTTTGGTGGAGGGAGGAAAGAAGGGTGTTTACAAAACGGCTTCGCTTTGCTATTGTCATGAGGAGAACAGGAATTTCTCCAGGCTGTGTGGTCACCGGTGAATATATGCATCTAGGTTTTAGTATTTATTTGGAAATCAAATGTATTATGGGCAAGGGTATGTAATGAACCAGCCATTTAAAGATCCCTGGACATAAAATGCAAGCTTTTGGCTGCGCGCTGTGGCTCATGCCTGTAATCCCAGCACTTTGAGAGGCCGAGGAGGGCAGATCACTTGAGGTCAGGAGTTCGAGACCAGCCTAGCCAATATGGCAAAACCCCACCTCTACTAAAAGTAGAAAAATTAGCTGGGCATGGTGGCGGGTGCCTGTAGTCCCAGCTACTCGGGAGGCTGAGGCAGGAGAATCACTTGAACCCAGGAGGTGGAGGTTGCAGTGAGCTGAGATCGCACCACTGCACTCCAGCCTGGGTGAGAGAACGAGACTCCATCTCAAAAAAAAAAAAAAAGAAAAAAAAATGCAAGCTTTCGACAAAGCCTGCCTGCCTGCTTTGTGTGTGCCTTCCCTTTTTCTTGCAGTGGCCCTGTGGGTTTGCATGGCCCTCTGTGGCCAGCCTCAGGATCTAGGGTCCTCTCTGCTTGTAGTATAAGCTTTGAATGCTGTGGCCCGGAGCTTTTCCACAGCCTGTGTTTCCTGCTTCTGGTCTGCTCTAGAGAAATTCAAGTCAGGTTTGGCCTGGCTTGGCCAACCCGAGCTTGCCATGTACCTGAGTCCCAAGGGTGTCTGTCCCCTAACTCTAGCCACCTGTTGGGGAGGTAGGAAGGTCTGGGAGGGAGATGCTGAGGAGAGCAGAGTCGTGTGCAGACCAGGTGGGACTGGACTACAGGAGAGACCAGGTGGGACTAGACTACAGGAGAGCCCTGGGGGGCCACTCCTGGGGCCAGGAGCTGCTCCCTGAGGGAATTCTGAAGCTGGTTTGTGATTCTGTGTCACAGCCACCTGCATCCCAGTGAAAGCTATGGTTGCTTTCCATAGGTAAAGGCAATTTGAGGACAGCAAACATATTTTCCCCCACACAATCCGTCATTGTCTGGTGATGGGCTGTCAGTCCAAACCGTAGCCTAGAAATCGTAGCTCAGGAAGTAGAGTGCTGAGAGGAACAATTCAAACAATTTTGTTTCCTAAATGTATTCTTCAGTTGAAGTCTTTGTGGTTAATGTTGATAGTTTGTAGGCACAATCACTATTCTATGCATAGGGACAGCTTTTCCTAACTCTGGAAAAGAGGGGGTGTGTGTGTGTGTGTGTGTGTGTGTGTGTGTGTGTGTGTGTGTGTATTGTCAAAAACCAATGGAAGAGAAACACTTCAAAATGGGTGAGAACAGAGAACAGCATGAAATATGGACAGCAGACAGCCCTGTATGCAATGAAAATGCAGGTGCATGGTCACTAGAAAAGATGCCTCATTCTTTGAATTTTTGGCTCTTTGAAACACCTGTGTGACATTAAATTTTTTACTGAAATGTGGTATTATTAAGTCTTGCGTTTAAGTTTATAATCAGAAACAAAAACACCATGTCCTGTTAAGGAAAGAGTTATTCTGACAACGGTTAGCAGGATAAAGAAGATTTTACTCAGGAGTATTGCAATAGGTGTCAAGATTCCACAGAAGAGGAGAGAGATCAGTCTCAACTCGAAATACAGTACAAAACTTGGGATTTATAGCCAACAACCTGGGTGGGGCAGGTGACAGTCAGTGGATGGAAAATTACTAAGAGGACACCTCAAGGATAGGAGGTGTCTTGCTAAATGAACCTAATAGGATTCTTCCTGAAAACAGGCCAATGACTTAGACAGCAAAGGTGGAGGATGAGTAATTTGATCTCATGTCAAGGGTGTGGATTCACTCCAAACTCTCTTAGCAGGATAGAGCCAAAGTCAATGCCTAGTTGAGAAGAGAGCTCAGAGGAGCCTGGCTAACATTTAGTCAAAAAGAGTCTCTGTCAGTGCTCGATTTAGTTTTATTACTCAACACTGATACTTTCTGAGCTAGGCACTGGGTTAAACACTTAAAAAAAAGAAAAAAAAAGGTTGGCCAGGCATGGGTGGCTCACACCTGTAATCCCAACACTTTGGGAGGCCCACACCTGTAATCCCAACACTTTGGGAGGCCACAGTAAGAGCATCATTTGAGCTCTGGAGTGCAAGGCCAGCTTGGGCAGCATAGTGAGACCCTATCTCTACAAAAAATTTTTAAAAATTAGCCGGATCATGGTGTGTGCCCGTAGTCCCAGCTACTTGGAAGGCTGAGGTGGGAGGATAGCTTGAGCTTGAGAGGTTGAGGCTGCAGTGAGCTGTGATCCCACCACTGTACTCCAGCCTGGGCAACAGAGTGAGATCCTGTCTCAGAAAGAAATAGTTTAGTGGCAGGTGAGAGAGCATCATGTAATCGCGATGTGTAAAAACGTGCAAGAATGGAATTGTGCAGAAAACCCAGTGCGGGCTTATCAACCCGAAGAATTCCCTCTGGGCCCCAGGGAACATTCAGCAAAGAAGCTACCTTGGGGATTGTTCTTAGATTTTAACAATTTGCTGGGATGAGAGTATTTGAGAGTGGAAAGAGCACTGGGCTGAGGGAACAGCACGTGCCAAGCGATGGGGAACACAAGAGCCGGGTTCTGTGGCTGCTCAGGGGGCAGAGCTCCAGCCAGGCCTACAAGGCACACAGGATGGGGGTGGGGGCCGGAGCTGAGGCTGCGGAGCAGTCGGGGAACCTCTTCCATCATTGACAAGTGAGCCCAAACCATGCCATTCCAGGAGTGTTACCCTAGCCGCTTGTTATGAAGCCCTCTGTTACTTGGGATGATCTGAGTGGCCTTCCACGCACTTCAGAAAATAAATTCCTTTTTTATGGTGAGCGAAATTCTAATATATATTTGTATTTTCACTAACCTTACCAAAGAGAAAAATGTCAGCCCTTTTCCTGAAGTTTCTTTTGTCCACTTGTGACTTTCAATTAAATTTTAAAACCTCCAGAGTAGGAGGAATCCCCCACAGAGACAATAAGTTAGCTGATTAATTGAAAACGTGGAAGCTATTTTTATGATTACCACATACCTTGTATTTTATTTTTACTGAAAACACATAAGTGAGGTCAGGTGTGTTGGCTCATGCCTGTAATCTTAGCATTTTGGGAGGTGAGGTGAGAGGCTTGCTTGAGCCCAGGTGTTTGAGACCAGCCTGGGCAACATAGGGAGACCTCATCTCTACAAAAAATAAAATTAGCTTGGTGTGGTGGTGCATGCCTGTGGTCCCAGCTACTCAGGAGGCTGAAGTGGGAGAGTCACTTGAGCCCAAGAGTTCAAGATTGCAGAGAGCCATGATCATACCACTGCACTCCAACCTGGGTGACAGAGTGAGACTTTGTCTGAAAAAAAACAAAACAACAACAACAAAAAAACTCACATAAGTGTACCTTAGGCTTTTTTTGTTTTTTGTTTGTTTGTTTTGCTTACCTTTTATGTAAGTCCAATGCTTCTTTTTGAACGTGGTTCCACTGATGAGCTTCTATAATGCCTCATCAACAGTTCTGCCTACAATTTTTTAAAGTGGAGTTAGTCACATTTTTCAGGTTTTCCAGTTGTCTCACCCCAGTCTAATTTTGCATATTTTTTTTAGCTCTTTACCTTTATTATAGCCTTTGTAAAGCATTCCATTTAGTTTTCCAAAACTGGTTCTTTTTCATGGCACTAATAATTCATTTTCTCATGTCACATTTATTTGAATTACGTAATTATAGTAGCAAGGAGAATTGGTATTAAGTAAGTTTTAGGTGAAACCCATCGACTTTGGGATTGTGCACTCTGATGAGTCGGGCAGAAGAGTCCAGGTGTTCTAGGGGAGCCTGTCACTGGTCAGTGGTCAGTGTATCCCGAGGCATTGCAAATCCTCGCTTATCTGAAGGACTTGCTTCCCTGGAAATCTTGTCTGAGGATTTTTGTGTTCCTCGAGTGCCCAACACACATTGCTGGACCTTAAGGGGACACTTGGATATACATGATCTGGTCCAGCCATAAGGGCACACAGTGTGGGAGACAAGGGGCCATTCTGGGAACAGTAAAGAAATGAGATGTGCCCTCAGGGAGCTCAGACAAGGAGCTGCTGGAGACCAGCAGGGAGGAACAGTGACTGTACTCAAGCCTCAACACAGATCCTCAGGAACATCGTGTTGGGTTCATTGGACTCTGTATACAGTCAGAAAAGAATCCAGAGGAAGCACAGCTAAGAGAATTGAGACAGCAATTTGCTGTGGCATCTCCGCACAGAGGTAGAAGTTTATTGATTTGTTTCCTCTGATTTCAGAAGTAGTTTTTCGTTTTGTTTTTTCAGTTTCTGTTCATGTCATAGACCAGCGACCCCTGCTCCTCCATGCCCCTTAGTCTGCTGGGTTGACCAGATGGCTGGCACCCAGCACTGTGGCATCTATGCATTTAAATATTATTATTAGAGGCTGAGGGTTTTATATGGTTAGCTCAAGTACGTTTTATGCATTTTTTTTCCTGGTTTTTTTTTTTTTTTTTTGAGACGGAGTCTCGCTCTGTCACCCAAGCTGCAGTGCAGTGGTGCGATCTCAGCTTACTGCAACCTCCGCCTCCCAGGTTCAAGCAATTCTTTTGCCTCAGCCTCTCAAGTAGCTGGGATTACGGGTGCCCAACACCATGCCCAGCTATTTTTTGTATTTTTAGTAGAGATGGGGTTTCACCATGTTTGTCAGGCTGGTCTCAAACTCCTGACTTCAGGTGATCCGCCTGCCTTGGCCTTCCAGAGTGCTGGGATTACAGGTGTGAGCCACCGTGACCGGCCCATTTTATGCATATTTGATTTGGAGTTGGTGAATCAACTCGAAAACCTCAAAAGGGGGCTGTGAGAACACTGGGCTTTTTAGGGATAGGTTTCCACGTTCACCGATTTCATCTGAATGGACTGTTGATGCTTGGTGCTGTGGCCATGCCCTTGGCTCCTGCATTTAGGAGCAGTGAATGTGGCGTCCATCTGCAGACGTGGCTCAGCATCATACGTTACAAGCACAGCTTTTGGTACAGGAGCTCTCGGGTCGCTGGGAGATTGAGGATTATGAGAACTTCCTTCTTTCACACAGGGGTTTATCCCCTATTCAGCATTACATCAGCTTTCTCTGACTTTGGCATGGTGTTAGGAATTTATCAGGGAAATACGTTCTGTTTATACTGACTACATTACGGG
Organism: Homo sapiens; assembly: GCF_000001405.40. Classification (NCBI taxonomy): domain Eukaryota; kingdom Metazoa; phylum Chordata; class Mammalia; order Primates; family Hominidae; genus Homo; species Homo sapiens. The sequence continues at coordinate 127,306,714 of NC_000010.11, forward strand.
AAGCTTGGATAACTGTATGGGGGACTTTAAAATTTATCTCTCTGTGATAGTTTTTCAGCTATTATGAAACTAAACCAAACGAAGGCAGTGGGGGCCATTATAAAGGAAGTTTGAGAATCTGAAAGTCTTGATTTCTTAAAAGGAATTTTACCATAATCTCTCTCTCGATAAGAATTAAGAAAAATACTTACATGTATTATGTGCAAAGTGTACCCGTTAAATTCACCATAATTGAAAGATGCAATACTCTGTCAATAGTTTGGGAATTGTTTTAGGATTAAAAGTGAGATCCATTTGTAAGAAAATGTTTTCATTTTAGTAATGTTAATTTGATAACTTCATTATATTACTTCTCAATATATTACTTTGAGAGCAGGTAAAAAGAGTTTTCCAGAGCCTACTGGAACTATGCTAATCAGATTTATGGTACCTCTTATTTTCCTGGCCTTTCATTTTGTTTTTGTATTTAAGTCTTCTGTGTTGACAGCTGTCATTTGATGTGAGACAGGTGAAGCTCCTTCCTGCTTTGGCCCACAGTTGGGCAGCATTGTCCCCGGCCTGGGCTGGCCTCATCAAGTGAAACATCATGCTGCCATGTTTCGACATTTTACCTTTTCAGGTTCTGCACTTTTTCTGTGGGACCATCCCCTCTTCCCCGCCTGCCCTCTTCTCTCTGGGGTGTTTTAGATTTTAACCCAGCCTCTAACACTGGACACACAAGTCCTCAGTGGAGTTCTGTCGTTCAGTCCGCTGTCTTGGCAAACAGTGCCCAATCAAGAAACAAACGTGCTCTGCTGGCTGCAGGCTGCCTCATTTCTCCCCGATCCGAGGAGGTGTCACATAGTCATGATCCTTCCCGGGCCTGGCCTGGGGCAGAACAGGATGGCAAACACCTCTGCAACCTCTGGGTTTCCAGTCCTGCCCTGGGTGGGCCTGGCTTCGCCTCATGAAACCCCGAGTACTGTTTGACTCCCTGCCATAGCTGAGTGCCTGCCCCAACCCCACTCTGAGTTCAGCGCACATCCTGGTGTGAACGCCACCATCTCAGGGACATCCTGCTGCAAAGCTCCTCTCTGTCTCCTTGGTCTCTTGCCACCTACAGTCTTTCTCATGGGAGCCCCACCCCTCAGAAGGCTCCCCGTCTCTCCTGTCCGTGAGTTTTCCTGGAATTGTCACAATGCAGAGAATGAGTTCTGTGGGGAGGGTGGGGAATGTAGCCCTGTGGCTGTCCCAGCAAGTGGCCCCTGTGGGCTGGTGGCTGGCTCCATTTGAGACTGCCTTGAACCATGGGGTCTCCTGGGGAGGGGCTGGAGCTGTCAGGCTTCTTTCTGCTGGATGACGTTGCTGTTTCTGGCAGCACCATTGGCTGCATCTCAGACTGTGTCCCTTCCTTCAATTCTGTTGATGTCTCAGTTTGTGGAAATTCGGAAACCACATGCCTTTCTCTCTAGGGGTGACAGCATTGTTGGCCTCCATCCTCCTGTCAGTCCTTACGAGTGTCTTCATGCCAGGTGGTGCCGTCATGGCATGTGTTGGGCAGCTAACCAGTCCCTTCAGTGTGGGGCCTGGCCTCCTCCTTGCCACCTCGTTGGTGGAGGTGACCTGGGATGCTGGACCCACTCTTGTTTGGACTCAGTGTAGGATTCTCTACCTCTTTCTCCCAGTTACACAGCCTTGACCAAGCTTCTTTATTCCTCTGATCTTTTTTGTTTGTTTGTTTTTACTTTAAGTTCCTGGATACAAGTTCAGAAGGTGCAGGTTTGTTACATAGGTATACATTTGCCATGGAGGTTTGCTGTACCTATCAACCCATCATCTAGGTTTTAAGCCCCACATGCATTAGCTATTTGTCCTAATGCTCTCCCTCCCCTTGCTGCCAACCCCCTGACAGGCCCTGGTACGCGTTGTTCTCCTCCCTGTGCCCATGTGTTCTCATTGTTCAACTCCCACTTATGAGTGAGAACATGGAGTGTTTGGTTTTTTGTTCCTGTATGAGTTTGCTGAGGATGATGGCTTCCAGCTTCATCCATGTCCCTGCAAAGGACATGAACTCATTCTTTTTTTATGGCTACATAGTATTCCGTGGTGTATATGTGCCACATTTTCTTTATTCAGTCTATCATTGATGGGCTTTTGGGTTGGTTCCATGTCTTTGCTATTGTAAATAGTGTCGCAATAAACATACGTGTGCATGTGTCTTTGCAGTAGAATCATTTATATTCCTTTAGGTATATACCCAGTAATGGGATGGCTGGGTCAAATGGTATTTCTGGTTCTAGATCCTTGAGGAATCACCACAGTGTCTTCCATGATGGTTGAACAAATTTATATTCCCACCAACAGTGTAAAAGTCTTCCTATTTCTCCACAGCCTCGCCAGTATCTGTTGTTTCTTGACTTTTTAATAATCGCCCTTCTGACTGGCGTGAGATGCTGTCTCGTTGTGGTTTTGATTTGCATTTCTCTAATGATCAGTGATGTTGAGCTTTTTTTTTTCACATTTGTTGGCACCATGAATGCCTTCTTTTGAGAAATGTCTGTTCATATCCTTTGCCCACTTTTTGATGGGGTTGTTCATTTTTTTCTTGTAAATTTGCTTAACTTCCTTGCAGATTCTGGATATCAGACCTTTGTCAGATGGGTAGATTGCAAAAATTTTCTCCCATTCTGTAGGTTGCCTGTTCACTCTGATGATAGTTTCTTTTGCTGTGCAGAAGCTCTTTAGTTTAATTAAATCCCGGTTGTCAATTTTTTGCTTTTGTTGCAGTTGCTTTTGGCATTTTGATCATGAAGTCTTTGCCCATGCCTGTGTCCTGAGTGGTATAGCCTAGGTTTTCTTCTAGGGTTTTTATCATTTTGGGTTTTACATGTAAGTCTTTAATCCATCTTGAGTTAATTTTTGTATAAGGTGTAAGGAAGGGATCCAGTTTCCGTTTTCTGCATATGGCTAGCCAGTTCTCTCAGCACCATTTATTAAATAGGGAATGCTTTCCCCATTGCTTGGCTTGTTGAAGATCCCTCTGATCATTTTTAAGGCTGGTTGAGACCAGCCCTGTGGAGGACTTCCTTAATTTTCAGTGGCAATGTTTTTAATCAGTGAGATGACTCACAACACTAAACAATTCCCCATATATCTTGTGTGTTAGGTTAAGGGAATACCATGTTCTTTTTTTTTTTTTTTGAGACACAGTCTCACTCTACTACCCAGGCTGGAGTGCAGTGGCACGACCTCAGCTCACTGCAGCCTCCACCTCCCAGGTTCAAGCAATTCTTGTGCCTCAGCCTCCCAAGTAGCTGGGACTACAAGCACGTGCCACCACACCCAGCAATTTTTGTACTTTTAGTAGAGACAGGGTTTCACCATGTTAGCCAGGCTGGTCTCGAACTCCCAACCTCAAGTGATCCGCCTGCCTTAGCCTCCCAAAGTGTTGGGATTATAAGCGTGAGCCACTGCGCCCGGCCTGCTTTACACTTTTTACATAGATCCTGGTGAGAATCGGACCTGGGATTTTTCTATGAATGAGAGCCTGTTGTATGCCATACCCCCACCCCACCCCCTTACCCCCACCCCTACAGCCTTCCTAATATAAGGAAGAAATGAAGCAGCCGAGCCATCATTAAGCAGATCACCTCTGAAAATGAAGGAAATTGGATGAAAGCTCTGCCCCGGCAGCTGAGTGCTAAATTAGGGAGAATCACGGGAGGCCAAGGGCATGGCCGGGCTTTGTCGCTGCCTTATTATGGATTTGATAAGAAACAACTTTTTTGACTGTTTACATTATGGAAATGTGATAACCCGTTTGTATTACTTAAACTGTGCATTTTGTAAGTGTTGTCAAAGGGAGGGAGTAATTTGTAACAGAAGCAGAGTATGTAGAAACTGTTCTCGTAAAAGCGTTCTCTAAATTGCTTTGCTTGCAGCTGTGGAGGTTGCCATAAAGAATGATTTCTCATATTGGATTTTCAAAGCCGCAGGAGTGGCCACAGAGCAGGCAACGGACAGCCCAATGATTTAAGATTATTTAATGCCCCAGTTGTCGTGAAATAGAAGGAAATAAACTCCAGTGGGCTGCTAGAACACATTACTACAATCTCTTAATGCCCCAAACTAGGAGACTGATTTATCTCCTGTTATGTCTTATTAAGTGACATTCAGAAGAAGAAAAGAAAAAAAAGGACAGCCAAAGCTGATGGCTGAAAATTACCCTGAAATGAGTGTGATGCAGGCAGGCTTGTATCGTTCTTAAGTTCAAGAACCCAAACTTGAACTCAACACTTTTTCAGTGTGTTTTATTTGTTAGTACAGAGATATTTGAAGATGACAGATTGGGCATAAGAATAGGCCAAAAGGCTGTCTGCCCCAGTGCTTCCCAGACTTCATTGAGCACACGAATCGCCTGGGGCTCTTTTAAAATGTAGATTCCAATCCAGAAGGTCTGGGAAGGAGCCTGCAACTGCATTTCTACCAAGCTCCTCCATGCTTCCAAGGCAGCTGTTCCTGGGGCCATGCTTTGAAGGAGCAAAGTTCTCATTCATCCTGCAGAAGGAACCTGCAGAAATTCTCATTCATCCTATAGAAGGAACCTGCAGAAATTCTCATTCATCCTGTAGAAGGGACCTGCAGAAATTCTTACTCATCCTGCAGAAGGAACATCCTCCAGGCAGAACCAAAAACAGCTCATTGTCTTCCTTTATGCAGTACACTTAGGGCATCCCTATTCCAAACATCCGAAATCCAAACTGTTCCAGTGAGCATTTCCTGTGAATGTTATGTCAGTGCTCAAAAAGTTTCAGGTTTTGGAGTATTTTGGAATTTTGGATGTTCAGATTAGGGATGTTCAGCCTATAAGCATTCCAAAATCCCCGCAAAAGAATGAAATCTGAAACACTTCTGGTTTTAAGCATTTCAGATCAGGGATACTCAGCCTGTTGTTCTTTATTTCACAGTCGTCCTTTCGTCCTTTACATAACTGTTGTCCCTGTCTCTGCACAGCTGATTGTGAGTGATCGGATTTGAACTCCCTACACCCTCTATCTAACCCATTCCCCTCTTGCCTCATCCTCAGTGAGGACAAAGAAGGTTGCTCTGGGCTGCTTAAATTGACTCCTACATGCTCAGTATATATCCTGCATGTACCTGTTTTTTATTTTTTTTATTTTTATTTTTTTTGAGATGGAGTCTCACTCTGTCACCCAGGCTGGAGTGCAGTGGGGCGATCTCATCTCATTGCAACCTCCGTCTCCTGAGTTCAAGTGATTCTCCTGCCTCAGCCTCCTGAGTAGCTGGGATTACAGGCCCACGCTACCACACCTGGCCAATTTTTGTATTTTTAGTGGAGACGGGGTTTCACCATGTTGGCCAGGCTGACAACATATATTCTCGTGGTTCAAATGGTGGCTTTTGTTTTCATGGCATTCTGTCATGAACCCAGAGCTCTTGATGCCTAAGAGCTGCCTAAGGCAGACCCATTACTGCCTAAGAAGAAGAGAATTGGGGCTATTAAACTTGCAGGTTTGCAGGTATCCCAGCCAGCACTCTTGAGAGGCAGTGTCCATAGAAATAGCGGTGATGATCACCAGGCTCTCCAGTACGGATTCCTAGGACGGGGCAGCAGAGCCATGCACTCCCCAGTGCACTGGCTGGTACTGGGGCCCTCAATGCCCCTCTGGGGGCTGCAAACACAAGAGATCTGGGCTCCCAGGCCCTATGCACTTCTGCAGGGCACAGGCTGCTTCTTGCATTCTTAAGTCCCCATGGATAGGAAAGCCCAATGAATTGGGATGGTCTCCAGTGAGGGCTTCACACTTCCTTTATAACATGCAGCATTTTAGGTTGGTGACTGGTGTGCACTGGGCCAAGGGTCCACTCTGTCTCTGTCCTTACCCCCGGGCTTGAGGACTAGCCCCTGCCAAATGTCTTACGGGCTCATCCCAGTGGGCTTGTTGAGTGGGCTGCTGAGTTTGCAATGCCTGTCCCTCCTCTATTTACCAAAAGCAATGTTTTCTCTCTTCACTTGCTAGGGTTTCCCATTCTCCCTGTGCCTCCACCCCCATCCTCCTGGCAGCCAGATGGTCTTCCCCCTCACAGCCATCACTCCCTCCCTCCTTCCCTCCTTCTCTCCCTCCCTTCCACTGAACAACTCACCTGCTGGTCTCTGGACCTCCTGCCACATAAACCATTTTCCACACTGAGACCACTTCTCTCTCCTGCTGGAAACCTTTCAAGGATTGCCATTTAGGAGAGATGTTAAGTCCACTCCCCTAGCCTGGCCATTGAGGCCTTGGCTCCCTGGCCCCTCCCAGTCCTGGGCTGCAAACAAACTGAAGCTCTGGGCTCCCTTGACCCTCAGCCATTGCCCGTGCCATCCTCTCTGCTAGACATCATGACTCAGCCAGACCTCAGCTGTGTGACCCACTCCAAACACCAGCTACTCTATGAAGTCTTCCCACCTGGATGCAAGCACCAGACCCTCGTCTTCCTCTATTTCCATGAGGCACCATGGGCACCCCTCACCTCCCCTCAGAGTGCCACCCATATGCGATGCAATCACTCTCAATAGCCCTGACACACACAAGCAGGGACAATGTCCTAAGCATCTTTACATCCCAGGACAAGCTCACGAGTAGGCATGCAATGACGGAATGGAAGAGTGGGTAAATGGACAATAGATATCACTGCTTGGTACCTTCCACTACAAGCACTGGACTTTTAGGGAACAGCATTTAAGCCATAGCGAGAAAATAGCTAATGGGATTTCTGAAATCCACAATGAAATGTCAAGTAAAATGTTTCCTCCTTGGGTCAATCAATGAGCTGATTTCTTATTCTCTGATATTGTTGTGGGCTTGCTTTAGACCTAACCGTACCCTTCAGGGGGCTTACTGCAGGTGCACATTTTCAGAAGGATGGAGTCCTGAGAGAAGGCCCTCGTTCCTGGTCCTCACCCATCCTCCACCCCTCTCGACCCGCAGCAGACACCCCCAGGTCTCCTCTTTTCCCCCCGCCTCCCTGGTTTCCCTTTGGAGGTGCTTTCAGGATATGCTGCCTAATGCTGGTTCCTGTTAGACAGGTTCGCCTGAGGGCTGAGGGATTTCATCTAGAACTACAGCCCCTCGAGGGGACTCCAAGAACTCTTGGCTCTTTGGCTCCCATCTGGCTCCCAGCTTGCTCGTATTTGTTTGATCCGGGCCTGTGTGTGTTACATTTTTATAGGATCTCCCTCCGATGTGCACATCGATTTGTTCTGTTCAGATGCTTTGTGTGGAACGTATTTTATGTGGTGGTTTTTGGAGTGTTGCACCCTCTAGAGAAAATGACCTTTCATGCCCGTGAATAATGAGGCTGGAAATATTTCTCTTAACTCAGAAGCATCTGCACGCACTTGTTTTCACACTTGAGTTGATGAGCCTGCTCATGGCATGACTTTCCTCCAAAGACCTGGGGATCCGAATAATGCCTATTTTTAGTGCCTCCTGAAAACAGGAAAGGGCAGACCATGGAAATGTTTCCTTTGTGGGAGTATTTAGCTTCAAGTTTAGCACTGGGCAGGAGTGTGTGTGTGTTTATAAGTATGATTTGATAGATCATTTTTCTCAACTACACACTGAAGAAGGGGAAAATGAATCATAAAGGACTACCTGGAGACCAGTAGTGGCTCCAGCAGTGGGTTCTGGGCAAGCTGTGGCTGCGCAGTGCCTGCCGGCCTCCAGATGAGCATCCCATTCATGCTGGGGAGAAGCCGGGACAGCTTGAGCAACTTCCAGTGTAAATGGGCTTCATTCACTGTGAGTTATTTTGAATGCCCTCTTGGCCCTGTAGGGAGTTGCAGACGGTAATGTATGCATGTACATAGAGGCAAAACCTCATAGATCCTGTTTTGTTTTTGTTGAAACACTAGGTTTTTGTTGAAAATTAGAGGTCACAATGTGACAAAATCCCTCTGTTCTTAAAGTAAGAAGAGCCACCCAATCCCAGAAGCATATTCATGGGAAGCCAGTTTTCATAGTCTTCCCAGACTTCTTCAGAAAGTAGCTGTTGGAAAGAACCCTGTCTGTCAGTGTCTGGAAGCTCATTGCCATGTGTGTGCTGACCTCGCACCCTCCTAGGGGAGGCAGGGGGCTGAGACCATCTGAAGCCACCAGCATTGTAACACACAGTAGCAGTGGTGTGTTCAGAAAGCACTTGGACTCCAAGATCAAGGTTTCTGCCACTCACATGGGCAGACAGATATCTAGAAACAACCATGACTGTAATAACAGCAGCTGGTCACCACGGAGCAGGGGAGTGCCTGCAGGGGAAGGAGCAGCCCCTGGGAAAAGCAAATCCGCTCCTCCTGGCCCAGGGCCTGAAACCTGGGAGGCTCCTCGTCATAGGGTGGGCTAAGCCAGCTCTTTCTTCCTAATGTCAGTGAGGTTATGCACTTGGCATGGCGGAGAGCTGCCCCCTCCTCCGTGAGAGTGGGTTAGAAGATGGTGGTGGTGTTAACAAGGAAAAATAACACCTAATGTACACAGAGCTATATCCACGGGAACCTGTTCTGTGGACTATTAAAAATCCAAAATTCATGTTGAGGTCCTACCTCTCAGTACCTTAGAATGTGACTGTATTTGCAGATAGGACCCTTAAAAAGGTAATTAAGGTTAAAGAAGATCATTAAGATATGGCCTCATCCCATCTGACTGGTGTCTTTATAGCAAGAAGAGACTAGGACACAGACACACACAGAGGAGAGGCCATTTGAGGACACGGGGGGAAGATGACCCTCTACCAGCCAAGGAGAGAGGCCTCAGAATGAAACCAACACATCTCACACCTTGATCTTGAACTTCAGCCTCCAGAACTGTGTGAAAAGAAGTTTCTGTTGTTTAAGCCCCACTACCTGTGGCCTTTTGTTAGGGCAGCCCCAACGAACTAATACGGAGTCCTATTACCAATCTTTGTTATGAGAGCTGCCCCTGAAGTCACATCAGTTGCATTTCCGGATTCCAAATACCTTTTCCACATAGCTGGGTTGGGGTCTCTCTCTGTCGCCCAGGCTGCAGTGGCGCAATCTCGGCTCACTGCAACCTCCGCCCTCCTGGGTTGAAGTGATTCTCCTGCCTCAGCCTACCGAGTAGCTGGGATTACAGGTGCCTGCCCCCATGCCGGGCCAATTTTTATATTTTTAGTAGAGACGGGGTTTCACCATGTTGCCCAGGCTGGTCTCAAACTCCTGACCTCAAGTGATCCACCCACCTCAGCCTCCCAAAGTACTGGGATTACAGGTGTGAGCCACTGCACCCCGCTGGGGACAGGCTTTTGAATCCTTACTCTTTAAAAAGAAAAAAAAAAGGTGTATATTTAAGGCCTACAATGGGATGTGTTGATACACGTAGTGAAGTGATGGCTACCTTCCAGTAAATTCACGTATCCATCATCTCACATAGTTACCTTTCAGTTTTTATTTTTTGTGGTCAGAGCACCTAAAATTTACTCACGTAGCAAATTTCCAGCATATGATACAATATTATTAACTCTGGTCCCGTGCTGTACCTAAGAGCTCTTGACTTGTTCATGGACAGACTGCAACTTTCTACCGTTTAACTTATATCTGCCCATTTTCCCCACTCACCCCGCCTTTATTTAGAATGTGGGGGAAACAGAGACTGATGCACTGTATCTATGTGACGATAAAACTCCATCATATTAGTTAGAAGGGAGGAGAGTAACGTTGCTTTTTTATTTCTGGAAATCAGAAATCATATTGAGACAAAGTTAGAAAAAGCCATCTGTGTTTTGTTTGGCCTTGTATTGGATTCATTCTGAATCGACTACTAAAAACAAAAGGCTTTGCTTCATTTCTTCTTTCCTTTTTATATTTGAAAGCACTGTTTGGGTTGTGATTTTTGTGATGCCTTTATTTTATTTTCTGGGACTGTGGGTGATTTTGGCAAAGATGTATGACCCTTAACTCAAAAGGGCGCGGTTTACAGGCTAACTGAGGGTGGGTTTATGAGCAGCATTATTCTGCAGGAACACAGAACTGTACAGACAAGGCGGACCACAGAGTGGGGCCTGAAGCAGCAACCTGTCAGCCTCCCCTTGCTGCAAACACCTGCTCTGCCCCACTGGATCCCAGGTACACTCGTGGCCATGTGTGTGGGTGGGCTTGAACATTGCCACTCCCCCTCCAAGAACAAACACCCCCTCTCCAACACTAAGAAAAATATCAGCATGGAACATAAACGTTCCCCTCAGATAATCAAATAATTCACCCCAAACTGTCCACTGTGCCGTCACTGGCTAAAGCGAGCTGACTTTTCTGTATACACGCCATATCATTTTCCTGGATTATTTCCCAAAACTTGACAGACCTTAGGAAAGCTATTTTTGAGACTTTGCTGACAGTTTTTCTGGACCCACAGTATGTATTTCAGACATTTCAGTAATAACTCTGTGACCTCATTATATGCGTATTTTTGTATGATCCTGTGGGTATTGGTGTGAGGACACACCTTGTATTCTTATTTAAAAATCCCAAGTTAAAAACAGCCCTGGCCTTTTCGAGTCACGTCCGTACATCTGAGTTTGGACTAGGAGAGTGACTTAGTTCACTACAACATTTTACCAAAAGATATTGAAGCAATGTTTTTTCCAAAATATGGCATAACACAGAATTCTTGGATTTGCTGAAATCCTACAGATTTTTCTGTGTTCGTTTGTTTGCCATATTCATGCAGGTGATTTGCAGGTGTGCAACCTGGAGTCCAGCTGTCTTGCTCTTCATGCTGGGCACTGTTTGTTCTCTGCTCGCCCAGCACAATTTATATTACAGAACTCACAGCGAGGTGGAGAGAAGACACAGTGTCCGGAGTCAGGAGCTCTGGATTCGAGTGCACATTCACCCATTGATAATACTGAGCAGGCAATTCACCAAAACCACCTTGTGCTGCACCCTCTTGAATAGCAACTTAATACATGTCCGGGAGCCGCCTCATATAGTTGGGTTAGTTGAGATAATGAACTTGGCCAGCTTTGAAACAGGAAGTTTTTGAAACTTGCCGGTGTGCCTGCATGTTCTGTGTGTGCCACTCTCATGCTGCTAGCAGTGCCTTGCCTGTTCTTGGTGTTCTTGGAAGATACCTGAGCTCTTACTTTGACTCCTCAAGGTGTTTGGTTCGCATTCATTGACAACAGTGCAGTTTGTACCCAGAGGCTCTGACTTCACTCTGTTGAAGGTTAAAGAAGATAGTGGCCTTAGGGGAGTCATCAGGCCATTCTACTGAAGGTGGGTGGCATCTTTAATGCAGCTGGCAGCCTGTCTGGGGCATGGTCCTTGCTCAGGACTTATTTCCCTTCTTTTTTCTCACCTTTAAGTAGAAATGTACATAAGGACACAACTAGATATTGATTTGCTAAGTTCAGTGATATTCAAAGTGAAAATGATACATATACTTCTGGATTATTTTCGTTGCAAAATTTGTTCATTCTTTCCCTATTCGGTGTGCATTGAGTGCCTGCTAAGGGCTGGGCAGAGTGCTAGAAGACGGGAACTGTGTGAGCCAGCACAGGTGTGGAGCCTGTTTTCTGGGAGCTGAGAAGTTGGGGGTGGAGAGGAGGCACACTGGACATTGCTTGAGCAGCCAAATGAGATGACAGGTGTGATCCCAGCACACTGAAGGAGAGGCACACGGTTCTCTAAGAGTGTGTGAGGAGACGAGTAGGGCTGGGATGGCTGGGAGCTGTGACATTGGAAGGACTTAACCATGTGTGCAGGAGGCAGTAGCCTCCTGGGGAGAGGCAGCAGCATGTGCAAGGATGGGGGCCCAGCACTGGGTTCATCCTACAAGCATGTGTCCGGGCCTCAAGGCCACTCTGATGACTGCTTTCCCTCCCTGAGCCTCCTGCAGTGAGAGTGAAGCTCACGAATGCTTTGGGTGTGGCATGGCAGTGTGGTCTCATTGTGTAAGGTGTTTTGATTATGTGTGGACTTTTGCGCCAGGACTATTTTAAATGCTGGGGATGTCGTGCTGAATAAGCCTGACCAAGCCTCTGCCTTCGTGGAGTTTGCCTTCTACTTAGGCAGGGGCTCAGATAGTAATCCAGCAAACCTATAACTGGGCCCTGCAATGTCAGAGACTATGAGTGTTATGAATAGAAATAGATACAGTTTAACAAGGGGCCAGAGGGGCCTGAAAGGCTGCATTGCTGTGGGCAGGGAGGTCTGGGAAAGGCTTTGGAGTGTGGGTGCTGGGGCTGTCCCTTGACCAGAGACTGGAATGATGAAGCCAGCCTTGCCAAAGGGTCCCCTCTGTGACTTGCTCTGACACCCTAATGGCAGGGATCTGCCTCCTTGCCTCCTCTCTACCACACAAAACTGATTGCCTTCCCCAAGGACAACAAAGGAGAAGAAAAGAAAACGAAGAAATCAGAAAGGATAAAACCAAGAGAGATCACCAAAGGCGCGTGGTGCAAATACTGATCACATCAGTAAGAAAACTGTTTCCATCCCTGATTTGCTTTTCTTTTAAATAGGATATTCAGTCATAGCTTCACTATAAAATTGATTTATTGTGTTGAAATAATTTCCGTAGCAGGGGAACTAATTGGATTGTGTAGCATAAAGAAAATGTATGTGGGACAATGGGGAAGAATTGAGCCAAAATGAATCCAATATATTTTAATCTCTGCAATACAGATTATATTTTCAATTAAGAAGCTTAACTTGCATGTGTTCGGCGGGCGGGAGCTTCCCAGAGCACTTCCCGCATGTGTTTATGGGTAATAAATCACTTAGCATTAAGAAGGTAGACGATCATTAGCCCATGATCACTCAGTTGCCTCCTGTTAATAGCAAAGTCAATGCACACCATCACTGTGGCCATATTCGGGTGGTAAAATGTGGAGTTACATGGAAAGTGGAACTGTTATATTGGTGAATACGATTTACTAGACGGAACAAGGAAAACCTGAATTCCATCCCCTGTGGGCCATGGAAAGCCCATATTCACAGTCAAGTGTGAAAGTGGCTTTTGGGCCACCCGTGCCCTGTCTGAAAGCAGAGCATCATGTGGCCACGTGTCTGCTCGGCTCTGCCTTACTAATTGTGTTTAACCTGAGCTCTGCTACAGACAGACTTTGGTCTTTGCTCCATGCGTGCTTCTGGCATGACCTAGGAGTTGCTTGCCAGTGATGGGCAGAGGGCGAGGGCAAGACGCTGGCTAGCCTTTGTCCAGTGGTCCACTTGTCTGGGATCGCATTTCATCTTAAAGCAACCCATGAGGTGGAGGAACCATGATCATCATATTATATAGGCCATGGAATCTGCCTCGTGGGCTGTCGTAGCAGAGCAGTCAACAAGTTAGAAGCCAGAGCCCTTGTGCACTCATCGGTGCCCACAATAACTCATTAGGTTTTTTCCTTTTCTTCCTCTCAGTCCCAGTAGCCGTCTAAGAGCAGAAGCTTCTGGGGCCTGGCCTTGCAGACACTGACCTTTGACTCACCTCTTTATGATTAAGACAAGAGCATGGAAGAAATAAAGGGGTCATTAAAAAAAAAGAAAAGGAATCTGGCAGGAAAAGCAGAGGCAGATGTGGAGCTGGTTTAAAAATCTATTTCAAGTCTTTCCAGTGGCTGGCTGGGTAGGCAGGGGCCGCCAACACGCAGGGGCCAATGCAGCCAAGGAGCAGTTGCGTAAGTCCTTGCGTAAGTAGAATGAGATGCCCAGGGCTCCCTTGAGCGCGGCCACGTGGCTGGGAACCTGTCAGGTTTTATAGCATCCAATCAGACACCGTGCACCAGGATGGAGAGCCCGGAAAGAGGTCAGAGCTGGGGAAGGCAGGTGGGGGCTGTAAACCCAACAGCAGTGTGAGGAATGGGCTCAAGGCGGATGGAGTGAGCAGAGGTGTCCCAGGGACAGTGGCGAGCCTGAAACTAGACATGGGGAGAGAAGAGACAGAGACAAGAATAACAATGGTAGTAAGGTGGCAGATCCTCAGTTTAAAATCTGGCCACGATGCCATTCACTTAGGCACTTGCTTGTTCTAGAAATATTTATTAAGCACTAGGTGTGGCAGGTGTAGAATGGATTTGCCCCCAGGAAACCCTGGATCTGGGGCTCCGAGTCATCTGTCTACGTCCTCTGGAGCCTTCCTTGTCGATTGTCCCTTCACCTCCAGATTCTTCTACTGCAGGGAAGCTCCCTTGACCTCACCCTCACCCTCACTGTGGACACCTCTGTTTTGTCCTTCACAGCCAGACCACACAGAGTGGTCCCCTAGGTCCCCAGCCTTCACTCACTCTTCATCTCCCCATGAGGCTAATGAAATCTGTTCTACTGCAGTTATCAATGGTGTCCTCATCAATAAGCCCACATTACCGCCCTCCCCAGTCTCAGACACTGTTGATGGCGCCCTTGCTGTTAAGTGCTCTTGTCCAGTAGCTTCCATGACCCCGCGTCTTGCGCTGTTTCCCTCTGGCATGTCTCATTCCTTCTCTCCCTCTCGCTCTATCTCTCTCCCTCTCCTCTCCTCCCCTCCCCTCCCCGTCCTCCCCCTCTCTCTCCTCCCCTCTCCTCCCCTCGGCCCTATCCTCCCCTCCCCTCTCCTCTCTTCCCTCCCTTCCTCCCTTCTTTCCTTCCTCTATCCTCCCTTCTCTCGCTCTCTCTCTAGCTCATTTTTTTTTTCTTCTGCCCGGAAGAAATACTGGCATTCTCCAAGGCTCTTTTCTCAGCCTTCTTTTTTAGGTTCTTATTCTAAAATCTCTCTTCAGTGCTCTCTCATTGATTTCCAAGGATTTCTTTATAAGTGGACTGAGATTGAGTACAAAATGTACCTTCAACTCTTGACCTTCACCTGATCCCAGACCCCACTTTCACCTGGGTCCCCAAGGCTGAGCACAGGTCCCTCCTATCCCCAAGGAGGTGCTCTGAACCCACTCCCCATGGCTGTGGATGGCTCCCCAACCTTCTGCATGAGGTAGACACCCAGTTACCTCTGCAGCGTCCTTCCCTTCAGCCAAACCCCTCCCCCCGCCGCCCCTGCTAAATTTACTTTGTCACCCTTTCTAGACCAGGTCAGTTCCAGACATGACCTGGATGCTCCTTCTCCTTAAAGAGTGAATGAGCAAGAGGCTGGGCGCAGTGGCTCACACCTGTAATCCCAGCACTTTGGGAGGCCAAGGCGGGCCAATCACCTGAGGTCAGGGGTACAAGACCATCCTGGTCAACATGGTGAAACCCTGTCCCTACAAAAAATACAAAAATCAGCCAGATGTGGTGGCACACACTTGTAATCCCAGTTACTTGGGAGGCTGAGGCACGAGGATCACTTGAACTCAGGAGGTGGAAGTTGCAGTGAGCCGAGATCATGCCACTGCACTCTAGTATGGGAGACAGAGCGAGACTCTGTCTCAGAAAAAGAAAAAAAAAGAGAATGAATAATGAGCAAGAATGATAGGCCATGGCAGATTGGCACACACATAATTTTATAATTTCCCTTTTTTTTTTTTTTTTCCTGGAGACAGAGTCTTACTCTGCTGCCCAGGCTAGAGTGCAGTGGTGTGATCTCGGCTCACTGCAACCTCTGTTTCCAGGGTTCAAGTGATCCTCCCGCCTTAGCCTCCTAAGTAGCTGGGATTACAAGCATGTGCCACCATGCCTGGATAATTTTTGTATTTTTAGTAGTGATGGGGTTTCCCCATGTTAGCCAGGCTGATCTCAAACTCCTGACCTCAAGTGAACCACCCATCTCAGCCTCCCAAAGTGCTGGATTACAGGAATGAGCCACTGCACCCAGCTGGCACACACATAATTTTCTAAACCAGGGGTTGACAAGCTGTAACTGATGACCCAATCCAGCCCTCCATCTGTAGTGTGTATGCATGTGTGTGTCCCACAAGCTAGGAATAGATTTTATGTTTTTAAAGGATTGAAAAAAGGCAAGAATACTATTTTATAACAGATGAAAATTATATGAATTTAAATTTTGCTGTCTATACATAAAGTTTTATTGGCACATAGTCATACCCATTCACTTTTTGTATTGTCAGTGGCTGCTTTTGCGCTGTTATAATAGCAGAGTCTATTAGTGAATGCAGAAGAGACCATATGGCCTGCAAGGCCTGACTTCTTTACTGTCTGATCATTTACAGAAGAAGTGTACTGATCCCTTGACTAGACTGTCAAGAATGGAAAGTGCACTGTTAAGAATGGGCACATCTTATTCACAGACTGCAATCAATAATCAATAATCAATCACTCTGATGTAACCTGAGAACATACTGTGTAGAAAGCATGCTGTAGAGGATAGCGTGTGCTTCCCCTTGTGCTCCCCAGTCTGTTTCACAAGTTCTGGATGATTGATCAATGCTCGATCAATGCGAGCTCCCTTCTCCATCATGGGAAGAATGGGAAGCCTGCCCCTCCCCTGTGGTGCATCTGGCATCCGAGCTGGTGTTCATCGCTTCCCTCTCTGCTGGGTGAGGACCTCGTGGGTGAGGACTTCCACATAAAAATGAGGGGTAAGGCGCAAACATCAGACCAGAGTCACAGGAGACATTATCTTCCCCGTGGCCGCCCTGCCTGGTGAGTTTACTGATTTGCCTAAGGGTGGTGCTGGTGTGTGTCTTGCACCATGCCTCCCTCCAGCCTCTCAGATATGTCCTGTCCGGTGGGGACGTCTCTCCTGTGTATATTTTTGGTGGCTGAGCAAAGTGCTTGTGGTTCCTTTCAGCCAATTGTGCTGAGGCAAAGGCGGGCCACTTAAATTGCAGTTTCTCTGATGTATCTTCTAAAAGCCAAAGGTCGTTATCCACAAAGGGTACTTTTGTGTAACACCAGGCACTCGAGTAGATCTGTGGGGTCTTCCCTCTGTGGGTGATGAGTCTGGGTTTCAGCATCCCGCTTCCCCAGACCACATGGCCACTGATCCGTGGGGTGCACAGAAGGACAGGCAGTCACATGCCTGCTTCTTTGAGTTCTGCCACCTACGAGCTGAGTAACCTGGGCAAGTGGTGAACCTCATGGATTCTTTGTTGCCACCAGCAAATTGGGGAGAGTAATTGAGAGGGCATTTCTGAGCTCCTGGCTCAGCAGGTAGCATGTTAGAGCTGCTTGATCAATGCGAGCCCCCTTCTCCTTCATGGGAAGAACAGGAAGCCTGCTCCTCCCCTGTGCTGCATTTGGCATCTGAGCTGGTGTTCAGTGCTTCCCTCACTGCTGTGTGGTTGCCAAAGCCTCCTGTGGAGTAAGGCCCTGCACTGCTTCATCCTCCTGGGAGAGCAGGCAGTGGAGCAGGATGCTGCATACAGAGCTGGTTCTTGGTTCTTGAGGAGGGGGAGCGGTGGCTCTGCCAGCTCAGCTGTGAGTGGTCCCAGGATGAAGGAACAGCAGGAAACAAAGATACTCTCAAGGCCATGGAGAAGAAGTGTGAGGTAGATGCTGGCGCAGGAGCCCACGGTGGGGGAGAATCCGCTTCTGATGTCTTCCACCCTGGACCTCAAGTGTCAAACAGCAAGAGATGGGCTGAGCAAAGATCACCCGTCTCAAATTCAGTTGACAATCAGCACCAGCCACGTCTCCTGGGAAACATGAAGTGGCCTTAACCGTCACCTGCCTGTCATCTCAGGCTTGCCATTAGTCAGGCATTCGTTAAAGAATTCTGTCAATAATAGAAATCAGAAATGCCTGGAAAGTAGATTTCTTGCAGGGCAGATGGAGAAGACAGCCTCTGGGTCTCCAAACCCCTTTGGCTCTCACTGGGGCTTCTGGGCAGGACTGGGGACCCATGTACATGTCATCTCAGGGCAGCTTTCTTTCTAAACCCATTTTGCAGATGTGGCGGCTGAGGTCTCATCCAGCACCCAGTCACGCCTCTCTTGGGGGAGAGCCCCACCGTTGGGAGCTGAGCAAAGGCAATATTTCGGTTTTTTTTTTAAAAGATACTGTGAGTTGGTCATCACTAGACTTGGGTGTAAGTTAACTGTTATCTCACCACTTTGCTACCAGGTTATAATCAAAGAAAGTCTTAGATCAAAGTCAGCCACACACACAGACATTTATGAAAAATAGTTTTGCACAATCAGTGCATACTGTCTGTTCTTAGGCTTCATAAAACCCCCTTCCCTGTCATTTGAGGTGCTCTGCCTGAGCCTTGATAAATGATTCATCAGAAGCAAATGAGAAAGTATTCTGGAGGCAAGATTCAATTTGCATGGATAGTCATCTTAGGGAACCAGCATCCTCCAGACCCACAGCTTCTTGCCACTAGAACACAGGGTCCAGCGTTGGGCACTGTCCTTCAACACTGGGCTTCCTACACACACACATCCAATCCACGCACAGCCCGGGAGAGTCCCTGAAACATTTTAGCTCATCCACATACCTTGCATGGTGTGGAATTCAACAAGGAGAACCCATTTCTCTTAATCATTACACTCATTAAGAAAACACGAAGCTCACAACAGAAAATAATTTCTAACTATTATTATTCTGTGGTTTCTGCTTTTGATCAAGATAAGAATAGCCGAAGCACCCACCCAGGTCACTCTCATGGAATGGGGTTTTCTGATTAAAGATTGGCAAGCAACTGACAAGCTTGTAGCACATCCTTTAAGCTGGCACTCGCTGTTTGAGTACTTGAGAGTTATTTGCAGACTTCCTAAGTCTTTCGTTTTGCTAACTGTGTGTCAGGAACTGTTCTGGGCACTCTATGCAATGTGAGCTTATTTAATGGTTACCACCTAGGAGGCTGATGTGCTCTTGACACCCATTTCACAGATGCAGAATCTAAGGAAATCTGCTCAGTGTTTACACAGCCAACTGGTCAGTGGTACAGCCTGGATTTCATCTCTGGGTGTTTATTCCTGGAGTCCCTGCTTTAACCACCATATTAACCTGCTTCTGAACACCAACCAAAGCTTGAATCCAGCCTTCCAAATCTCAAGCCTGGGCTTTTGTTAAGGAGGACGCTCAGGGTTTCTTGATAGCCGAACTCCTGTATGTCCAGGAAAGAATAAAGACCAGATGGTCTTGATATGAAAAGGCAGCAGATTTTAACTACAAAATGGGAAATGAGTAATTCGTTTACGAGGACAAAGTAGTGAAAACTGTTCTTAGGCTTAGGGTAGGTGATTATATCTTAACTCTTTGAATGTTCAGTCAAAGCTATATATTCAAGATATTGTGGGTTCCCTACCAGACCACCACGAAAAAGTGAAGTTTGCAATAAAGCAAGTCACACAGATTTTTTGGTTTCCCAGTGCATATATGTTATGTTTACACTATAAAGTATTTTATTAAGTGTGAAAAGTATGTCTTAAAAAAACAGTGTATATACCTTAATAGAAATACTTTATTGTTAAACAATGCTAACAATTATCTGAGGCTTCAGCAAATCTAAATCTTTCTGCTGATAGAGAGTCTTGCGTCAATGTTGATGGCTGCTGACTGATCAGGATGGTGGTTGCTGAGGGCTGAGGTGGCTATGACAGTTTTTTAAAATAAGGCAACAGTGAAATTTGCCACATCATTTGATGCTTCCTTTCACTCAAGATTTCTCTGTAGCCTGTGATGCTGTTTGGTAGCATTTTACACACACTAAAACTTCTTTTCACATGGGAGTCAATCTTCTCAAACTCGGCCAACTGCTTTGGCAACTAACTTTATGTAATATTCTAAATCCTTTGTCATTTCAACAATGTTATCAGAATCTTCACCAGGAGTAGATTCATCTCAAGAAACCACTTTCTTTGCTCACAAGCATGAGTGGGAACTCCTTATCCATCCAAGTTGTATCATGAGATTGCAGCAATTCAGTCACATCTTCAGAGTCCACTTCTAATTCTAGTTCTCTGCTATTTCCACTACATCTGAATTTACTTCTTCCTCTGAAGTCTTGAACCGGTCAAAGTCAACCATGAAGATCAGAATCCACTTCTTCCAAACTCCAGTTAATGTTGATATTTTGACCTCCTCCCATGAATCATGACTCTTCTAAATGGCTTTTAGAATGCTGAATTTTTTCCAGAAAGTTTTCAATTTACTTTGGTCAGATCCATTAGAGAAATCACTATCTCTGGCAGCTATAGCCTTATAAAATATATTTCTTAAATAATAAGACTTGAAAGTCAAAATTGCTCGTGATTAATGGACTGTGGAATGGATGTTGTGTTAGCAGGCATGAAAACAACATTCACCTCCTTGTACATCTCCATCAGAGCTCTGGGTTGACCAGGTGCATTGTCAATGAGCAGTAATATTTTTGAAAGGCATCTTGTTTCTGAGTATCAGGTCTTAACAGTGGGCTTAAAACATTCAGTAAACCATGCTCCAAACAGATGTGCTGTCATCCAGGCTCTCTTCTTGCATTTATAGAGCATATGCAGAGTAGATTTAGCATAATTCTTAAGGGCGCTAGGATGTTCAGAATAACAAATAAGCATTGGCTTCAACTTAAAGTCGCCAGCTGCCTTAGCCCCCGGCTATAGAGTCAGCCTGTCCTTTGAAGTTTTGAAGCCAGGAATTGACTTCTTCTCCCTAAATATGAAAGTCCTAGATGACATATTCCAATATAAGGTGGTTTCATTTACATTGAAAGTCTGCTTTTTAGTGTAGCCACCCTCATCAATGGTCTATCCTAGGTCTTCTGGAGAACTTGCTGCAGCTTCTCCATCAGCACTTTCTGTTCACCTTGCACTTTTATGTTATGGAGATGGCTTCTTTCCTTAAGAATCAACCTCTGGTAGCTTCAAACTTTTCCCCTGCAGCTTCCTCACCTCTCTCAGCCTTCCCAGAATTGAACAGAGTTTAGGGCCTTGCTCTCAGTTAGGCTTTGGCTTGAGGGAATGTTGTGGCTGGTTGGATCTTCTATTCACACCACTGAAACTTTCTCCGTAAAAAAGTTTCACCACTAAACTTTGCCCACTGCAAGCTGAGAAGATCCTTCGGAGACCTCTTTGGAAACACATAGCAAAGAAAATGACAGAAGCCGCCATCTCTTGTATCTTTACCATGCTTTCAACAGTAGCTACCAATTATTGAACAGCTGGTAGGACCCAGCCTCTCTATAGACACTGAGGCTTCTAATCTCCTTCTTCTCAAGACCTCAATAAGGAAAATGAGTTCAGAGCTGTTATTAACTTGAGGAAGGTTGCACAGCCTATAAGTGACAGGACATGAATCAATATGACCTGTCACTTATAGATCACTTATGACCTTGAGGCTCCTGCTCTTTCTAGTTCTTCATTTCTTTGTGTGTTTCCTGTAGCTCTTCTCCAAGGGCACACCCCACATAGAGAGACCCACCAGGCCTGGCTTGAGTGAAACTAAATGCGTAGTGAGTAGAAGTTGCCAAGCACCAGTGAGAATGGGAAAATGTGGACAACGTCACCACCTGCCAGGTAGCAAGCACCTAGGCTCCTACAAATGGGCAAAAAAAAAAAAAAAAAAAAAAATCGGTCTCAGTTTTCAGCCTATGGCAAATGAGCCTTCAGCAAATGACATGAGCATGCTAAATGATTGCAGTGTCCATAGCAGGTCTTGAAAATGAACCCGGATAAATTTTAAGCATCACTGGTGTATGCTGAGCGTGAAATACCTTGAAAGCAGCATTCTCTTTTGTAAGGATCCTATTTTCTCTTAAGCATTTCTGCCTTGAACCGTATGGTTTGCTCAAGGCCTCTGACTACTTCCTTTTTTTCTGGGCTGACTAGGATTCATTTACACTGTTTTTGTAAGGATGCGTTGCTGGATGCTGTGGGGAATAAAGATTCTGCACAGATGGACCCTCACTGTATTGTTGTAGACCAGGGGCCATTGCCTGCAGGGACCTCTGTCCTGGGTGGTGTTTGGTGATCAGAGGCTTGCCAGGGATGGCAGGGACGCCAGGGACAGCAAGGACGGCAGGGACGCCAGGGACGGCAGGGATGCGAGGGACGGCAGGGACGAGAGGGATGGCAGGGATGGCAGGGAGGCGAGGTCTCTGGTTGTCGTGATTGGGCGTCTGGGTGTGTGTTTGTTTATGCTTGTTTATTAATGCCCCACCTACTTCCAGAGAGATCTGGTTCTCTGGGAAGTGAAGGTTAGAGATTCTTATTCCCGGGTTGTTTTGATTTATTTTTTAATCATGAAACTGAGTCACACCAATGGTACAGATATGAACAGAAAAATTATGAGTCCCATGCCTGCAGTTTCTGAAACATGCCCTCTTTCCTTCTTGTGTTTTTTCTTTTTTATTGTGATTTTATATATATAAATAAATATTATATATATGTAACCACAATAGAAAAGAAAAAATACATACATTACAAAGTTTGCCATTTAACCGTTTATAAGTGTATCATTCAATGGCATAATTACATCCACAGTGTTGCTCAGTTATCACTACTGTTGATTTCCAGAATGTTTGTTCACCCCAAGCAGAAACTCTCAACTCCCTGTTCCCATCCCCCATGTATATGGAACTAGGAAAAGACTCCAGTGGCAGCTGATGACACACATTCCTACACCCCGGCAAGCAGAGCATCCAGGACAACCTGTCCTGTGCCCGAGGGGTGGGGCACGGTCACCCTGACCTCCCCTGCTTCCCCTGCCCATCCATGGCTGTCCTTCACTCACCCAATTAGTGATCATAGGACAACAGGAGGAGCCTGGGAGAGGAAGGAGGAGGCCTGAGGGATGGACACTGGGGTGCTGAGGCGGAGGTCTCTGGGGTGAGCAGACACTGGGGTGCTAGGGCAGGGTCTCTGGGGTGCTGTGGTGGGGATCCCTGGGGTGAACGGACACTGGGGTGCTGGGGCAGAGGTCTCTGGGGTGAGCAGACACTGGGGTGCTGGGGCGAGCAGACACTGGGGTGCTGGGGCGGGGACTCTGGGGCGACCCAAGACCCTTCTTTATTTGCCGGGATGGAGTCTTACAGTCAGGCTTTGCCCTCTCTCGCGGCCTCCCCCAGCAGTAGAGACTTCTCACTTCCTGATGTTCGCTGCTGGACATTTCTGATGTGTTTGTCTTGGAGATGGTTTTTTCATTACCCAAGCTGCTGCTAAATCCGTCAACATTTATTTTGTGAAGTTGAAATAGGTGGACGAGGCAGGATTGGGAGGAGGTAGAGGCGAATAAGAAGGACCAAGTAGTGGAGAGTAGAGGGAGAGTGGGTGGCCTTATGATATTGAAAACACAATCCTGAAATTAGACTGTTAGTGATGACAGGCTTGGTGCTCTGGAGGTGAAGCTGAGGGTACCTGCCTACCTTGATTTCCAGACTGGTTTATCCCAACACTTGCTAACTCCACGTTAGGGCTCTTAGTGGCTAATTGTCTCTAAGCTTGATTTCCAGACTGGTTTATCCTAACACTTGCTAACTCCGCGTTGGGGCTCCTAGTGGCTAATCGGCTCCAAGCTTTGGAGGGAGCATTTTAAGGTCTTTTCAATCAACACATTTTATTTTCTGATGACCTAGAAACAGGTGTGAACTCTCCGACTCCCCACCAAAAGAAAGTAGATGAAGAACTCTTCAAAATTTGTAGAGAGGACATATCAGAATTGAATCACAACTTTTCAGGCCTTGGCAAAATTTTCTTTAAAGAACCAACACAGGCACACCTACTCAGCACTGCTAGTGTAGTGGGGAAATGGCTGGCTAATCCCTACTAAAAGAGTTTTGCTGTGTTCTAATAAAACTTTATTTAAACCACCTCACACCGATTAGGATGGCTACATCAGAAAAAAAAAAAAACAGGGAAATAACAAGTGTTGATGAGGGTGTGGAGAAATTGGAACCCTTGTGTACTGTTGCTGGGAATGTAAAATGGCACAGCCACTATGGAAAATAGTAGGATGGTTCCTCTAAAACTTTAAAATAGAATTACCAGATGATCTGGCAATTCCACTTCTGGGTATCATCAACTGAAGAATCATAAGGTACATAAATTTGGAAAGCAGAGCTTTATTTCTCATAAAGGGTTGCAGCCTGCAGGCCAGCCATTCCGCAGACCAGGAAGCGTAGCCTCCAGCTTCTGCCAAGAGCAAGCACTTCCAGGGAGGAGGAATGAGACAGGAATTTATGCTGAGTGGGTTGGCTAAGTATACATAATCAATAAGCTATAGAAGAAGTCATGAATATTAATGAAGGAGAAACACACACATGTGTGATTGAGCCATGCCTCTTCGTGGGTCCCGTGTTCAAAAAAATACCAGCATTAGGATGACCCAAGGGTGGAGGTTTTGGCCCTCTGATGTCAAAAGTTCAAACAGAGGCCACGAAAACCCTCACTGCACATCCTCCTTCGACTGGCCAGAGCCACCCTGCAGTTGGTAGCCTCTCAGCAGGAGGGCATGCAGTGTCAAACTGGCAAGCTGTCACGTGGAAACTGCAAAGAGGGAGGGGGAGTCCACTTATGGCTCAGACAAGTGGCTAAAGGTGATATAGGAATGAGTTGTCTGCTTCTTGTTTTCTAGAGCCAGTTTCTGCTTCCTCCTTAGGAGAGAATTCTGGTTAAAGGCTATTAAGGAAAGGGTATACTGAAGCGGGTCCAACCTCCCATCTCTTCATGGTCATGGGCTGACTCAGTTTTTGTTGTTGTTGTTGTTTTTGTTTTTTTTTGTTGTTGTTTTTAGACAGAGTCTTGCTCTTGTTACCCAGGCTGGAGTGCAGCGGCGCGATCCAGCTCTCTGCAACTTCTGCCTCCCAGGTTCAAGCGATTCTCCTGCTTCAGCCTCCCGAGTAGTTGGGATTACAGACGCCTGCCACCATGCCCGGGTAATTTTTGTATTTTTAGTAGAGATGGGGTTTCACCATGTTGGCCAGATTGGTCTTGAACTCCTGGCCTCTGGTGATCCACCCACCTTGGCCTCCCAAAGTGCTGGGATTACAGGCGTGAGCCACGGCGCCCGGCCCGGATTCAGTTTTTAAGTCTTCTCTGGGGTCCCTTTGGCCAAGAAGGAGTCTGTTCAGTCCATTGGGAAACTTAGGATTTTATTTTTATTTCTCAATATTTATCCAAAATAATTGAACATAAGGACTTGAAGAGAGATCTGTACACTGATGTTCATAGCAACATTTTTCACAGTTGCGAAAAGGTAGAAGTACTCAAGTGTCCATCAACAGATAAATGGGTGGTATACACGATGTGGCATATGCATCCCAAAGCCTCCATTTCCTCATTTGTAAAATATTGTGTGATTCATACCCCGCAAGACTTGTGAGCATGAAATAACATGATCTGTGTGAAAGCAATGACAGTGTCTGGAACTTAGGGGGTGCTCACCAAATGCCTAGCAGCAAAGCAGCAGAAACTAGAGGTGGTCGTGTGGGAGAGGATGGAGGAACCGGTGGCTGGGAACTGCCTACTTTCAGGATTTCTTACCTTTGGCCCACGACAATTCCTTGGCCAGGAATGCTGTTTTGGTGGAAACTGGGATGGTATGCATCCAGCACGTCACTCTGTTTATTAGGCATCAGACTGGTAGACAAGGGCCCAGTAATCTCGGCTCATGGAGACCCAAGTGGGGATGACACGGCCTCAGGCTAGAGCAGACGCACCCTGGGAATCCTCTGTATTCTTGTTGGCATCACAGCCCAAGCCTGTGTCCAGCAGGGCTGACCAGAAGAAAGGTCTGGGGCATTTTAGGTTTTAGTTAAGAGTTTGATGGAGGCTTAAGCTTTTATTGATTTGAAAAAGAAAAGAAAGGGAATCTTGGAAAAAAGTAACTCGCTGTAGTGCAGACAGGAAATAATAGCAATGAAATCTTTTGGCTTCCCTGCTCCTGACCCCAGAGGTCCCTTCCTCGCTTTAAAATCCTCAGGCACCCCCTCCACCCCTGTTGCCCACAAGCAAATATGCAGACTCCAGAGCCCCACATCCCCGTCTCTCACGGTCTGGCCCAGTTGATCTCTCTCACCTCATTCCGAAAACTTTCTAGTGACATTGGTCTTCCCACCGTTTCCCAAATCCCAAAGACACGAGGCAGATCCCACCCAGTCCCCCAGCTTTGCATTACTTTGCCCTTGTGATACTGGGGGACGTTCTTAGAAGTCACTTCTTTCCACATATATGGTTTTTGTTTCCCAGTCAAGGTCCCAAGGTAGGAAGTTTCTGGCCATGTGAGTCACCACCTGGATGAAGGAGCCACCCTGCCAAGTGTGGGGAGGTGCCAGGAGACGGAGCGGCTGAGATGAAGCATTCATTATCTCTCCTTCCCATGGAACTGAAGTGACATTCTCTGCATCTCTATTATCACTTCACCTCAACTTGCCTCTTCCCAGCATCCCTGAATTATGCAGAAATCATTTGAAGGCAAATTCCCAGCTACTGTTGCTAGACTCATTTTTCTGCAGGGATGGAGGAATGTGTTGCTAGACTCATTTTTCTGCAGGGATGGAGGAATGTGTCACTTTTAATTTGTTTCCTTTTTTCCCACCCATTTTGGGTAAAACATTGTGTTAAAAGATACATCGTCTCCACCCCCAAAGCAGCCTGTCTTCATGCCCAAGGGATTTAAATGCCCTCATATTGAAGTGTACAAGCTAATTATGTAACTTAAAGTAAGTTTAGGGAAGGAATTTAAATACCCCCACAGCTTCACAATGTGAGAAATGGGGCTGTGCAAGCCCCTGGAAGTTCCCTGCCTTTCTCCACATTCTCCCTCTGTAGTAATGAGGCTCCTCATCTTTCTGTTTTATTGGCAGCAAACACTGGGTAACAGGGGTGCTAGAAGGGCCTGAGGGTCTGTCATAAGCAAGGGCCTATAATTGTGCCAGGAGCCTGGAATAGTTAAATTGGTTCCTGATTACTTTTCACTCGCTAAGTTCCCCTCAGCTCAATTAACATATAATTATTTAGGACTATGCTACTTTTGTTACTGGCACATGGCTTTCCAAATAGGCAGCTTTGGGGGATGATCTCCCTCTGGAGCCCACGCACTGCATCCATCCACCCGCCCTTTTTGTTCAAGAACAAAAGCAAGGCTGGCGGGACCTCCTCCAGAACCTTCATGCTGCAGAGAGGCTTGGACCTTGGCAGGTGCCTCCTGCAGGCAGAGCCTCGCCGGCCACACCAGCCTGTCTCCCAAAGACGCGCAGAACTGCAGAATTCACAGGGCTTGTCTTTCTCTTTTACCAAATGCGACTTTACATTTTGTAAGGTGTCAGTGGAGATCATATCAGTGTTCAGATAACTTTGTATCATGTGGTGATGCCTCTTCCTTACCTTTAATCTCAAAAATAAAAAAACAAAACCTGTAGGTTCAAAGTTCCAGGGAGCTTAGAGGCACTGGGGTTGAGTGCTTTCATTTGTCAGTGGAGAAGATGAGGGTCTCGAAAACTTGAGCAACATTTTTTTTGTTTTAACATTTTTAAAATTCTATTGTAAATTGACAAATAATAATTGTGTATGTGTATGGTATGCAGTCGATGTTGTGATACATGCATTCATTGTGGAATGATTAAATCAAATGAATTAACATGTCTGTTCCCTCACATACTTCTCATTTCTTGGTGGTGTTGAACAACGTTCCGAAGGTCAGGTAGCTCCACGTTTAAATGGACATGAAGCCATTGATAGATAGATAGACATACTTGAATTAAGACTTTAATTGTACAAATGTGTGTATGTGTAGGCTACAATTAAACTCATATTTGACACTGTCAAGAATTAGTAGTTTTTGTTGCTAATGGGGTTAAATGTCCAGGATAGGAAAGCTTACTGGTTTGTTGTTGCTTTAATTGCATTGGCTTGGGAGTGAACCCATCTCCCTTTCTTATTGACCTCACATTTTTTTAAGTGGATAATGTTATGACAAGTTTGATAAAAATGATGCTTCTGACTTTCTGGAGACAGGAATCAATTACCAAGAAGAGATAACATTTCTCTCCATTGAGCCATTAAAAATAAAATTCACAGGCTTCTAGACCTTACGGCTTTTTGAATCTTTTTAGGTTGACATAATTTGCCTGTGATTCTTTCTGGATTATTTATTTGTATGTTTGGTTTTATCTCCTGAATTTTAGATTACAAATAATCCTTCCTTAGATTTTGACCATTTTTAGGACAGCATTCCTGAAAGCATTTAATTCTCACAGCATTTGTTATTGTTTTTTAGAAATTAATTAATTAATTCTCCTGGCTCAGAATAAGACATAATTTGTGTGGTTCACAAGGTGGTTGATCCCTTCCCCCTGAGTTTCTGGCATTTCTGGTGGAATCCCTAATGAGAAGTTTGCATAAGAAGAACCTGAAGAGAGCTGAATCCCACCGCAGAAAACCTACACGGTTTTCTGCAAGGACTCAGGGAGAGCCAGGGGCAACCAAATACTCTAGCCTCCCTGAGGCCTCTCATTTGGGCCAGAGCCTGACCTTCTGAGCCAGCTCTTTCATCCATTCATTCATTCACTTACTCTTCCATCCACTTATTCATTCATTCCTGTGTCAGTTACCTAGTGAGCATATACTGTGTACCAAATGCTGACTTGGCACTGAGGACACTTAGGTGAACAAGCAGGTGTTGCCACTGCCTTCGAGATACCTATGCTTTACTCACAATCTGGAGGGCTTCTCTTACCTAAACCCAACTCCAGCAGTGTCCAGCACAGATAGAGTTGTCAGGATGCAGAGTCAGGCGCATTCATACCCCACACGCCCTCGAATTGCCTGCTGGGCAAAGGACTATGATCCTGCACTGTGTGGAGCCCCTCATTTCATTTGGCAAGGCATCCTCCCATCCAAACACTTGGCTTAGCTTGCAATCCTTCTCATATTCCTCTGTAACAGAAAGCGGATTGGTATGCAAAAGCTTCTAATATGATTTTCTTATTTTCCCTACTTTCACATTTATTAGAAATAACTTATGAATTACAGTAACTAATAGATTTTTTTTTTTTTTGAGATGGAGTCTTGCTCTGTCACCCAGGCTGGAGTGCAGTGGTGCAGTCTCGGCTCACTGCAACCTCTGCCTCCCGGGTTCCAGTGATTCTCCTGCCTCAGCCTCCTGAGTAGCTGGGATTACAGGTGCACACCACCAGGCCCAGCTAATTTTTTTTTTTTTTTCTTGAGATGGAGTCTCACTCTGTCGCCTAGGCTGGAGTGCAGTGGTGCAATCTCGGCTCATTGCAAGCTCCACCTCCCAGGTTCATGCCATTCTCCTGCCTCAGCCTCCCGAGTAGCTGGGACTACGGGCACCTACCACCATGCCCGGCTAATTTTTTTGTATTTTTTAGTAGAGACGGGGTTTCACCATGTTAGCCAGGATGGTTTCGATCTCCTGACCTTGTGATCCGCCTGCCTTGGCCTCCCAAAGTGCTGGGATTACAGGTGTGAGCCACCATGCCCAGCCTGTAATTTTTTTTTTTTAGTACAGACGGGGTTTCACCATGTTGGCCAGGCTGGTCTTGAACTCCTGACCTCAGGTGATCTGCCCGCCTCAGCCTCCCACACCACACTCGGCCGACTAATAGATTTTCTTACCTAAAAGTTAGTCTCTGGTTATGTTTCTCCTTGCCTCATTGGGTGATTGGCCCGGGGCATAGCTGTGTTTCCGTCCCGTCAGGTGTGGGCTGTAGGATATCATTTATGCATGTCCTGGAAGTTTCTGTGCAAGTGACGCAGCCCTTGATGCATTGAGCCCAAGCATCATCTGATCTTTGTTTACTGCACTGATTATGGTTTTATTTGATCTTTCCTTCAGCTTTCCTCATGCTACTTGAATTTCCACGTTGTTTTTGTCCCGGCATTTAAAAAAATTTATAGGGAATCTGAATTACAGAATCTACCTCTCAGCCCTGCACTTTCTCAGTCGTCAGTTTCTTAAAAGGTTTTTGTTCAGCCTTCACATTATTTTAGCATGACATACATAGTTTTTTTTTTTTTTTTTTAATTTGAGACAAGTCTCACTCTGTCACCCAGGCTGGAGTGCAGTGGCGCAATCCTGGCTCACTGCAAGCTCCGCCTCCCAGGTTCGCACCATTCTCCTGCCTCAGCCTCCCAAGTAGCTGGGACTGCAGGTGCCCGCCACCACACCCAGCTAATTTTTTGTATTTTTAGTAGAAACGGGGTTTCACTGTGTTAGCCAGGATGGTCTCAATCTCCTGACCTCGTGATTCACCCACCTTGGCCTCCCAAAGTGCTGGGATTACAGGCGTGAGCCACCGCGCCCAGCTGACATATTTCTTTAAGTCATTTTGAGAACTGTCTTTATTTAACTAGCTGCAGTTGTCCCAGAGCTTAATTCGAAGCAGCATATTGCAACTGTTTGGGTGCTATCTTGAGGCACAATAATTACCCTATAATAATAATGTGTGTTTTAGTAAACTGGTCATTATTGTCATAGAGGGCTGGAAAGAGTGTCTTCTTAAAGCTCATAAGGACCCTAGGGTACTCTGCAAATAGCAGAGTTCTAAACCTGAAGGAAAAAATTAAGGGGAAAAAAAATTGTGTTAGTGGTCAGAAGCCCCGTGTCCTTATGCATCACGGCACAGCCCACCCTGTAATGACAAGAAGGTGTTGTATTCCACTGACACTTGGGGGCTTTTCTGTGATCTCTGGGGTTGCTGCATGTACATCCTCAGAGGCTCTCTCAACACAGTTACCAAGGGTCAGGTGGGTTACTTAGACCATCTCTCTAGCTCATACTTTGTACTTCTGGGGGCTGAAGGTGACAGGACAGACCCCATCCCAAGACTGGGGGGCTGATTAGAGTTGCCAGGCATCCCGTATATGCAAAGCATGTCCTGAATTTTGCAACTTTTGTCCTGGATCCTTTATTAATTTGTCAGGATGCTCTAAATGTCCTGTATTCCGCTTTTTTTTTCTAATCAATTACAGAATTCAGCAATAAGAGCTTTATTCAAATTTAACTGGGCATCCTATATTTGCAAAATCTGGCAACCCTGCGGCTGAGGAATGTTGCTGCCCAGCCTGTGTTCTTGGTTAATGGACAAGGCAGCAATGCCTGCGTCCCTCCATTAATAGTCACTTAGAAACACTAATTCCTCCTTTCTGGTTATATTTTAATGTCCCCGGGGAAGAAGTCAAATAACTCCACCTGCAGTTTTCTTTAGTGACCAAAATTGCAAACTCTGTCACAGGCCCTTTGTCACAGCTGTTTTGGTCCCAGAGCTAGCCGATAGGTTTCTTGATGAAATAATGTCTGCGAATCCCTTTCTCAGAGCGGCACGCAGTGTGAGCGTGAGAGAATCTGCAGTGACAGCGGGTGATGGGCGGGAGGTGGTGGTGGCAGGTGGCGATGGAGACCTCCTTAAAACCCCAGGTGGTGAATTTCTTCTTCCCTCCTCCCTGGCTCACTGCCTTTTAGCGGCTGTGACATGGCCAGGGCGTGGGGAGCTTCTCCAGGCACGCTTGGCTGAAGAGATAATGCTGTCAGAGGACAGCAGTTACTAGTAAGTAACCTACATTTCCCTTCTACTCTGGCTGCTCCTTGCTGTCTAAATAGAGAAAGTGGAATTAGGTTTATCATCTGTGACCTAATACTAATTCCTCTTACATCCTGCCTTTGTGCAAAGGGAAAAGGGCCATTTAAAAAGTAGTGGACGAAGCTTTAGTATTGTAAGCACTTTCAAGCGTTATAAAACAAATCTGTTGAATGAACAAGCATGTGAGAGTTGGTATTCTAGAGTCACGTGTGATCGCCCAAATTGTATATTTCATTACAAAAAGTATATAAAGTCATGGTATTATAGAGTGTTAAAATTATACTTTATCAATGAATCAAGAAATTAAAATTTCTGAGAAAATTCTTGTCAAATCACTTTCATGTCTACTAAAGCTTTTAACTTCTTCTCTAGTAAAATAGTGGTCAAAATTAGCATGTGGAAAGTAGGCCAATGATACTGAAGTCGTAAGCCATGCTTCCAAGCCTGGAGATATTGCAGCAACCTCTTCCAAGCCTGACAGCTCCTTGCGAAGAGTGCTTTCAACTGGGTAGCTTGAAAAAGCCAGCTAAGCAAAGATCAGTGGAATCATAGAACATTAAGACATGGCAACTTGAGAAAACGATTTAATTTGCACCTTTTTTTTTCTTTTTTTTAATTAGATTTTGTTTTAAGTCATACTTTTCAAATGTTACTTTCAGAAGCTGTTATTTTGGTCTGTTTCTTTCATCCTGCATGTGCTAATTTCCTTGATTAATTTGGAGAACATCTGCATATAATTCCGTGATCTTTTCGTTGGCAAAACCTCACAGCTTTGCGCAAGACTTGGAGAGTTCACATTCCAGACAGTCTGGGATTGTATCTAATTGAAATGCCAAACCTACCGAAGTGCCAGAGCGTAAGTGTGTAATTATGTAATTTTCTCTTGATCTTTCAGAGTCTTCCTGCGAGCAATTAATCAGTATGCAGATATGCTGAACAAAAAATTTCTGGATCAAGCCAACTTTGAGCTACAGGTAAGAGAAGAGGTAGACACGACCTTTGTGGAGAAATCATGTTAAAACAAATTGCTGGTCCGAGCCAGTATCTTACAGTATTTCTAATCCTTGAACTTAATTGGTCTCCCATCCAAGATGCGGAAACGGAATTTGTAGTATGTACTATTGGAACCTGAGGAGTGAAAATTATACTTTTGGAGTATTCGCTTAATTTAGCAAGGAAAGAGATAGAGTTGTTTCAGAGAGAAGCTATTGAATCAGAGTGACAAGAAGGGACTCTTCAAGCAGGGAGGCCACCAAGTCCCGGTGTGTGTATCTGCCAAGATTGTCTCAGCCCATCTTACTGTGGAGGGAGGATCAGCAGAGGAGGAGACCCAGGTCTGCACCTCGAGCTCAGCTTGCTTTTATAACTCTGTGTTCCCTCCATATCCTCTCTCGGCCTTGTGCTACTAGCAGTGGCTTTTACCAGGCCAGAGACCCTGCCCCCCAGACCCCATGGTCCTCAGAAATGCTCCTTTGGTGAATGCAGTGTGTGAGAGAGAGAGAGAGTGTGTGTGTTTGTGTGTGTGTGTGTGTGTGTGTGCGCGCGCGCATGCATGCTGTAAGGATTGATTTTGCCTGGCCTGATTTGTGTGTGTGTGTGTGTGTGTGTGTGTGTGTGTGTGTGTGCATGCTGTAAGGATTGATTTTGCCTGGCCTGATTTCTTACTGTGCATCCAAAATGTGTGGCTCTCACTTCCATTGTACTCTGGATGTGTTTCTGCTAATAATGATTTTATCTGTCATTATTATTACTTAGTTTATTTTAGTAAAGTATACAAATTTTTGAAAAGCATGCAGATACAAATGGCATGTTTATTTCCTGGGCAAGATGATTCACTCTCTCAAAAGGAACCCGAAGGATTTTTGTTCACCCATTGGGTGATCCAACCCCAAAATAAGTTACCCAATAGCAAATAATAAGTTTACCCAATGCTCTTTCATTTGCATTGCCCTTATTTTTATAATTTTTTAATTTTAAGTGTTTGTTGTATTGGCATTACAGGATATAATTAGATAATAATATATCAGGTGCCATATATCTAAACATGTTACTTGTTTATAAAATTTTTTATCATTTTCTCTGCTGAATGCCTGTTTTCATATGTCATAATAACATACTTTCTCTTTATACAATATATATGTGCTGAATATCAGTTTAGCAGGTAAAATAGGAAACATTCCTTCCTAACCCTTTGCTGCCTCTCACTGCCCCTCTGCAGGGATAACTTTTAACTCATTGTTCTGAATTCTTTGTCACGCTTTCAGCATTTATATGGGCCTGTGTGTGTTTTTTTTCAGCCTTTAACATGAACTGGATCATACCCTGTGTTTTTCAGCTCTGTCATATTCCACGATATGAATGTACCAACATTTATTCAGCCATTTCTGCACTGATAACCTAGAGGCTGTTTCCAGGTGTTTACAATCACAGGCTGTGCTACCGTGAGGGCTGTGATACATGTGTCTCTTAGTACACGCATTGCTATGGAAAAGGTTGATCTCTAGGCCAAATGATATGACATTTTAAGTTTGATGGAAAATGATCAATTTCCTTCCTAACATGATTTTAGCAATTTGCCACCCCACCAACCTTGAGAGCAGCCACTTTCTATCTAGAATCTTCTTCAACACTGATTTAAAATGATTGATTTTTGTTTTTATTGTCATTTTTCTGATGATTATTTAGGCTAAGAATACTTAGTGGCCATGTGGGTTTCTGCTGTGAATTCTCTGATCATTTCTTCTCCTAACATTCGTATTTGGCTGTCTTTTTTATAAGTTGGAATTCTTGATATAGGCTAGGCATGGGTTTAGGCTTATCATATAGAAATATTTCATTTTTCTGTAGTGAAATCTGTTATTTCTTTTACAGCTATCTGGTTTCATGTTTTACTTGGCAAATCTCTCCTTGCCTTAATATTATATACTTCTAAATTTTACTGTTTTGTGTTAGTTAGGATCTGCTAATACCTGTGTGGTTTTGTGTTTTTGTTTTTATCTTTCAGGTGTTTAATCCATTTGGGATTTCTGTAGTTAGTATAGGGGTAAGGATCTAACTTCACTTTTTCCCACGTCATTTCATGAATAGATGACTCTTTCCCCAATGATTGGAAATGCTACAATTAACATAATTATAAATGTATGTGTGTATAAATTCCATTTTCTGTGTTATTATCCTAGAGGCTTAATCCTTATACCTTTGTACCCAGCTAGCAGAGTCGCTACTTTTCCACTCGTTTTCTACTGCAGAATTATCTTGGCTGTTTTTGTGCATTTCCTGTTCCATTTGGAGTTTAAAATCAGATAGCTGAGTTTCTCTTTTAAAAACATACTGCTTGGATTTTAGCTGGAATCCCATTGAATTGATAAATAAATTTGGAGTAAGTTTATGGTATTTGAGGGAATACTTTGCAGTATTTTTTTCCCCATCTCATACTAGACTATTTAAGTATTTGTTTTGCCATTTTTCTGGTTTTTTTCTAGGTCAGGTCTCACACATGACTTGCTGGGTAGATTCCCGTGTGTTTTAGTTGTGGCTGCTCTGGTGGGGGAGCCTGTTTCTCAACATGTTGGTTCTCCCTGGCTTTCGTCCTGTTTCATGAGGATGGCCCCTTGGACTCTCACCGTGAGCCCGCACACCTTACAAGCCACGTGCTTCAGGGCCCACATCGAGCGTCGCCCCTTGGCAGGTGTGACACACATATTTATTGTTGTTTGAGGAGGGTTTAGCAGGAATCGCTGCCTGCTGTCGGCTGCATTCTGAGAGTCACAGTCAGGGGCCCATCTAGCATACGACCCATGTCTGCATGTACCCAGCACAGATCTTAATTTAAACACCACCGTCACCACCATGAGTGCTCTGGCTCAAAGGCAGCCCTGGTCCTATGTAGGAAAAGAAAGAATTAGGAGTTGGTGAAGCTGTCATTTAAAAAGAAGCATTCGTGTTTTGTTGTTGTTGCTGCTGCTGTTGCTGTTGCTGTTGTTGTTGCTGCTGCTGCTGCTGCTGTTGTTGTTAAAGGGAGCAGGTAGAAATGAAGATCTATTGTGAGTCCTCGCAGGCATGGGTCCTATTCTGGCTGAGCCCCTGACCATGATTCTCAGAATACAGGTGGCTGCAGCCAGTGATTCCTGCCGGTGCTGTGGCAAGGCTGAAATCGGTGGGAGGTGTCAGTCCCAAAAACAAAAGGAACGACTTGTATTTTATTGACTGGCACTCCCCTTTCTTTATAAAGGGGGCTAAAAAAAAGAGAGCCCCATTGTGGGCTCTGAGGTTGGGGGTGCCTGGCTCAGACCCCCATTCTGCTTCATGTGTTACCTGTAGCTTTGGGCTGGTCTCTAAATCTCAGCTCTGCAATGGGGATAACAGCACCTACTTGGTTATTCTGTGGTGATCAAATGAGCTGGTGTATTACTATAGAAAGTGTGCTGTTCATGGGAAGTGTTGGATAAATGCAAGCCCAACAGACTTTTCTCAAATCCTACAAATGCTCTTAAATTTCCCCTTACTTCTCAGGTAATTAAAAATAGAGTCAATATAATGTTCACACTTTATTTTTATAGAACTCTTTGCAGCTATCTCCTTTGATATAATACATATTATCCCTGGTTTGTAAATGAGAAAACTGAGACCTACAACTTTCTTCTTCTAAAGGCCGTTGTCTTTTAAACCGCATATATGTAGTCCATAAACCCTTGAAATATGGGTTTATTGAAAGAAGAAATGTTTGATCTCTTTACATTTGTTTTCCTTGTCTAGTGTATGTGTGATTTGGGGGTAAAGAGTCCTAAATTATGGAAATCTATACTATTCTTAAGTGAGGAGCTTCATAATTACATTAATAAAAGTTAACATTGGCCAGGCATGGTGGCTCACACTTGTAATCCCAGCACTTTGGGAGGCTGAGGGAGGTGGATCACTTGAGGTCAGGAGTTCAAGACCAGCCTGGCCAACATGGTGAAACCCCATCTCTACTAAAAATACAAAAATTATCCAGGCATGGTGGTGCACACCTGTAGTCCCAGCTACTCAGGAGGCTGAGGCAGGAGAATTGCTTGAACCCAGAAGGCAGAGGTTGCAGTGAGCCAAGATCATGCCACTGCATTCCAGCCTGGGCAACAGAGGGAGACTCCATCTCAATAAAAAAGAGCTAACATTGATGAAGTGCTTACACATGCTCTGTACCGCCTTAAATTCTGTGCATATATTTACTTCTTTGATCTTCTGAGCACTCCTATAAGATAGATACTCTTGAAATTCACATTTTATCCATGAGGAAACTGAGGCAGAGAGAGGTTAGAGTCTGAGTAAATGGCAGACCCGGGATTTGAATATGTGCACCGTGACCTCTGAGCCCACACGCTAAGGCCTGAATTACACCGTGGGTGGCTGGTTAGCAACATGTATAGAGTGAGTGTGGGTTTTTTTTTTAACTTTTCAGAAGTGTGTGCTGAGCAAATGATAAATGTCTGAGAGCATTGTTGAGATCCTATATCAAGCTGTTCAACAACTTAGCATCTCCTCCTTTTTGGTTTTCAGCTGTGGAACAACTACTTTCACCTGGCTGTTGCTTTCCTTACTCAAGAGTCCCTGCAACTGGAGAATTTTTCAAGTGCCAAGAGAGCCAAAATCCTTAACAAGTAAGTTCTCATCTAGCTCTGAAACTGCAGGCAGGAGCCTCCAACTCTAATCGCATAATTTTCATGTCATTTCTAAGCCAACTTGATACAAATTGAGATGTAATCACGGTGTAATGAAAGGGTGGTTTTAAATCACCAATCAGGTATTGCCTTTTCTAACCCATGAATCAAGATCTAAAATTGCAGGACTCATCCTGGAAGGTTCCAGGTCAGTGTAATCCAAGACTATTAGTGCAACACAGAATTTCAGCTTCCGGAGATAATTCCTTTTGCTATGCACTATTCTGATGTCATTTCACATGTGGTTGACTTTATTGCTTAATTCTTCAATTCGAAAGGAGCTTCTGATGAAAGCTCTTGGCTCTATTGGGATTGTTGAACAGCTCACTGGGGAGTTAGAGCTATCGGGGTTCCTTCTTGGCAGCAGATAACCCCTGTCTTCTTCCGGGCAGGAGCTTTGAATGGACTGAAGCGGCACCTTCTATCATTGTAAATAAACCTCTCCAAAGCTCCATGAAAGCCGAGATCCTTGCCGGCCCCTCCAGCTCTGTAACCCCAGTTTGCATCATGCACCGCTCATGACTCAGTATCAAGAAGCACCATTGTTGCATGGGTTTCCTTCCCCTGTTTGGACACCCGGAGGGTCTTGCTTCGTCTCTTTCTGCCTCCGTTTCACTAATTTCTCACTGCTGTCGGTGTTCCTTTCATAAGTCCTTTTGAGAAGAGTTCTGAAATTGCATTGGTGTTGCCACGTCATCAGTCTCTGTTTGTCATTTTATAAATACCTCTGCAATATCTCGACTGTTCTAAGGCTTGGCCAACTCCATGCTGCTAGCTGAGGTTAGAGATTCCAGAAAGAGTTTCAGAAGGTGGCAGCTGCTCTTATATCCTGTGAGTCTGTATCTCACTTTCAAGGCAAATCCAAAGCACATCATCTCTGGAGAGTAAGAATTATAGTCATAAGCTGGGCTCTGGTGCTCAGCCAGTAGTGGTAATACCAGCTACTTAGGAGGCTGAGGCAGGAAGATCACTTGAGCCCAGGAGGTCAAGGCTGCAGTGCACCACGATCATACCTGTGAATTGCCATGCACTCCAGCCTGGGCAACATGGCAAGACCCCCTTTCAAAAAAAAAGAGAAGAAAGAAAGAATTATAGTCACGTACTGCATAACCACAGACTACATGCTGTATTTTTACTGTAACTTTTCTTTGTTTAGATACACAAATACTCACCATTGTGTTACATTTGCCTGTGGTATTTATTGTAGTCACATGGTACATTACAAACATGTTGTACGGGTTTGTAGACTAGTAACAGTAGGCTATACCGTATGGCCGATGTGTGTAGTAGGCTGTAGTATCTCAGTTTGTGTAAGTTCACTCAGCAGCGTTCACACGACGACAAAATCACCCAGTGACATATTTCTCAGAACATATCCCTGTCATTAAGCAAAGCATGAGTATATTTCAGCAAATCATTTACTCAGCCTGTACTTTATGTCAGTGACTTTCTAAGCATTTCATGTGCATTTTTCTTCTATAATCATTAAAAAGCAAAACCATTCCTTAGGCCCTCGTATCTGCCCTAGTTTCTAGATGAGGAAGGTCACACACAGTGACCGAGCCACTTGGCCAGTCCCACACCTAGAATGTGGCAAAGCAGCATTCTAATCTAGGCGATTCAGGGCCCACGATTTTCACCTGGGCTGCTTTTAGAACCTTCGAGCTTTTGGTCTGCACCTATCTAAGTAAAGATCACCTTTCACCTGGCCATCTTTCCTTCAGGCCTCCTCAGCTGGGTGATTCCTGCCTGACAGCCATCTGTGTAAACAGTGATCATTGTTCAGAAACAAGAAATGCACTTGCTGAGCCAAGCACTGAGAATGGTGTAGGCAGAGTGGGTGCTCGCCTGTGACTACCGAAGCGGCACGCAGCAGCTGCAGCCCACCACCTTGGGGCCTGCACAGGTGTCTGTCGCTCGTCCTGGCTTCCAGCATCAAGAGACAGACTTCTCCAGGCTGCATCTTCTGGAGACTGGCTCAGCAGGGGCGCAGGCTCCTGCTTTGTGGAATGCACGCTCCCTCAGGGCCCAGGGGAAGGGAGGGATGGTGCTTTGTAATTGTTGCTGTTCTTGTTGATTTGCCTTTGTGCTGGGAATTGTAGTGCAGACGGTAGTGACCAACACACACAAAGCACAGTGCGGCACAACGCACTTCAACGCACTGTAATCCACCAGGTGCGGACACACCTCCTTCAGCACGCGCCCCTTGTTGTCCCGTCCAGCAAAAGGACAGCTCGGCCACAGCAGGTGAAGCCACCTGCCCAAGTGTCCAGCGCCCGCTATTGGGTGAAGCTGGGACCCGAGCCCAGCCACAGCTCCTGGCCTCGGAGATGCCTGCGGGAGAAGAGAGGTGAATTTAAACTGGAAATCTGCCTCAAAAGAGCTGGCATCTTCTTAGTGGTGGGGCCGAGCACCCCGCAAGCCCCAGCAGGGCAGCTGTGTGCTGGGCCCTTCCTTCTGTTGGTGTGAGCGTTAAGAGCCTAAGGCAACATCAAGACATGCACTAACAGCGGTGCGGTGGCTCATACCTGTAATCCCAGCACTTTGGAAGGCCAAGATGGGAGGATCACTTGAGTCCAGGAGTTTGAGACCAGCCTGGACAACACAACAACACCCCTTTCTCCACAAAAAATACAAAAATTAGCCAGGTGTGGTGGCGCGCACCTGTGGTGCCAGCTACTCAGGAGGCTGAAGTGGGAGGATTTCTTGAGCCCAGGGGGTCGGGGCTGCAGTGAGCCATGATCACACGACTGCGCTCCAGCCTGGCTGACAGAGTGAGACCGTCTGTCTCAAAAACCAAAACGAAAAGAAAAAAAAACATTAACCTCGAAGGGCCTTGGCTACTAAAGAAAACGTTTGCTTCCCACGTAGTGGCGTGGATTCAGAATCTTCAAAGCCACGGAAAATTACACACAGCCAGCTGGTGTCGCCCCCTCAGGAGCCACCCAGGGCCTCTGCCTAGGGCTTTCGTATTCTCTTTGTCACAACGATAGCAACAGGAGACTCTGGATTTCCCCCAGGAAAGTCCCCAGGCAGTTCAGAAGTTGTCTTTGCAAGACACTGGCAGGACAGCCTCAGGGCTTTGTGCTGTCTGAGGGGCCTCTCCAGGGGCATGAGTTCTGCTCCGCTTGTGGAGGTGACAGGAGATCCAGGACAAAGCCCCCGGAGCCTGAGATAAGACTGCCTTGACCTTCAGGCCACGCGGCACACACGTGTGGAGGGTCAGCCCTATTTGTTGTAGTCTTCATGCCACTTGATAAGCCTTCAGCCCTTCATAGTCCATTTGCAAATTTTATTTCTAAATAGCAAAACCTGCATAAGAAATACATGACGATGTCCTACCCCAATGCTTAAATTTTCTCAGGCACATACAGTGCCTAGAAATGTGATTTGTTTAAAATTGTCCGCATAAAAGGGATTCAGTGCCCACTCTGTGCTCAGTCGGGCCATGGTCCCGGTGCCGGGGACAAAGACACAGACCTCGTGACGAAGAAGGTCATGGTCTAGTGGGGTAAATGGAGAAGCAAAAATCATGAGTGGAGTGGGGCACGCATGCAGTGGTGACGGAGGGCCTTGGCAGCCCGGAGACGGCCCGTGGGGCTCAGCCGTGGGAGACAGAGGCCTCCTGGCAGCTTGGGCTTCCCGGCTGGGTGGTGAAGGCAGCTGAGAGGTTTGCCACGGGACATCGAGTGCCAAAGGGCATGGCGCCATCTACATATGAGCAGAGACATGATCTGGGTTGTCGAAGTGTAAGGGAGCAGCTTGGAGCTTGGGGCGGGGTGTGGGGGCTCGTGGTCTGGGAGTCAACCTCACACTCTGGGCAAACGATGGGCGCTGACTTGGAGCCCCGTGGAGCTTGATGCATGCACCTGTCTGTTTCTCGGGGGAAAGGCATGTGGTATAAAGGTGGAGCCATGACACACCCACTTAGTAGGCTCAGCACTGCCTCCATCTGGGGCCTGTCTCTTACTCTAGGGCTTGTGAATCCAACCTAAGGCATCTGAGGGAGCATCCCCAACCCCTCAGCCTTCCCTTCCCTTCCCTTCCCTTCCCTTCCCTTCCCTTCCCTTCCCTTCCCATCCCTTCCCTTCCCCCTTGCTAAGCCCTTGCAGCTCCTCACATCTGCTTGGTCCACAGCTTTGTGGCTCAAAACAATAGAAATTCCAGCATCAGGAAACCTGCCTGCTCCATCCTCCTAATGACTGAGGTTGGGGAGATAATTAGGATTTTCATTCTAAAGACATTCCCCAAAGTGCATGGGAGTAAATAAAAGAATGGGCCATACCACGCAGAGAACTGATTATGTCAGACCCAAATTGAGTATGAGATTCGCCAGTGTACCACAAAATAAATAACCCCTAGGAATCAAGTCCATAATATGAAAATTTAACTGGCTCAACCTTCAGACATCCTTGGTGCTAGTGACTCCCAAGGAAGGACAGAGATGTCAACAGAATTCTAAGCCTGACCAGCAGCTCTTCCTCCCATCCCAGCCCCCTAGCCTTTTTTACATTATTGGGGTGCAGGAAATATGTCTAAAATGTAAAAGGAATGACTTTTGATTAGCAGCCAGCTTGATAATTTTGTTATGTAAGACACGTGCATCCTGGTGTGGGACAGTGTGTTGAATGACTGCAAAGGAGCTTCTGTGTTCAGGACCGGAAGAGGAACAGGGTTCATGAATTGGGCCTCCCACATATCTAAGCATAAAATGCTCACTTAAAATTTCAGCGCAAGAGGTTAAGTTTGATGGCAAAGTCCAGCTCAGTGCAGAGAGACCATCCACAAAGACCTCCCCACCTGGTCCCTAGGCTGTTTTCAGTTTTGGCGGGGTGGGTGGGTTGTTTTTGTTTTTGTTTTTTTGTAATTATAGAAGTCTGCAGTGTTCTAAGAGGATAGGTTTCACAATGGGACCAAAATATCCCCATCTGACCAAACACTGGGTTCTGCAGAATCTTCTCCAGAAGATTATGTCAAACTCTAGATACTACCTTTAAGGAAACTAACAGGAAATAAACATGCCATGCATGCCGTTTTGCAGCGTGACCTAATCAGAAGCTGCAATTGTATATTCCTGATTATAACAGGAGATACGATCAATTTAATTTGTGTCTGTGCTCATTTTTTTCAAGAGACTGAAATTATTCAAAATTAAATTCACTTATTAGAAGGAGACTCAGGGAGTTAGACTTAACAAGTGGTGACCTGTGCCAACTTCAAGTCAGAAAAGCTCACTGTGTCCCACATGCACCGGTGGTGTTGTTTTTGATGTCCCACCCCCTCTCACCTCTTTAGGAACCCACCAGTCTTTCCCATGAAGTTAAAAATGCCTCACCCCAGCCATGAGCTCCCTCCAGCTTCCTTTAGGTCCATCTCAGCCCTTTCCTTGTCTCCTTTCCCCACCTCCCACCCACTCCGATGCTGGCTCTGGGCACTGCATTGCCCCAGAACCTCAGCCAGGTCCTGGCTGCCCCCAAGCAGATGGAGGGTATTCAGCTCCCTAGATGTTCTCCCCACATCCTCAACATGTTTCTTCTTTCCCTCCATCTCAGAACATGCTTTTCTTCGCTCTCAGGACTCTCCTGAGCTTTTCTCCAAGCTTTTTGGTGTCTGCTCTCTCTTGTCAGATTCCTACCCCTGCACCCCAGCATCAAGTGGCGGTGGGGGTTCCGCACACCTTGGTCTTAGGCCTTCACACTCTATTCTCTTTCCTTAGGAAAGCATTTTTCAAACTGCAGGTCTCAACCTTTGATTGGGTCAGAATATTCACTTAAAGGGCCATCATATCCATTTCCTAGGCTGGTCTGCCATAACAGTGAACACAAACCGGGTGGCTTGAATTGATTGTCTCACAGTTATGGAGGGCAGAATTCCCAAATCAAGGTGTGGGCAGTGTTGGTTCCTTCTGGAGGTTCTGAGGGAGAAGCTATTCCCTGCCTCTCTCCTGGCTTCCGGTGGCTGCCCCGGTCTTTGGCATTCCGTGGCTTGTGGCTGTTTTACTCCAATCCCTGCCCCATCTTCCTGTGGCCTTCTTCTTTGTGTCTTCCTATGTGTCTGTGTCTCTCAATCTCCCTCTCCTTATAAGGACAGAGGTCACTGGATCTAGAGGCCACTCTACTCCAGTATGACTTCATCTTACCTTGAGTACATCTGCAAAGACTCTATTTCCAAATAAGGTCACAGTCATGGATACCAGGGTTTAGGACTTCAACATAGCTTTAAAGGGGAGACAATCCAACCCACACTAGTCATGACCAATAGACTTTTCTTTTCTTTTTTCAGTGAAATAGAATCTAGGAAAAAATATCAGCATTCATTGCAGGCAGTAAGGTTAAGCATCATTTCATAAAACTTTATACACATGCATGTATATTAATATATGTGCTGGTTAATACATGTATTTTTTATGTCAGAAAAGTTTATGAAACTTAAAAAAAAAGTGGCGGCAGCGGGGACGCTTTAAAAAAAACCTGCCTCCTGCAGCCTCTGCTCACGGTGCACCCCTCACCCCCTGGTCTCTCAAACAGGAGCCAGCTCTGTGTTCTGTAGCCCCACCCACCAGGCACTCCCCTACTCCCTCCCTGCCATGGGGCCTTGGCGCCTGCTGGTCCTCCTGCCCAGAATGCTCTTCCCTACCCTCTTCGTCCAGATTTCGTCTCTCCTTCAAATCTCAGAGCAAATATTATTGTCCTAGAGAACTCCTGCCAGAGCCAAGCTGAGCCCACTGTTACATTTTCTCACAGTTCCCATGTTTTCCCTATAAAGCCATGATCCTGGCTTTTGCAGAAACAATTCCTCTATGTATCTATCCGTGTTTATCTTGTGTGATTATTTTATTAATGTTCGTCTCTCCTACCATGCTCATAGCCCACTGTGGTTTGTGAGTCTTGTCTGTTCTCCATATCATAGTAATATTAATATTCCAATATGAATATTCATATTTCCACATTAGCTTTGTGTCTGGCCCAAGTGCTCAATAAATGTTCACTAAATGAATCGATCTAAATGACCATTGCAACCATGAGAGGAATATTGTGCCCAGCCTGAGATTTTAAAGGAAGGACCTAGAGTGGCTCCAGTGCTTGCCAGATAGACAGGGACATCATCACTCTCTTGTTGTTCACAAAAGCCTAGGATTGAGCACCATGCACCATTCTGGCAGCACTACAGATGAGGAGACTGAGGGTCAGAGTGGTCAAGTAAATTGCCCGGTGTGCTTAGATTCAGGCTCAGGCTGGCCTTACCCCCAAGCCTGAGCTATCACTCGGGGGTATGTTTCTTGGAGTGAAGGTGCAAGAAACCAGGTGCTAAGATTAGGCCACAGGGACCAAATTCACACGATTTTATGTCCGGGTTACAGCCTGGATGTGGGATCCCAGATCTCCCTGGACGATAGGAAGTGTGCCTCCTAAGCGTAGGTTCTCCTGCTCACTCACACCGTGGGTGGGCTCAGGTAAGAAGCTCTGGGCAGAGCACGGTGACCCCAGCTCTAGGCCATCCTGGCTCGGTGGAGTCGGGCATGTGTGTTCCCCACTGTGAA
Organism: Homo sapiens; assembly: GCF_000001405.40. Lineage (NCBI taxonomy): Eukaryota > Metazoa > Chordata > Mammalia > Primates > Hominidae > Homo > Homo sapiens. Next base: position 127,351,347 of record NC_000010.11, read on the forward strand.
TCTCAGCTCTTATTGAGAAAATGGGCACAGAAATGTCAGCTTGCTCAGCTCATAGTCTTATTCCAAAATCAAGTGAAAGGAAAGCACTTTGAAAGATGTGACGCTGTGTCGTGCTGTGGAGGCATGGAAAGTCCCTGTCCTGGGGGTGCGTGCTGTGGGTGTGGGAGTCTGAGGACTTGGATTCTCTACTCTCCTTCCCGGTGAGGATGGCCATGTCATTTTGCTTCTCTCCTGTATGACTAGTGCAGTCCCCTTGGCTGTTTATTGCTAGAGAGGAACTTAGTTATGGTCCCCAGGACTGCCACCAGCCCGGGGTTCTGCTTCCAGGCAATAAGCTTTATTAGCCCTACGCTCTCAATTATCCTTTTTTCCTCCTCCATGGGAAGAACTAAGAAATGGCTTGGGAAGCCCCCTTGAGGTCTGGTGACAGCTGTGACTTTATTTGGGGATTACTCTGGGGCATGTATAGATTCATCAAAGCTCCCTTCTTATTAAAACCAAGGAAAAGATCCCTCTCACTGCCAGGGACCTCCAGCCGGCCCTTCCCCTCACAGCTCCCCACTCTTCCTCACTGCTGCTGCTCCCTTGTCCTATTTGACAATTAAAACCGCATCTTTAGCACCTTGATGCCCGCAGGCCCGGCTCTCCTGAGGGGTGGGCTCTTGTATCCTTGCTAATCCCCCAGTTCTCAAATACTACCAGCAACTGTCATCTTCCACCTACAGGACAGTAAAGTCTATCTGAGAATGGAAATCCCTCACCCCTCAGCCTCCTTCACCACCCAAGGGAGAAGCACTGTGCAGGGAGGCGGGGAGGGGTGGGGAGCATCGGGGAGGGGTGGGGAGGAGCAGCATCCGGGAGAGGTGGGGAGCATCGGGGAGGGGTGGGGAGGGGTGGGGAGAAGTGGGGAGCATCGGGGAGGGGTGGGGAGGGGTGGGAAGCATCGGGGAGGGGTGAAGAGGAGCGGGGAGGGGTGGGGAGGGGCAAAGAGGATGGGGAGGAGCGGATGCACCTGGCCTCCCAAATCCAGATTGTGGTGCCAGCTCTGGAAACACAGCAAGTCACTCCTGAATTACCCAAACCGCAAGTGGAAAATCCACTGCAGCTGAGTATCATGTACTTTAGGATGTCTGAACTTTAGGATTTCCCTGGGATCATTATCATTCTAATCATTCTGGGACCTGAGAGAAGTAACTGAGTCGGGGGCCAGCAAGGCACAGACACTGATGAAGTTCAGCCTAGCAGTGGCCAGTTTTTTTTTCTTGATACAGAGTCTTTCTCTGTCGCCCAGGCTGGAGTGCAGTGGCGAGATCTCAGCTCGCTACAACCTCCGCCGCCCAGGTTCAAGCAATTCTTCTGCCTCAGACTCCCAAGTAGCTGGGATTACAGACATGTGCCACCACGCCCAGCTAATTTTTGTATTTTTAGTGGAGACGGGGTTTCACCATGTTGGCCAGGCTGGTCTTGACTTCCTGACCTCAGGTGATCCACCTGCCTCGGCCTCCCAAAGTGCTGGGATTACAGACGTGAGCCACCGCACCTGGCCTGGGCCTTCCTATTTTGAGGGAATCATCCCAGAATGAGAAGAACTCTGTGTAGCTGGGATGTGAGAAGCATGTGCAGAGCTTGAGTGGGTCAGTACATGCTAGGCCGATCCCACTGTGAGCATTTCACCTCTGCTGGGGGACATGGGCGCAGGGGGTGTTTGTGTTCAGGGGGGCCACCTCTTTCTGATGCCACTTTCCTGGGCTTGTCCAACCCCTGCTTGGCTGGAAGGGGACTCACCCACCTGCACATCGAGAACCTCACCAACCTCAGAGGAAAGATTAGAACAGGGCTTCACCACAGTTTTGCTTTCTGTGTGTCCCACCCCTGGGAAATGCTGCAAGGACGTCAGCCTGCCAGGTCACCCTGCAGCCAACTGCATCCTTTCCCAGCCCTGGCCGCAGCAGCTGCTGGGATCCCTTTGTCATTAGTGCAGGAGCAAAATGGGAATGGGGGAGCCAGCACTACAAGCCTCCAAGCAGTGTTCAGGTCGTGTGTTTCCTGGGCAATTGGGGGGCGTGAGTTATGCAGGGCGCTTTCCTCTCTCCCACCCACCCAAGTCCAGTAGCTTTGCTGCCTGCGTGCTTTCCCCAACCATGGACGGGCCTCTCCTACCATGGCCTCAATGCTGGGCCGTCTCCCCAGCTGAGATGCCCCCTCCTTAACCGAGTCTGCCTGCATCAGTGCTCACCTGGTTTAGGGCTGCGCTTAGAGCTAGCGTGTCCTGGTAGGGAGTGGCCTAGGCTCCAGTTCCTTTTCTTCACCAGCACTGTGGGCCAAGGCGCATGGCCTCCCACGCACCACAGCAGAGCTGCCAGGTGAGATTGATCTTCTGTGGTTGAGATGATCACTCTTGGCTGTAGCCCACTCATGCCGTGAGTGACAGACAGGTGCTTAGGGCACCAGAGTCTTCTCTAATAAGGTGGCAGCTGGCCGCGGTTGTTGATTTACCGGCCAGGATCTTCGCCTCAAGAACCACAGTGCGCTCTTCTGTAATCAGTGCTTTCCTTCTCACATCTCCTGACACGAGGATGAGCAGAGCAGGCTCGATGACACAGCTGCTCAACTGTAATCCTGTATGATAATTTTGCAAATTATTATTTTTAATATCAGCTTTTTCCTTAGGCAATAAAAGAAAAAGTTAAATTGCTCACAAACTAATAAAGGTTTATCTTCTGGAGCATCAAATTCTGTTTACTCATGAAACACACACCTCCTCTATGCACCCATCGAGAGGAAAATTAGCATTTATTTTCCCTGATAAACAAAAACAGTGGAAGATTTGTTGGCATCTTTTGGTGTTAAGCCCTTCCTTACATTTAAAATGACATAGAGGAATGCAAGAACTTTGGAAGAGGTCTGCCCTGACTCTGGATTTAATTTTAACTTTGGAAAGCAACCTGTTGTGTGCAGTAGGATGTTATGTGGTGTCTGCAGTGCCTAGACGCTAACGACATGCATGGAACCAAGCTCCCCCTTGGGCCCAGGAGCCAAGAGATTGAAGAAAGGGAAATGCTTTCATGACTCTCCACAAGTTCCTCCACGTTCCCACCGGGGGGAAGATGTTGTGTAACCCTCAGTGATGAGAAAGTGAGATTTCCCCCAGCTAGATTCCTCCTCCTTTGATTCATTTTGGTGGCAAGAGAAGTTGAAGCTTTGACACTCTCTTTATTTGCCTCAGTGCTAGAAGGCTTTAATTGCACTTAAAAATAATTCCAGTCCGATTTTCAAATGCCTTCCGGAGTGATTCAGCGTTTTTCTTTTCCCTGATTTCCAGGTACGGAGATATGAGGAGACAGATTGGCTTTGAAATCAGAGACATGTGGTACAACCTTGGTGAGTAGCCTGGATGTGGGGGCATAGTGAATATCTTGCATCCCTGGTGGGTCATGGCACTGGCCGTGTTCATCAGTGTTGGGATGTCTTAAGATCTTAATGGCTTCTGTTCCTTGGACAGCAGTTGCTACTCTTTGTAGTAACTGTTTTCAGGAATTAAGAGATAGAAGACCAAAGGCAAGGAAAGAAAATCTCACGGGTGGGGCAAAAAGAAAAATCCACAGAGCACCCTCTTGTGTTGTGTGGACACGTGGCTTGGAGCTCCTCCCTCCCTGGTGTTGCCTCCCTCCCTCAGTTGCCTCAGTTCCTTCTGCGTCAAATAGGAAGCTCATCCTGCTGTGACATTTGCCATCACTTACCATATTCAGTTTTACAGACTCTGCCTTCTAAAGGGTTAATTCCCCTCCTCAAAACCAGATCTACCTGGTGGCAGCCTAACATGCTCCTGCACTCAAAGCAGTGAAGGGTCTGTGTGTGTATATGAAATTAATAGGAGTTTATTTGTAAATTAAGTAATTTTTTCCAACTACTTTTATCATGAACAGTAAGAATAAATTCTCTATTAAAATTTTAACCAATGTGACATGTAATTCTTATAGATAAGCCCCTTCAAGAAATCAATGACTGACAATAACTTGGTATCTTCCCAGCATCTTTACACTACCCTCTAGGAATCTGGCCTCACTCCTCGTTGAGATGAAGCTCTCTCTGGCTCCTGCCGTCAGCCCTCGGGCTTGCTTTGTGCCGAGGTGTCCTAGGCCATGGGGTGCTGGTGGCCTTGCCTCAGTCCTGAGCAAAGCATCAGTTGCTTTTCTGCCCCAGGATCTCCAGGCCTCTGCTTCCTTCCTTCAAATGGACACGAGAAGCCTGCATTGGCCTGTTGCAAGAAACCCTCCACTCTCCCCTCTACCTCAGAGAATCTTTTCCTACTAGAAGGAGGCAGGGGTCTGTCCGCATCACTCTGTTAGCCTCGTAGCATTAGGGTTTCACTTGTTGCACCAGGGTTGGGACAACTTAGCTGCACCCCAGCCTGCTTACTTCCCAAGCAGCTGTGACTCCCTGCAGTGGCTGGAGAGCATGGCAAGAAAGAAGCAGAACCCAGCGAGCCACGCTTCACTTCTAGCTCACTGTTTGCTTTTGCATCTTCCTTGCCATTCTTTGGTTTGACATGAGGCCCAGTTAGGTTCTCAGGAATGGAAAGCCACAGCAGATGCTCCTGGGTGGGGATGAAGAGCGGGTCAGAGTGGCCCTGTCTGCCTGTGCCCTCCCAGTACAAAGAGAACCTGCACCATTGCATCCTTTCTGCGTGTCAGTCCTGGAGTCAGTGGAGGACTCCTCGAGGAAGCTCTGTGCTAGGTCTCTGCACATGATTTTGCTGCAGTAGCTCCTATGTCCAGAATCTGAGTACTGGGTCTCAGCTGTCAAAGGGCCTGCTGATCTCTGCAACATGATACCTACCAGGCACCATCCTGTCCTTGGCCTTCCTGCCATCCCAGGGAGGAAGGTAGGGGCTCTAGGCTCAGAGTCAAGAGAGATGATAAGTCCCACCTTGAAGTTTTCATCCTCTCCCACTCCTGCCTCCCCGTGAGGCCTGATTCACATGGCTCAGTCTTTCTGGGCCGTTAGATAAAGTGGTTGGACTGAATTTTTCAAGAGCCTTCCAATTCCAAAACTCAATAATTCTATGACATATATATACGATGATCTCAGTAATAACGTGCTAAGGCTTTTAGAACAGGGAGGAGGACCATCCGTGATTCATTCCAATTGATCTCTCTGTGTTCTTTGTTAAAATCCTGCTCTGACAGATGCATCTGTCATTTGCTCTGTTAGGCCAGACGGCAGGCCCCACACCAGGCAGGGACCCAGTGTGGTCCCATGAGAGAGAGAGAGAGGCAGGAGACGGGGGAGGGCTTTCACAGCAATGGCATGGAGGGGGGCTGTTCTCTGTTGGAACTCAGTGAGTCCAGGACTTTTATAGGCACCAACGTTCATGAAGGAGGTGATATGAGCTCCACCTGCCACAGTTGGGCTCTCAGGGCAGACCCCAGACCTCTTCTCTGGACACAGGCTCTCTCTGAGGCCATCTTTTACCCTGGCCCCTCCTAAAAGAGTGAGTCCATTTTCTTCTGTGTTGTTCCATTTCAACTCTAAAGTATAGACAGGGAATTGCCTATTTCCCCCAAGAGGACACTTGCACATATACTTTCAAATGAAGGTTCTCATTCTGGAATGGCTCGGTAACATTTCACATCATTTATGATAATTAGAGACACCACCCTAGCGGAGGGTCTGATGGGTCATTACATACTGAAATGCTTCCTTCTCCCCGTACACAACTGCAGCCACCATTTGACTCACCCTGGCCCCTGAGCACCCCCAGGATCCTCCACTGCTCTCCATGTGCCAAGGTCATTGCCTAGCACCAAGGGAGCCTCTAAAACTCAGCTCGAGCCACAGCTGGCCAGAGGTCACCCTGACTGATGGGTGCTCCTGCCTTTCTAGTTTTCTGATTTGGGATTGTTTTTGTTTTTGTTTGCAAGTATAGTTAATGTCACCTCTGTAGTCCCTGAGATTGATCACCACTGAAAGTGGCTCCATTTCAATTTGTGCTACGTGCCATGATAACAATGAAGGAAGGAAAGGCGGGCCCAGAAAGGGTGAGTTTCTCCGCGTGCCCTCTCCAAGTGCTTGGGCAGGCCTGGCCTTCTGAGGATACACTTGGGTCTGACACAGAGCACTTGGTTCTCTTGACGTTATCTGTCATGCTCCAGATAGGCCAAGTCAAGCGACAGGAGACTTTTGATTTGGAAAAGGTTGCAGTGAAGTGAGCAAGCTCCCCCCTTCCCTCCTATCAGTGGCTGATTTGAATATGGTGATTAATGCATGAGGTGTGTGTTTTGCAGCTTTTTAGCCAGGAACACTGACTGTGGCCTGAGAAGCGGCCAAGAGGTCAAAAGTAAACCAAAGCCAATTAGGGTCAGGGACTTGGAAACAACAAGAAGTAACAGTCAGCCACCAGACTTGGGTTCCTTGCTGGTAAAATAAGTTATCTTTCAAAGTGAGGGAGGTGATCTTAAAAGCACCTGCAGCCCACAGGATCCTCCCCAAGCAGCCCCTCAGGATGGCTAAGGATAGCACCACGGGGTGGCCTCCTTCCTGCCATGGTGCCAGGTGCCTGAGTGTCTTTGCCAAGGCTGTCACACTCCAAATTTATGACAGCACATCTCAGTTTCCCAGGATGTATACAACCTACTTTCTACATAGTTTTTTTTTTTTTATTTTAATTTTACTTTTTGTAAATGGGTGCAGGTTTGGGAACATATTGGCAGGATGATAGCACCGACTCTGCCAAGAAAATAGAAATGGAAATCAGATCTATTTATCTGCTTACAATTAATAAACTGTCACTTGAGCAGACCTTCAGCTGAATGCTCCATGAGTCTCCTCCTTCAGTCTTTCCAATAGTATGCATGGCCCATAGAGAGGAGCATCTCAGCTCTTGCCTCCTCCTTGCCCAGCCTCAGAGCAAGGATCTGGGGTCTGTTTTGCTCAATTTAATGCAAGGGCAAACATGGCACTGCCCCATGGGACAGAGTGATGTGTTTCTTTCCCTCCCAAACCTGTCATATTTTGAGTCTGAAAGGGGAAATCAAAAGCAGGCTCTCTCTCAAAAGAAAAAAGGGGGGAAAATGTGCTTATTTACCCAGCTCCTGAGTTATTTATCAAAGCGCACTCTGTGCAGCAGCCTGCCGGAGCACCTGATCTCCTTGCCTGTGCCGCCTCAATTTACATTTTGTTTATTACATCCAGCACACTGGAGCGAGCACTAGACCCCAGCCAGCCAGAACGAATGTGCTTGGAGCAAGATCTTTATCCACCGCGTTGGGTTTGGGATATTTTTCATGCAGGGATTCCCTTCATGGGTGTTTTTTGGCGACTGGGCAAATTGTGTGCTTTTCATTAAAACCCGTATACATTGTGGCCTAATGGGTGTGGCCAGGTGGTGGAAGCTTTTGCTCTGCCTGCTCTTGTGTATACAGAGATTTTTCTGGGATAAGTCTATGTTTAATGTCCCAGATTTTTGAACACCAGTGATTGCAAAGAGATAATTTAAACACCCACAGGGAGGCTTCTGACTAGGGAGGCCTTGGCTTCGTGAGAAAACAAGATGTTGTTCCCAGGGGAAAGAGCTCCACGTTCTGTAACTAAAATAGACTCTAGATGGGCTATGAGACCGGCAAGGACTGGAAGTAAAATATTCTCCTCGTCACCTTCCTTTGGCTCAAAAGTGTGTCCTCTTTTTCTTTAAGTCTACACTGCAGGAGTCACCTTGGTCCTCATTGGTTCCAAACCTGAGTTCATCATTAAATTTGAGCAAGATATGCTCCAGGGGAAATCTATAATGCAAATGTCAAAAAAAAAAAAGGTGGCTACCAGAGAACATTCCCCACCCACTCCTGCTCACCTTGGGGACCACTGGTTTACGAAGAGTCAGTGCCCAGGGCTGTCACTATCCATAGAACCCAGTACCAGCTCCAGGCCAGTGTGTCTTCTGTACTAATAAGGAGGGTGATAATAAAAGGTTAAGCTACTGTCGTTTTGGTAGCTTCTTTTTCCAATCCCTGCTTCTACAACCACTTGTGACTGCTTTCTATGTTTTTCCCAGCTTGGAACAATAAAACCTGTTGGTGACAGACAGAACTTTATGACGCTGAAATTGTGGTTGATGAACAACTCGCTGTCACCATCATCTGTTTTCTGAAACATTGGCTCTGACATTTTTTAGGCATAATACAAGGAAAGTGTCACCTGAGAGATGGAATATAATAGCATTTTCAAGAGAATGCTTTGCAGCAGTTACAGGACTTTCAGAAACATTAAGCATTTGGGAAAGTGGTGAGAATCACACAATGATAGCCTTAGTCAAAATATTAATTATTTAGTAAAAGTTGAAAATAAGATGTTAATTACATTTTGTGTGTATGTCCACCCAATAAAAAGTAATTCAGTCTAATTATGAGGATTACGTATTCTCTTAAGTATCGTTATAGTAGCCACATTTCTTTAATGATTCTCTTTACAGAAATGTATATTCACTGAGTTGCAAAGAAAACTAAAGAATTTGGTTTCCTGATTGTGTAGAAATATTAATAAGATTGGTTAATTCGGGATACATTGCTGGTGTTAAAATACTGCACATATTTTATTCAAACATTTAATTTCTCAGGCATTCTTCTGTTATATGTTGGAAATGAAATGGTTTTAGTTGCAGTGGGGTGAAATGAAAACAAAATCAAGATTTCTGAAAGACAAGAGGGTCAGCTTTTAAAAGATCACCTTTTTGATAGGACCTGCCTCTGAGTTTCATTATGTCACCTTAACTAAGGTTCGCAGCCCCATTTTTAGAAAGGAGTCTTCCAGGAGCTTCATTCCAGAGGTGCAGTGTCCAGGCAGTGAAAGAAGCTTGGCAGTTGCTGTGGTTTCCTCCCTCTCCCATCTCTCTGAACTTGCCTGGTTCACTTCAAGCTCTTTAGGAGCTCACCCTGATCCTCAGGAGTACCGCAGCCACGCACCCACAGGATATGGGGTCCCCGGCTGGGGTGAGCACAATGGCGGCCAACCCACAACTAGCAGGAGGGGGAGGGGCTGGCCACCACATCAGGCCCAGCTGCCAGCTGCTCTGCCCAGTCGCCAGATTTCCTGATGGTGATCCTGCGCTAGCATCTTTCTAAGTCAGCGACAGAGACCCAGGAAGGTATGATACCAAGATTTCCAACAAAAACCATTGAAATTAAAAACATAAATTGAGTGCTTGTGAGAAGCCAGTCTCTACCTTCTGGGGGCTTATTTAGCATTGTGATGTCTCAACAGTGAGGGATAAAACGATGGAAAATGACAGATCACTGACCTCTCTGTTCATTTTGCAATTAGGGGGGACAAATAAGGGAGTGGACAGCTCAAACGATTTCTCTTTCAGAGAGTCGGGTAGGGTCCGAGTGCCATGCAAAGATCCTGAGACAAGCAAACAGGGAAGGAATTTGTAAAATGAGGGTCACAGCTAAGCCTTCATAATCTCAGACCCAGGTTCAAATCCTGCTTCTCCACTTCTCTGAACAGCTCACAGAACAGCTTTGGGTACAGCCCACTTTCCTCGTCTGTTTAACAGGTTAAGAAGGTAACCATCTCGTAAGGTTACCGTGAAAATTCAGTGAGATGATGCTTTATCTTGAGCTTGTCATGTAAATTGTAAATGCTAACTAATATGATCATATTCAGTATTATTCACATTTGAAAAACTTTTGAGAAACATTTTTCTGAGTTCTTTAAAAATCATATCTGGAACAAGATAGGTGAAATGAGATTAATAAAGTAGTTCTTTTTTTTTTTTTTTTTTTTTTTTTGAGACAGAGTCTTGCTCTGTCGCCCAGGCTGGAGTGCACTGGCGTGATCTTGGCTCACTGCGACCTCTTCCTCCCAGGTTCACGCCATTCTCCTGCCTCAGCCTCCCAGGTAGCTGGGACTACAGGCGCCCGCTACCACGCCCAGCTGATTTTTTTGTATTTTTAGTAGAGACGGTGTCTCACCGTGTTAGCCAGGATGGTCTCGATCTCCTGACCTCGTGATCTGCCCGCCTTGGCCTCCCAAAGTGCTGGGATTACAGGCGTGAGCCACCACACCCGGCCTAAAGTAGTTATTTAAATAAGCATTTTCCTATCAAACAATAGCTCGAAAAGGTAGAATCACTGCTGTTTTTAGGGTTTCAGCCTCAGATTCCGGCGCCTTGATTTACTTTGATTGGAGTCGTTTGGCATGTTGCAGAAATCACCCTGCATTATTTACAGAGGTGTCAGATAGCAAACTCATCTTCATAAGATGTGGGAGATAAAGAGGACTCAAGAGACTATCTGCTCTCTCTCATTTGTCGGCTCCTGTTCCTGTCGCTGTGCACAGAGTTAGAGGCTGAGACCCCCGACTCGCAGCCCCTGCTCTATTCAGAATTGGGAATTAGCTGCATGTGTTCTGAATCTGTGTGATGGAACTGGCTACTTATAAAACAGTGTTCATCTTCTCTGACAGAGAAGTCATGATTACAGGCTTATACCGCGCGGATCTTTGAAGAGCTTCACTTATAACATGTGGAATACAGGCCACTTCTTATACTAATGGCTGGGAAAGTTCAAAATCATCATCTGCAGACGCGAAATGGATGCACATTTTCGGGATCCTGCTGCTCAAAGTCACAGTGATCTGTGTTGTGTTGTTTTATCCATTTAAGCCCATTTTAGAATTCTATTTTTCTTTATTTCTGAATATTGTACCTCTTTTTTCCAAGGTCAACACAAGATAAAGTTCATTCCAGAAATGGTGGGCCCAATATTAGAAATGACATTAATTCCCGAGACGGAGCTGCGCAAAGCCACCATCCCCATCTTCTTTGATATGATGCAGTGTGAATTCCATTCGACCCGAAGCTTCCAAATGGTAAGGACGTAGATGTGCAGCGAGTGGCCGGGGGACATGAGGGAGGCAAACCTGAAAACCTTCAAAGAAACCTGTAGACAGTTCTAGAGTTAAAGGTGCCAACGTGGAAAACACATTTTCCTACAGCTTGAGAGAGAAAAAGCCTATGATTTTCCTTATTGAAGAAGCTTATCATCCCTTGCACTCAATTTTTGGGAGGATTATTCTCAATTTTTAGCTCTTACTTACTTCTTTTAATCTGGGTTTACTTACACATTGCACCCTGGATAAAAGTCTCTTGCTCCCACTTCTTGGTACGTGCTCTTGTAGAGCGTTTAATCAAATGTTATGTGTTACATTCTCTCAGACCGGCTGCTTATTGCAGAATTGTGGTATTTTGAAAGCTAAAGTCTTTGCTTTTATTCTCTTAAGTGTGTGTCTTGTTCTTTTGCCTGTGCAATGGAACTGATGAAAATTCTCTAAGAAAGTGTATATAAAGTGCTCAAAACATACTGTGACAAACAGCATGAGGGACAAACTCTGCTGCATAACTTATGCTCAAGAAGTAACAAAATCTCCTTCTGGATCCCAAGAAAATAAGTATACTGTTTATGTATTCTTGGGTTGGCACCCACACCCACACATACACACACACACACACATGTACATCCCCACACACACACATACACATCCCCACACACACACACATGTACATCTCCACACACACATATACACATGCACATCCCCCCACACACATACACATGTGCATCCCCACATACACATACACATACACATCCCCCCCCACACACACACGCACATCCCCACACACACACACACATGCACCTCCCCCCACACACACACACGTACATCCCCACATATACACATATGTGCACACATACACACACATGCACATGCTATGACTTTCTCCTTAGTGTACTAATGGTTTGGCCATGATGCTTTGCAGGAGACCTGGGAGAAGCCCAAGTACTAGGGAGTCCTCTGAATTGAAAGATACCTTTTAAAAATCATTATACTGGACCGGATGTGGTTGCCCACGCCTGTAATCCTAGCACTTTGAGAGGCCAAGGCAGGCAGATCACTTGAGCTCAGGAGTTCGAGACCAGCCTGGGAAACATGGTGAGACTCCGTCTCTACAAAAAATACAAAAATTAGTGAGGCATGGTGGTGCACACCTGTGGTCAGGGAAGTCAAGGCTGCAGTGAGCTGTGATCACGCCACTGCACTCCCGCCTAGGTGACAGAGCCAGACCCTGTCTCTAAATAAATAAATAAATAAATATTAAAAATTATTATAGCAATTCAAGTAAGTCAACATACTAAGCATTTTACATAGATTTTAGAGGAATTTGGAGAAAAATTCCTATAATGAAAGGAAATCAAAACTTCATCAATCAAGATAGCTTAATGTTGGTGAGATCTAATATTAAAGGGTATATTATCCTTACCCACCTCTACAGTTTATCATTTAAGGGAGCTTTGAGTAGTTTATAGATTTTCATTGGTCATCTTCATCATATCACATGAAGGCGGTATCCACGAAGAATGATTTTGCTGTTTCCTAGAACAGAAAAGAGAGATACGAAACCAAAACAGTCTCCACACTGTGAGTTGAGTTTAGATACTGAGGGCAGGGAGACTGAGATTCACAGGCTTAGCCAGGTATTATCTGGGTCCTCAGCAAATCACTCAACATCTTTTAAGTCTCCAATTCAAGCTTGTAACATTGGCATGAAATAGAATCTACCAGAAAGGCGTGTTGTGAGAATGAAATAAAATCAGACCTGTACAATCCCTAGCACGGTGCCTGGCACTATAAAAGGTGGCTGTGGATGCTTCTCTTCTCTCAAGGCCGGAACCTCCCTTGGTCTGGGTGTTTGTGGAGTGCAGGGGGCAGCCTGCAGGGTGAGCCCCCAGTGTCTGCAGGACCATGGGGCCCAACGCTGCATACAAACCTGGGCATGGCCATTTCGTCAGGGTTGTTCCGGAAGCCGGGGAGGAGCACACAGGAGATGAACAGAGTCTGACTGCTGGAGCCGTTTCCTTTAACCTCTACACACCCACAGCTGTGCTTGAAAACCCATTGCAGAGGAGCCTAACACCTGGCTCGGAGATCATTATTTGTTTTTTGCACTTTGCTCCACTAGGCAGTTTTTTAATTTTTTTTTTATTTTTTTGAGACGGAGTCTCGCTCTGTTGCCAGGCAGGAATGCAGTGACGCGATCTCAGCTCACTACAGCCTCCACATCCCGGGTTCAAGTGATTCTCCTGCCTCAGCCTCTGAGTAGCTGGGATTACAGGTGCGTGCCACCACGCCTGGCTAATTTTTGTATTTTTAGTAGAGACGGTGTTTCACCACGTTGGCCAGGATGATCTTGATCTCTTGACCTCATGATCCACTCGCCTCAGCCTCCCAAAGTGCTGTGATTACAGGCGTGAGCCACCGTGCCCAGCCCTAGGCAGTTTTTTATAAGGTGACTGGTGACTGTTATTTTCACATTATTCCAACCGTGGACAGTAGAGAGGGCTTTAGTTTAACTTCCCCAGTGTAATGTCAGTTGGACTGGAATGAGTGGTGTTAGTACCTCCTCCCTTCTTCCTTCCTCCCTCCCTCCCTTTCTTCCTTCTTTCCTCCCTTCCTTCTTTCCTCCCGTTCTCTCTCTTTTTTTCCATGATAGCAGAAGGTCTCCCTGTATTTATTTTTAATAATATTAAAGATAATTCATTTTTGAAAGAACAGCTGTTTTTGTTTCTCTGGCTCACTGTCAGTCTGTGTATATACAAAGTCTTTGTATAAAGACTGTACTAATACAACATTGTAAATATTATACCTAGATTTTTTTTATTAATGTTCTTTCTGTTTGATAATATATCAAGGAGCTTTCCCTTAATTACAACATAGCAACCATGATATTAATGATGGCATAAAATTAACTATCACTTTCTTATCCATCGCCTATAAATGGGCATGTAAGTTGTTTGCAGATTTTCACTGCTGTGAATAACTGTGCAGTGAACACATTCATGCATATAGCTTGAATTTATTTTGAAAATTTTCCCAGTATACATTCTTATAAATGTAATTACGGATTTCAAATATTTTTGTAACTTTTGAAATTATTGCCAAATGGTTTGATGTTAATACGATAAGATTTGCCCCATCTCCATTGCTGCTGGCACTATATCATGGCCCCAGTTTCACTGCCAACTCATTGGAACTACAAATTATAATTTAAATGCTTTTTCCTAGGCAGAAAATTCATTTGACTTTTTGAATTTTATATAAATCTAGCCCAAAGAAGGACTTTGTGAAAAATTGCTATTAAAGAATCAGGTTAAGGGGGAAAGTGTATTTATATAGATAAATGTCACTGGCACAGAAAACTAAGGTCAAAAGTGTTTAAAACATCATTCTATTTGTCATTTTTTAATCAGTCTTTGGGTCAAAATAAGGTCAAGGGCAGTTAGAATAAAGAAGAATGAGAGTTTGGTTTCTGAATTGTTCCCCTTTTCCCTCACATTCTTTTGTCTCATGGCTGCCTTGTGGTAGTTTAAAAAATCTTACAACAATCTTCTGAGGAAGTGCTTCATTTTCTCCAGTTTGCAGGGGCCCCAGGTTTGCTAGGAAATGGTCCGAAGTTAACGAGAGCCACAGAATTTGTGCCACCATTTTAAACACCGCCTTCCCATTGGGGCTTCAACATTGACCCAGCGTCAGGAGACATCTTTCCAGAAAACCAAATTGTTTTTGAGTAATATCATGAAGTAATTGGCACATTTAGTTCCATCTCATAAACAACAAACTATTTCACTAGCATGAAACATGCCGTGCTTGGATGTATGTAAATCCAAGCATAAGCCTGAAGACACAGATTCACCCACAAGAAGGACCCACTGTCAGGCTGAGCGTGGTCAGCTACCTGAACTGTTGGTTCAGAGTCACCTGTTTCTCTGTGTTGTCATCTGCTTGAACCTCTGCAGACGAGGGATAGCGTACATTAAAGATCTTTAAAATGAGGGCAGAAAAACTAACCCTTGTTTTAAAAAAATCCCTCTTGTATGTTAATCTGCTTCTGTAATTGGGAAAAGATCAGTTTTCTTCTGTTTGATGTGCCCACCTCAGCTTCCCAGCTGGAATCTCCCAAGCCTGCAGCATCATCCCCTTTTCTGCCAGTCTCCTTGTCACTGGGTTTTCCGGCTGCGGGTCATGCTGGACTGGCCTTTGCTTGCTCCCCTGGCCTCCGTGGCAGTCGGTTGTGAAGCTTCATCAGTCCTCCCTCTGTCTCATCTGCAGCCTCCGTCCTCTGCGCAATCACCATTGCACTAGTCCAGGATTATTCCTGGGCCACAGTATTTGTCTCTTGACTTGCTCTATCTATGTTTTCTAAGTCCTTTCTGACTCCAGTTCCACCTGTCCCTCTCAGCTGGTCTTCCTAAAGCACAAGGGATGGCCCCTATTGTCGGTGATGTGGGCGAATGTGTAGAGTGGACATGTGTGTGGCACATTGGTGCAGGGTTGGCCCCACCTGCTTCTCCATCCACGAGCTTCTGGGATGGGGATGGTCGGCTGCTGCCTAACTCCTCTGCCATAAGCCCAGTTACCTCACCTTATTAGTCACGTCAGCAGGGGCTTAAGTTTTTTTTATAGCTTTTATAGCAGATGTGCAAACCCTACTGGAGTAGGGGGAAGATATTAGGGGGATTTGTTTTTACAACACTTTAGTGTTTTGAACCCGTGATAGAGCTTATGTTTTAAAGGTTGCTGTGTCTTTTGGAGTAGAGCTGTCAATATGCTACTGTTTATGGAATATGAAATAATATATATGTCCAGGTGTATTTTACTCTTACAATTGGAGTAGAGAGGAGACCTGCTGGATTCAGAAGAAAAACCTGCTATTTTACTCAGGATTAAACTGCACCAAACCATTACTGGAATTTTAAAAGCATGTGTTACAAATTGGCTTTTCTAACGTTGCCCGGAGTTTCTGCTCTTGTGCTCGTGCTCTTCAGCCGCAGTGGCGGGCATTTCATTAGAACGTTCTTTCCCTTACACCTCCCCAAGAGCCTACTCCTTTCCTGTCTCCACTTGTGCAAGAAAGAGCACAAATGTTCCTTCGGAATAGGCTCAGCCTTGCCCTTATCCTGCTTCTCCAGGGTCCATGTGTTGAATGGGCTCTCTTGGTGGCGGGATGGGGTGGCATGGAGTTATCCTTTCATGGGCCATGTCCTCCTTGTGGCCTGGGACTCTCTGTCCAGCGCTGCAGTGAGTGCCTTAGGTCAGCTTGACAGCACTCGCTCTGGGGAGGTGGCGATGAAGCTCCACAAAAGGCTCCAGGCTGAAGGTCCCTGATGCTAGTGGAAGCCTGCTGTGAAGTGTCGTGTTCTGCAGGAGCTGGGCCAGACAGAAGCCTGTGAGATGGGAGGCCCCAGATGTGCACAGCGGCCTTGAATTCTTTTTAGAAGTCCCTCCTACCTTCAAAGTCATATGCTTCACTGTGGGCTGGGTCCATAGCCATAGAGCTCCGGTCCGTTGACAGGAAGGCGTTCCCAGCGACTGGACGCTGCATGACGCTCTTGCAATCTCACACCTCTCTGCCATCCCATCCCTGTTTGTGTACGGCCAGGAGGCTGCTGCCTGTGGGGTTTCTTTTCCTCCTAGTGCTTGCAGTGTGGATACTCCAAGCCAGGGGAGGTGGGGATACATGTGGGAAGCCCCAGTGGATGCCCACTGCAGCCATGCCCCTGGGGTGGCCCCCAGCCCTGTGGCCACTGTCAGCCACCCCCTCCATCACTGGGCACTCTTGTGCCACTTCCCTGCCCTGTCCATACTCAAGGCCACTGTGGACATCTGGGGCCTCCTATCTCATAGGCATCTGTCTGGCCAAGCTCCTGCCAGAACATGGCCCTTCACAGGGGAAGTTCCATTAGCATCAGAGACCTTCCGTCTGGAGGCCTTGGCAGAGCTTCATCACCACCTCCCCAGAGCCAGCTCTGTCAAGCTGACCTAAGGCACTCACTGCAGCTCCTCAACAAAAACCCATTTCTTATTTCTTCTGCCTCTTTTGTCTCTGGGTGCTCCAGCTGTCTGTGGTCATCCTGGCTCTTCCAGCACTTTCTATGAATCTTTTATGATCCGGATGCCCCAGCCATTCTCCTAAATCATCCTCCCCTGCTGCTTCTTCCTGTCCTGGTGCCTAAGGGCACATTCTCTGCCCCCTTTCCTTACAGCTGGCCAACTCCTCGAGACACCACCACAGCTGCGTTCATCCCACCCCCTCGCCCTGTGCCCACCCCAATCCAGAGAGTAGCATGCTTACCCCTAAACTCAGGACTCTAGGAATCTCCATTTGTTTGAAAGGAGAGGTCCTACTTGGGAAGATTTCAGGACTGATAAGCTGGCAGGGGAAATGTGGAGAGGCATTGGGGTCTTCGCGCCCCTTATCCCATCCACCTGGATGAGCCTGCCCTTGGTCACAGGAGATGAGCCCTCTCCTGGCCTTAAGCTGACTCTCCCTGCCTCACCAAGAACCCTGCCCTCCCGTGGACCGCACTCCAAGTCTCACCCTCATACTGGATTTTGCTTCATAATAAAAAGCATACTTTTAAATTCCCTCCTGGCATCTTTTTAAAGAATTCCATTTGTTACGCCTTTGGAAAATACAGAACTAACAGCTGAGAATTGCAGCAAATGACCATATGGGCCATAGACCATTAATAAAAATGGAATGGAAAAAGCTGCCCAGCAAAAATAATATTTTCAATCATGGAGCTATTTTCTGTCATCTTTGTGAGGCTCAGTAAAATGCTGCACAACTTCCAGAAATTCCCATTTAGTTGTAACAGTATTAGAACATGAATAATCTTTGTGTCATCAGTGTTGCCGAGCTCCTGTTTGAATAATCTCTTCACACTGCCCATGCCAGTAACCGGAAGCCAGTAATTGAATAGCCGGGTGAATGTCAGCGGCTCTGCCACTTGGTGGAAAGGCCAATGTATTTTCCACTGTAATATGAATGTGAATGAGTTTGGTAGCAATTCTATCTTGTGTATTCTTTAATTCATTAGGATTTTATTTGTTGGTTTGTTTATTTTTGCTTTCAATGTCAAAATAATTCTTGCCTAAAGAGGAAATATGGCACAAGAGGCTTCTGTTTCATTGAATCCAGACCCAAAGATGGTCTGAGAGGCCATGGAAACCAAGATCCTTGACTCCAGGAGCTGCGATTATATTGAATTTCATTCTTAAAAGCCCTCCAGCAAAGAGATTCTTCCATAATCCCCTTTAACCAGATTAAACAGGACTAATTTTGAGGCCATGTTCCCAGAGTCCTCTGGAATTGCATGCAGCCCTAAAGTCACTCTTTAATCTGTGTCATGTAGACATAAGGAGCCGCTGCACCTGTCTCAGGCATCAGCAAGGTGTCATGGCCTGCGATGCAGCCATGCATCCCCAGCCAGGCAGCTCCAAGTGAGTGGCTCTGGGTCCTCCAGGCTCATGAGTGTTTCACAGGAGCTCCAAGGTCAGCAAGCCCCTTGCTTGACGGACGTAGGAGGATGTGGAGGTTTTTGAATGTGGGATGAAGTGCCACCGATTAATTAGTGTGTAATTAAGTTTCCAGAGCAGTTAGGCAAGAGGAATGCTCTATACATAAAGATATGAATGTGTCTGAGCACAGGTACTCAAGGCTGAGTGATGGATCGGGAGGGACCAGTCACTTGTAGGATGTCAGCATGGGCGCCTAGAGCCCCAAGGGTTGTGCGGTGTCACACTTCTCTCTGCTGAACCTTGCCTGTTTCATCTTCTTAACCATGTTTTCCACCCAGATACAGTCCAGCAACTTTCTCCCACCCACCTCCCCCTGCACATGCTCAGGGGGTAAGGTGTGGTTGCGCAGTTTCATCAGATTGGCCCCGACCCAGGGAGAGAAGGCAGAGAGAGTCTGATTCCTTGGTGCCCTCTGCCTGCAGTATCTTCTGAGCATTTCTTCTTTAAATACAGGAGAAACTAGAGCACTCTGGGCAAAGAGCAGCATTGTACTAAGGTTTATTTTTAAAGGGTCAAATAAGCCCTTCTGCTAATGTACTTAGCAGATCATGTCCATAGATTTCAGATCTCACCCGGCTCTTGATAACCTCGGAGCCCTCCATCAAGGCGGTGAGTGGTCTGTGCAAACCTTTCCACCCTGGCCCAGCCTCCTGCTGCGCTCCCACAGAACCCTAGAGCTCTTCTGGTATATAAAGCATGGTCCTGGATGTCTGGCAAGTGCAGGCTGATTTTATACATTACAGATGTATAAAATTATAGATGCATTAGAGTAAGAATAGTAAATCTCACCCAAAACAAAAATTATGCGTTCCAAACCAAATATAATTGGCTTTTGGATTAGCTACTACTGGGATCCTTCTCTCCATGATCTTTCAAATAGGTGCCAATAGCCTATGGTTAGCTGTGGCAGTGAGTGGTAAAAGCAGTGTTTCCTTTTTAAGTTAATTGAATTAACAAGACGTCAATATCGCTTCGAGCACAGCCCCCTGACTCCGTCACGTCAATTTAACAGCAACTTTCCGAAAGGCCTTCTATTCATAAGTGTTCTCTTGTTTCATGTTCTCAGAGGGCTGCTGGTATCAGACACTGAGAGACTCTCTGTTCAGTATTTTCAGTTGGACACCCTGTGAATATTTTTGGAGCAATATTAGTGATTCAGAAAAGAGAAGAAAATATAATGGTTTTGCTTATTACGTGAGTGAGCCTCTGCCACCTTTTGAGCAACACAGTAAACCCTTGCTAATTTTATCCCAGCCATAGAGAACCTTGTTGCAAATCACCAGACAATGTGCATTTATGAGGAAGATAATAAGCATGATTTTGATAAAACCAGCTCTGCTCTATCAGCAAATGTACTATCTCCAATTTAGTGGGACAGGATCATTTAATTCTGATTATAGTAACAGTTCATAGCACACTAGCGAATCAATTCGAGTGTATTCTATAAAAATGAACGAGGATCCTGGAATTAGAGGCTAGTTGTGGATCTCTGGTACTGAATCCTTGCTAATAAACAGATCAGGGTGGCCAGGTGTTTGTGTAAATTACTTAGTTTGGACTAGGGTTAGTAAAATTAGAATCAGCTGTGTTGTGATTTACTTACCACTCATCCACCTTTGTTGGAAATCATTAAGTTCATCAGTCAGAATTTGATCAGCAGCATACCTAGGTAGCTGTAGCTTCCTCATTGCCTGTGTTTGTGACAGCTAGATTTACATGGAAGCAGAGAAAACATGCCGTTTTCATAACCTACACTCTGTGTTCAGATCCCTTTGGCTTGACCATTGATGGGCATTTTAAATGCCTGTATGTTTGCCCATGTCAGGAGAAGGCACATTTCTCTGCATTCTCTGTACCTTTCTTGTTGTCTGTACTCATTAAACATACATGAAATTGAATCATGTTTTGATTAAATTTAATTTAATTTTGTGTCTCTATTATTTGTCCTGAAGCATCAGCCCTCATCAAACATTTAATCTTTGAAGTCTGTCTGGATCATGGCACCATCTGGGAGATGGCACTGCCTTGAAATGCCAACTTTTGGGCTACTACCAAGCGATCTCCCTTGTATGTGATTCCAAAAAGAACTACCTTTTGCAGAATTCTTTTCTGTAAAGGGCAGGATAGCAGTGGTTAGTATCAAAAGGTTGTTATTTTACAGTAAAAATCGTTAATGTGAGATTTCAGGAGAAAAAAAATCTAAAGCAATTCATTCCTCCTTCTTCAATAGAACCATCTGTCTGTGCTGCTAAAATCCTTGAACTTCTTAGGCCAGACAGAATCAAAAAGAAGTGTTTATTTGGGGGAGGAGACCATGGAGAAGATCAAGAAGAAAATTGGAGAGATTCACTAAGGTCCGGGTTCTGGGGATGTTGCTGAGTCCTTGATGTCAGGCAAGAATCAGTACTTCTCTCCAGCCCTGAAAGCCTTTGTTTCATCTGTAGCTGTGGCTTTGGGCAGTGTGTACTGATCGAGGACAGGCAGGGCGTCTGTGTCCATTTGGAGGCCCCTCCTTGGGTTTCACCGTTCCTTGCTAATTGCTTCTCAGGGGTCCACAGTCAGCTGCTCCTGCAGGGGCATCCCCAAGTCTCTGGTGCCCACAGTGTCTGTCACAGGCACTCTGGATGAGCAGTTTTCACGACTGGGCTTGGCCTGGCCAAGAATGCAGGTTGTGATTTATCAACCCTCTAGACCGCTCCTTTGCTGACATATTAAGCCCTCTCCAGCTTTATCCAGTCTAAGCACTTTAATCCAATCTAAGTTGGTCTAAGACCAACTGTATTCAGTAGTTTATGTGCACACAGCACATTCATTCCATTAGAGCATCAAAGGCACTGTTTGAGGTTTTGGGGCTGGCTAGAGCAATGACCAAAGAAAAATTCTTCCTCTCACTCAGCTTAAATTCCACTGGGATCCTAATAACAGCAGGCGGCTTGAGAATTGTTGCCTGAGAAAGTAGGTGATTGAACATGGCTTTAGAGAGATCCTGGAGACCCTTGCATACATGCCCATGGCGTACTTGCTTTCTGAACCCTGGATTCAGCTTTCTTCAATTCTTCCTTTGTCCATCTTCCTTCAGTTTAGAGTGTGCATGTCTCATCTTTATGGGAATGAACAATCTCACAGCCCCTCCTTGCTACTGGCACAAGTTGATGGTAACCTCAGGGCCCCCTGCAGCATGGCTAGTCACCAGGCCGGAGTCCCAGTACTCAGATGGCTATGAACTCTGCCAGAGATGGGGAACTGGGCAGTGAGGATGGGGAAAACATGTCCATTGTTATCGAGGTTTTTTTCAGCCTGATCAGACACTTGAAGACATTTTAGAGATTTCCACCCCCCAGAATTTAGAGTTTTTCTAAAAGCATGGATCTGAGACATAATTAGCTGGTACTGGCGACCCTTCTGCACCCTGATTCCCAGGAAATTTAATCAGAAGCTTTGGGGATGGAGGATAGGCTGGAGATGGACCTTCTTGAGGTGCCTGCTGGTCTGTCTTTAGGGACATTGCTCCTCTTGCTCTTTAGAACATTTTTTCAGCCAGAGTGAGGTATTTCACTAGGATCTATCAAGGAATGGCAGCTAAGTGGCCCCTAGGATGTTTTCAGATTGCCGAGAACTCTTCACTGGCAGGGGAAACACCATCTGTTCATTTCAGGAACCAACAAGCTATTTTAGATGTTACGTGTTTGTAGAGATGAAGTTTGAGACTTTTTTTCATGCTGCGCTTTGATTTTTTTTTCCCCCTATGGTTTCCTTGTCTTTCTTCCCCTGGTTCTTGCTCCTGCTATCAGGACGTGCAGGTTCAGGCTCCATTAACCAGAAAAGGAAATGAGAGGTCCCCCTATGGCAAGGGATCATCAGAAACCTCCAGGGGTTCTGTGTTGGCAACTCTTAAATGAGGCTTCAAAGGCAGAGGGTAGCCATCTATGATGATCTCTCTTGCCGATTTATGTTCTATTGACACTCAAGTCATAAAATGAAATACTCGCCATGCTGATTATTTACGCTTCCTCTGTTTAATTATAGTTTGAAAATGAGATCATCACCAAGCTGGATCATGAAGTCGAAGGAGGCAGAGGAGACGAACAGTACAAAGTGTTATTTGATAAAATGTAAGTGTTGATTAGCAGTGGGATTTATGTCTGAGAGATACAGAGACAGAGAGACCGTAATTAGACTACAATGAACTTTGTAACCCAGAAATAATTAAAATGTGTTAATAATGGAAAATAGTTAAAATTGCACCTCTGTTGAGTTTCTTTTTCTGAGTGTGATTAACAAGGTGTGTATAATTATTTTTCAGCCTTCTGGAACACTGCAGGAAGCACAAATACCTCGCCAAAACAGGAGAAACTTTTGTAAAACTCGTTGTGCGCTTAATGGAAAGGCTTTTGGATTATAGAACCATCATGCACGACGAGAACAAAGAAAACCGCATGAGCTGCACCGTCAATGTGCTGGTGAGTGAAAGCTTAATCACGTTTTTTCAGTTTTCACAGCACACCAGAAACTGAAGCGGGGATTGCCCCAGCCCTTATCTATGACAGTCAGCCACGAAGCTTTCCACCGCAGAACAATCTCCTTCGCTTGTTTCCTCATCTGCTGCAGGGAAGGAATCATGAAGTCGTCCACTCTGAATAAGTCTGTAAAATTGTCCCATCTCTGGACGTTTTAATGTCGCTCTCCTTGTCGTTGTGAATGATGACTCACCGTATCTTGCAGCCAGGGTAGTGCCTCATGGATTACGGCCTTAAGGCTTTGTGATTAGGAGACCATAAACGCGTGCTATGTAGTACATAGGCTGAATGGTGGCCTCAAAGGTAGAGCAATACCCCAGTCCTTAGAACCTGTGAATGAGACCTTATTTGGAAACAAGAGGCCCTGCAAATATAATTAAAAAGAATCTCAGATGGGATTATCCTGGATTACCTGCAAGGGGAGGGGAGAGGTACTAACTCCAATGACAGGTGTCCTCATAAGAGACAAAAGAGAAGACACAGAAACAGGCTAGACCTTGTGAAGATGGAGGCAGAGATTGGAGGGACCCAGTCTCAAGCCAAGGAATGCCTGGAGCCACCAGAAGCCTGCGGAGGCCAGGAAGGATCCCCCCCTAGAGCTTTCTAGGGGAACGTTGTCCTACTCACACCTTGATTTCAGATTCTGGCCTCTGGAACTGTGAGAAGAAACATATCTGTTGTTTTAGGTTTATGGTAATTTGTTACAGCAGCCACAGGAAACCAGATCTGGGCACCATGGAGAACAGACGCCTGGGCGACCTTGGCTGCTGCCATCTGTCTGCCTTTTGCATTCCTGCTGTTGCCCTGATACAGCTGGGTTCTGTGGACACCCCCTTCCTGATGTCATTGTGGTCCCTAATCCAGGAAATCCATTAGTACCAATGAGCTTTTGGGAAGCTTTACCACAAGCTCAGATCCCGGCCAGCCTCATGGCTCTCAGCAGCGTTGTGATTCCCACAGCCTGGCTCCAGAGCTCTCTGCTTCTCCCTTTGCTGCTTCTCTTATAAAGAAACACAAGGGCTGACTCGTGGCCATAGTAGGGCTTTCCTCAAGTTTCCTTGCCTGTCCCATGGCAAGAATGCAAGAAAACACTACTCCTGCTTTGCTCTACTTACCTCCCTTCTCTGCCCAGCCACTGGCCTCAGGATTTCAGAGTCGCCAACAACATGTGGATACATAGTCCTCACTGCCACATCCACCCCTTGTGTGGACTTGTGGGTGCTTTATGCTCATGGAAATGGACTTTCATGCCAGGAGGAACATGACACATCATTCACTCTTTAAAAAGCCAGAGTTGTGTGGATTAAAAAGATAAACGAAAAGGAATGCTTTCACTTTTCATCGACTATGGTATCAGTGCTGGATCTGTGCTTTGCCATGAGGAACTTCACAGCTGAAAGCTCATGAGCAGTCTTCGCCCCTTCATTGCATGGCTGGACAGCTTGTTTAGGCTAATGATAAACATTTCTGTAACAAGTTTTCTTTTCCTTAAAAATCTAAATATAGGGGACCAGTTTTTGGTCCAGCATGTAAAGAGCTTGCAAATTGTCACTCCTGTCCTCACAACAAGAAAAAAGCTGAACAAATTGAAAACAATCAACAATTATTAGTTCCGTCTTCTTAGATCTGTAGATAAACTTCTGACCCCAAAGTCAAAGAAACAGGAGGATACAGAGAACCACAGAGTGGAAGCCCAAACAGAAACCACCACTGGAGCCAGTACTAGATTCCTTTTACCCAGTCCATCATATTCACTTTCAACGCATTAGTACAATGCACGCTAAAGACAAAAACACAGTGAAGGGGCAGAGCAGGCATTAGAACCAGACTCTGATACGGCAGAGGTTTTGAAATCATCAGACCTGCAATTTAAAACAGCTGTGATGAATATCCTAAGGGCTCTAATGGGAAAAGTAGATAAAACATAAAAGAAGGTGGGTAAACTACGTAGAAACTCACAGAAATCATCAAGAAGAAATTCTGGAAATCTAAAACACTGTAACAGTGTGAAGAATGCCTCTGATGGTCTCATCAATCAACTGGACACAGAATCTGTGGACTTGAAAAATCTGAATGTTTGCAGATGCATCATGTGTCTTAGGCTACTGTAGAAATTACTGGTCTCTGATGTCTGGCCCTGAGGTCTGGGCTGTGGCTGTGTTTGTCTTTATATTCACCTGGAGACTGACCAAGTGGTACAGCAGCAAGCTCTGCCCCAGGTCAGTTGGTCTGATCTTACAGACAGAAAAGAACCTGGCGCTTACTTCACTGTCTTCTTGCATTCTGACCAACGTTCAAAGTAATTTGTTGTCATGGTGCCAATGTGATTGACGTGAAATAGGAACTATTATTTTTCTATGGGAAAGAAATGGAGAACTTTACAAAATCCTTCCCTACTATGGACATAACTTTATAGTGTTCCTTCTAATCCTTAAGGGGATCTAAGAGGCTGATAAGTGCCCAGAAGGAAGAATTATCAATAAGTTTATTAGTCTTCCAACTTTGATGATTGAGACTTTTATTTGTTTTAAGCAAGATCTCTTATGCTCACCAGGACATGAAACAGTGGAGAAATGGTGGTGTGCTCTGAATATGGGCTCTTACTACCTGAATCTAGGGTCAGGAAACAAACTCTTGTAATAAAACCTACAATCACGGTTTCTAATGTGAACCTGTGTTCCTCTTTAATTCAGAGCCAGACTCAGTGCCCACGTACTTTTACTGTGGTCAGCACTTGCTCAGTTTTAACTAAGAAACACACCCTGGGTTCTCAAGGTTATCTGACATTATTAACTTTCTTCAAATGGGAACGTCCTGAATCATTTGATGAAAAATCAAATGTTCTGCTCTTAACCATTTCCTGGGGATGATAAAATGGATCCCAACTGTCACAGTTTTTTCATTTAGAAAATAAATCTGTGGAATAAAGGGAAACAAGAAACCAGAGTTTTAAAGATAGGTAGATAGGTGTCCTAACCATAGATACTCACTGCCCAGCTCAATTTCCTGGTCAGTTTTTCCCTTTTCTCCTGGTACTTTTATTACAGAAACAGAGTGTAATAGAGATGGGTATGTATAACCATCTCTAAATGAATATAGATGTATACATATTGGAGATGTATAAAATATACTCTGTTAGTCACTAAGAAGAAATGAAGCCTAAAGTTAAAAAATTAAATTAATAAAATAAAGAACATAGAATTTACCAATGCTCTGTAAGTCTGTTGCCAAGTTTCCTTTAGAACCAGCTTCGTGGTTTCTTACAAAACACAGTTAGTGGAACATTGTAAGTTGTGTAGGCTCCTTCATGTCCTATTTTCTTGCCCTTAAAAAAACAAAAATAGGTCCGGGTGTGGTGGCTCACGCCTGTTGCACTTTGGGAGGCCAAGGAGGGAGGATCACTTGAGGTCAGGAGTTTGATACCAGCCTGGCCAACATGGTAAAACCCCATCTCTACTAAAAATACAAAAATTAGCTGGGCATGGTGTTGGGTGCCTGTAATCCCAGGTACTCGGGAGGCTGAGGCAACAGAATAGCTTGAACTCGGGAGGCGGAGGTTGCAGTGAGCCTAGATCACACCACTGCACTCCAGCCTGGGCAACAGAGGTAGACTCTGTCTCAAAAAAAAAAAAAAAAAAGAAGAAAGAAAATGAAAAAGTAAGAGACGCAGCAGTCACTCTGCTTGGCCACCTAAGTCCCCAGGACATCTCCTGCAAGGATGTCTGCATGTATGTTGGAACTTGGATGTATATTTGTAATTCTTTAACTAGAATTTCACTGACAGCTCATAATCGAGCATCTTTAATTATTGGTCACTAATGTTGCTGAGTGTCACTTAGTGCTTCTGTGCAGTCATCCACACGTCCCATCTCTGTGACTGGTAGGCGCATCATTACTTTGCACATGCCAGTTACTTCTCTTCATAGCCCCTTGGCAAGGCTAATTAAATGCAGAGTGGGGTCCAGTATTTTTAAAATCTTGGTATCTGTTTTAGTCCAAAATGGAAATATAATGCAGATGTCTGCGTTCTAAAAGATCAATGCCTAGCGGTGGATTGGAGTTGGGGGGCCGGTCCCAATGGGGTTCCTCTGGGAGCTGAGCTGCAAGCTTGGCACAGATGTCAGTCAGCGCTGGTGTGGGGGGACTTGAGAGACAAGGCTGCCCGCGGAGCCCAGGAGGAGTGGGAGCACCGCGTGAACCTTTACGTAAGAAACACAAAGGTTTTATATAGAAATTGGGATTGGAGATGAGTGTACTTCGGTTGTGGAGAGGTTTTGAAGTCCTAGGAAGGGAACAGGACTCAGCACAGGCAGAAAATAGAAGACATTTCGTATCTCCGAGAGAGGAATGAAGGTCGCATGATATTCCCGTTGTGAAATTGTAAAGAAAAATGATCAAAACCTTAGAAAGGATTAAAAATATGAGTACAAAAGGGGATGGTGTGAAACCGTAGCTTGTAAATACTGGCAACTTTGAGTTGGAAATGAAGGGCTTATCCTCTGCCTTTGATGCAGATTCTCTTTGTTGCGACAGTGAGTTGTCAGCTGAAAATATCCTCATTACTGAGCCGTGTCATATGAACTGGAGGACAGTAAAGTGTCAGAGGCAACAGAACTTGAAAATCTTGGTGCATTTTTCTAAATGTGCCCCCGCTTATTTTCTAGACTTAGTTATCATTTCTTTTCAGAGACATCAATTGTAGAAGCAATGCTGGGTTTTGCTCATGAAATTAAAGAGCCTATGCCATTTCTTGGATAATTGTATGTCTCTGTAATGGTGATATTCACTAGTTACTTCAGGCTCCGATTCTAGAGGGCTAACATCATTTTTAGGTGCTAAATTTCACATTGAAAGTGACTCTGATGTTTCCTTACCTTAGGCCTTGTGAGGTGACTTCTGTGCCTCTCTGGTGGCTCCTGTGTGAAAAAGATTTTAAAGTGTTTATGGAGATGTTCACCTTAAGAAATATAATTTTGATAGAAATGTTATTGCTCAACCAGACGATATTTTCCAGTAAATATGTAGAAATAATCCATTGGTTTTAATCTACTAATTAAGCTTTCTCCATCAGTGTTTATACACAGGGGGCTTTTTCAGAGGCAGCCCTCTTTTTTTAACTGTGGTTTGGAAGGTTTGCCTGTCTGGAACAGTGCTATCTACCAGAAAGTTCTGGGATAATGGAAATGTCTTGTGTAGACTGTTTGATACAGTAGACTAGCCGCATGTGGCTGTTAAGCGCTCCAAGTGTGGCAAGTGCAGCTGGGGAAGTGAATTATTTATTCAATGTTAGTTAAATTTACTTTACCTTTTAATATATGTGGCTACTGGCTAGTGTATTGCATAACTCAGGTCTGTATTATCATATTGTCTTTGTAGCTCTTGCTGAGGCTGGGCCCAGAAAGCTTTAAATCATGTTGATGATGCTTATTTGCTTATTCCCAAATTTGGGATATTTATTTATGTATTCATTTATTCTGATGAGATTACTATGGCTAAGATATCATGTCTTCATGTCTTTTTGGGCAATACCTTGTTTTAATTGAAGACAAGTGACTTTCAAGTGACAGAAGTTGATTTTAGTCATCACAGTGTTCAGTGTAGAAATGTAATTGTGTTTGACTAGCAAAAAAAAAAGTGAAGAACTGTGTAAGATGGTTTTGCAATTTATGTGAATTTATGGTTCTGATCCAAAGAGCTGGGTCCATTTGGCTGTGTTTGACACAAGATGAAGTATCTTGAATTTTTATTGTGCATGTGATACCTTTTGTGGAACAGATTTCTTAAAACAGTATTATGGTTTAACTTTTCAGAATTTCTACAAAGAAATTGAAAGAGAAGAAATGTATATAAGGTATGTATGCATCACGCTTGTCTGCATGTTAATTATAAATAATAATATATGTTGTATGTTTACGTATGCTAAGAAATGTGTTATAGCCGCAAAGGTTTATTTTGTAGAAAATTGTGAAACGTATAAGGTAGAGTTTGGTGGAGCTCCCAGATACATTCTCAGCTCTTGCATAGCTTGTCCACACCAGTGCAGAGTTCTTGGTGGTCACCATTAGCCAACTCAAAAGCAAAACTACAAATAATTGTTTCACAGCGTTTTGTACCTGTTGACCAACTCATGTGGCCCTTTTGCAAAAAGATAAGCACATAAATTTTAATGTTTCACAGTAAGTTATATGATCCAGTGAGAAATCCAGTTATAACTTTACCAGACATAGGGGAGTTATAATTTTTCAGTCTGCTCTTAGTTAACTGACGCCATAGTCCCGTGTTTTTTATGTCTTTCTTCCATGAAGAAGAGAAACATTTTGCATTGCCTGCTGGATTTTGCTTCCCTACTCGCCTTGCTCCCTGGAGTGAGGGACTGTGATTGAGCCCTTCTCTCTTGGTTACTTCTAAAGTCTCGTGTCAAATAATTAGCAAGATTACCACTCTGGAGACTAGGAGAAGGATGTAACCTACACAGCATGAGTTTTTAGTGATGTGTTTATTACACTGAGGGTGATTGTCTAATTTTCTATTTCTAAGATTGTTTTTACTTCTCCTTTTTAAGAACATACTATGTGAATTTAATAACTCAGTTACCTTTATTTCTTTATGGCAAAGAAATTCTTTCGATCACATTGACTGTAATCATTGGAGCTCTTTATTCTGATGGATTTGTATTTTTACGGATTTTTTTGTGCATTTGGACTCAGTAGAAATGCAGAAAATCACAATCAAGTATTGTGTGTCTCATTAAAAATGTTTAAGGGAAAATGAAAAGGAATGAAAAATTTGAAGGAAAATTCTACCTTTGTGTATCATCTTTATTTTTTTCCTGAGTTTTTCTTAGTGCTTTCTGTACCAAAAGTTTTTAAGGCATTTTGAATTATGAACATTGTAAAAAGGAAGTGTAGCCATGATTTACTGTTGAACATAGAATTTAGCTCTTGCAATCCTCAACACAAATTATTTAGTGACATTTTAAGAACATACCTCTGTTTTATTGTCTCAGGTATTTGTACAAGCTCTGTGACCTGCACAAGGAGTGTGATAACTACACCGAAGCGGCTTACACCTTGCTTCTCCATGCAAAGCTTCTTAAGGTAATGTCAATTACCAGTCACCTTGATGATTCTATTGTTATAAATTCTAACAATATTCAGAATTGTATTTTTCCATGGCAAATTTTAGTAGGCCTATAACTTAAGGTTTTATGAAATTGACTAAATAAATGCAAGGATATGAACAAAAATATTTAGGAAGTACTTTGATTAGAGATTTGTCCCTGCTGAATGCAGATTTAATTAGATGTCATAGCAGGTGATCACTGAGCATTATAAACTCCCATCACTTGGCTGTGAGCTGACAGCAAGTTAGAGATTCTACAATTCCTTGTTCAGGACTACAGGACTCCAGGATGGTGGAGAACAATATCAAGAAGGAATTTTCCTGGTAGAACAGCTAAGAGATAGGATGAGACATACCCCTAATTGTCTTAGTAAAGAGTTAGGGACCAGATCATGACTTTTCACTCTATCAGTTCACGTTGAGACCTCCTGCTAGTGCTCTCTGCCTGATTCTTCTAAGGAGTGTTGCTCCTAGCACAAGTCTGGCATGACAACTGTCTACTCTTAGTGGTTCTTTTATTACTCAGATAGCTTCAGACATTGACTTTCTTTGTTTACAGTGACGTATGGATGGATGGATGGATGGATGGATGGATGGATGGATGGACAAATTGCTATACAGCCTCTAGTTTTATATTTCACAACCTCAGTAAGTTATTAGATGATCTTGCTCATGACATCCTTATAAAAATTTGAAAAATTATGAACTGGATAAATAAGAACAGTTACAAGAATTAGAATTTAGTTTGGTGGCATTCCACAAAGACTGCTCATTCAAGGAGTCATGTTTCCAAATCCAAGCCAGCCTCCCAAAAACCAAAAATGTAATGAAAGAAAACCAGAGAAAATTACATTAAATGGGCATTCAGTAGTGTCAATTAGGTAATAGGAGTTAAGGAAGACATTGTGTTATGGAGTAAAACTCTGGTAAGACTCTTTCCATCTTTGGCCCGATCCTGAAATTTCTGATAGTTTCTGTGACACAAATATACACAGGCTGCCCTAGAGACCTGCGAGTATGGAAATTTGCCTCTGCCTGGAAACAGCAGTGTCTGTTACAAATAAAACACACAAAGCTCAGCTCAGTCTGGAGGGACCTCATCAGTTGTCCTCCTGAGGCTGGCTGTCTGAGGACCCATTTTGCCCCGTGCCACGTGGGCTCTCCCAAGGAGCATAATTTATAAGGATGGAAATTTCAGTTGGTACATCTGATACCAGCTATCCCACTATGAATTCTGATGGCCTTCATTTATTCAAAACTCAAATTTCAGTAGCAAGGTGTTTTTTGCAAATGTGAAGCTATTTCTTTTACCCCAGGGAAATTAAAATGGGGTTGACAAACTGCTCACTCAACCCTTACTCCGTCCCTCATAGAACGTAAACTTTTATATGCATGTGTGAATGTAAAACATATATATGTGCATAAAGGCATCATTTGTTTAATCATTGGATTTATTGAGTACAGATGGGTTTGTCACAAACTGCATGATGGTTTGTTTCACAACTCAAATCGATAGGCCCAATTGCATTGCTGTTTCCCCTGGGCTTCTGAATTTTCCAGTTTAATGGGGAATGCTACATAATCTCTCTCCATATCTTTTGCCCCGTTACATTTTGCAATTTTTTCTAAATATGTTTTGATATTACTGTAAATGTGAATTCATGCTAATCACCTCACTAAAGAACATGATTTATGTTGTTGCGAAAATTCTTCAGTATGACAGATATATTATTGTTTATTAACTGAAAATCCTCAAATAGAATCTTCTTTTTTGGTTAGGCATATCTTTCGTCAAAACCAAGAGCAATAAAAACTTTAGTTTTTCGCCTAGCAATCAAATTATTACATCTCCATGTGGAAGTGGAAGGTAGAGAGGATTTTTGCTTCCCTAGTCCATGTTTTCATTTGCAAAAGTGATTTAAAAATGCAAGGAAGTCATTTGGATTCTGAACTTGCTTGTTCTTAATTTATTTTATTGTGGTTACATTTCAGAATCTAGTTTTGCTTTTATTCTCCATCCTCCAATAAAAGTAGACCAATTATGTTGTACAAACTTCAAAGTTAAAGAGTTTGTCCAATTGTGATGGAGATATGCAAGTTCAATTTTAAGGTGAAAAATCTTGCAGACCGCTTAAAGGCTTCTCACTCTTGCCTGACCTTTCTGGAAAGGCAGAGCCATACAGGGCCCGTGCCCTGTGCCTGGGAGCCCTGATGTCCAGCGGGAGGTGCTCCCCAGCCCGTGGTTTCAGGAAAGTGGGGCGGGACCTTTGCTAAGACAGTAAGCAGCTGACGGAGCCTTGCCCCGTTGCCCGGACCCCAGCTTCCCACTTAGTGCCTTTGCAGCACCCTCCCTGGCCTGGCTGAAAACAGGGTCAAGCTCCCTCTCCTAGGGCCAGCAATAAGCAAGCCCATGCTCACCGTGTCCTCCCGTGAGCCTCCAGGCTGCCCAGTGGGAGCACATGCCTCCTGCCCGTAGGTGCCCATGGAGTCTTTTTCACAGTGTTCTTTTTCTTGTTCTGTTTTTTTTTCTTCTTCTTCCTGTAGAAGGGTCTTGCTCTGTTGTCCAGGCTAGAGTGCAGTAGCCTGGTCCTAGCTCACGCAGTGTTGTTCTGTGTCATTATTCTCTAATGTAGAATCGCACCATCCTGGGAGTCAGGCATCTTCCGCCTCCTCTTTGACCTGGTTTGTGGCACACAGCAGGTCCTCATCAAATAGCTGCTGAATTTTATTGAACCTTATACTTAATGCCACTGATGTGTTGAGCCCAAGTTCAGGAGCTGACACGTTGTATCTGTTAAGTGGCCTTGCCTTCCCTCTGGCATGTCTCCTCGTGCATCTTCAGCTCACACGCCGACTGCACCAATGCTTCCAGGAATACTGGCCAAACCCTGACTCTGTGCCCAGCACCTTGCCTATGGCTGATGGTGCAAAGACACCTCCCCATCTTTAAGGAGCTTGACAGCCTTTCTAGTCCCTTTCTGGGTGACTTGTGTGTTCCATGTACCATCTTTGCTGTTGATTAAAATGCCAACCCACGCAGCACTGAGACCAGAGCCCTGGGGTGCCGCTCTTGGGATGGCCCTGGATCACCTGGCTCCTGATTTGTCCCGGAATGTTAGGAGGTGTCATTTGCAAGCTGCCAGTTCCGTGCTTTGCAGAACCTGCTGGGTTTTTCTTTTGTCTGAACCCCACTGCAGCTATGCCTCCCCTGTGTCTTTTATGCCTGTCGGTATGTCCGGACAGAGGCTCTGCCCTGGCAGTCCCCAGCCTGTTGACAGCAGCCACACATGTCTCCAGAACCGCGGCCCACACGCGTGTCCGATGCGAAGCTCACACCATTCTGACGTCCCTGGGTGTTTCCGCCTCGGGTCCGCTCATGCTATGCTTCTCCCTTAGTGGTCGGAGGATGTGTGTGTGGCCCACCTCACCCAGCGGGACGGGTACCAGGCCACCACGCAGGGACAGCTGAAGGAGCAGCTCTACCAGGAAATCATCCACTACTTCGACAAAGGCAAGGTAAAACACAAAAAGCAATTGTCCTTGTTTTCCTCTTTCCATGCACCTACCTGCAGTGTTGTAAACACGTTTTTTAGCGTGTGATTTTTGCAGAACCAGAAATTTGTTACAAGTTGTATATTGAAATGTTTTATGCATGTTCCTTCAGCTTGCACTTAAAAGTAGAAATCTTCTTTTAAAAAAAATCAATAGCCCTTTTATAGATGCTCTAAAAAAGCACCAAGTATTTTTATAACCCTTACCAGAGGGAACTAAGTCTGGAACACTGATTCGGAGGTGTTTCCGTGCCCACAGAGCTAATGTATTCCTTTGACATCCTGCATTTTTCTGTTGGCACGGAAGAATTAATCCCATGGTAGGATGGATATTGCTCCATCCTGGTGGCTTCTAGTTTAATTGGCTTAAACAAAATTATAGATTCCACTTGACTTCCACTAAAAGGAAACCTGCTGTCATTTTAATCAGCCAGTATTATATCTGATCACTGTAGTTCTTCTGATTAAGGTATGCAGTAACTATTTAAAAAAAAAAGCTGTTTCAGTTTCAGAAGTTTTTAAAACCTGCCACCGAAGTGACATTGGAACTCCTTCTTTGGTTTCATCAAGATTCCTAACTCATTTCAGAACCTGTTTTATTTTTCTTTTTTTCCTTTGAGAAAACTGACTAGCACACTTTATGAAGGTACCGACGTTCACATCCTAGGGCTGCTGTAGCACAAACTGGGTGGCTTTCAACAACGGGAATGTATTCTCATAGCTTAGTGCTGGGAGCTGCAAGCCTGATGTCACAGTGTTGGCGTGGCCGCCCCCTCTGAAGGCTGCAGGGGAAAATCTGCCCCGTGCCTTTTCCTTTGGGTGTGTTGCTGGCGGTCTCTGGCACTGGTCATCTGTAACCACATCGCTCCAAGCCCTTCCTCCGTCATCACAGGCCTTCTCCTCATGCGAGTTTCTGTCTCAGTCTCCTTCTCCTTAGGAGGTACCAGCGGTTAGACGAGGGCCCACTCTCCTCCATCAGGTCCTCATCTTCCCTTGATTACATCCAAATACCCTGTTTCCAAATAAGGTCAGATTCAGAAATATCAGGGGTTAGGACTTTAAATATTTCTGGGGACACAGTCCTACCCACAATTGTACTGATGCCCGGGAGTGATGATGGCTGCCCCTTTTTGTGGCTGTTGACGTAAACCAAACCCCATTGAAAACAATGACTCGACAGAGTCCCCGTGGTCACGAGCTTGGGATTCTGCTCACATTTGGAGTAAGCGATGCGGCATCCTTTATTTGTCCCTGCCATTCTTGACACAGGGAGAAAGTCTGACGTTTTCAGAATGGCATGTGGGCTCCCAAAGGCTGGTTGGAAATAAGGATTGGAAATGTTCTGTGAATTACACCCAGTCCTGTAGTTTAGGGGTCCCCAAACCCCAGGTCCTCAGCCTCTGGTACAGGTCGTGGCCTGTTAGGAACCAGGCTGCACAGCAGCAGGTGAGCAACGGGTGAGCAAGCAAAGCTTCATCTGTGTTTACAGCCGTTCCCCATCGCCCGCATTACCACCTGAGCTCCACCTCCTGCCAGATCAGCAGCACCATTAGATTCTCACAGGAGAATGATACCTATTGTGAACTGTGCGTGTGAGGGATCTAGGTGCCATACTCCTCATGAGAATCTAATGCCTGATGATCTGTCACTGTCTCCCATCTTCCCCTGATGGGATCATCTAGTTGCAAGAAAACAAGTTCAGGCTCCCACTGATTCTACATGATGGTGAGTTGTATAATTATTTCGTTATGTATTACAATGTAATAATAATAGAAATAAAGTACACGATCAATGTAATGCCCGTGAATCATCCTGAAACCATCCCCCACCCCGGTCCATGGAAAAATTTTCCTCCCTGAAACCAGTCCCTGGTGCCAAAAAGGTTGGGGACCGCTGCTGTAGTGGAACAGGATATATTTTTGTTCTCTGGAATGAGAAGCTTTGAGGATTAGGGCCAATTACTATAACTGTACTAGGTTAGCCAGGAGAATCCTGTTTCTCAGCAAACTGGTAAAGAAATGGAGCAAATGCAGCCATCCCTTCCCGGCAGTGGCTTCTTGGCTCCAGGGTGAGCAGTGCTACAGAATGGGCAGGGCAGGGCAGGGCAGGAGGCAGGGACCCTGGGGTGGCCGGGAGGCCCGAGGGCCAGAGGTCACGGGACTGAAGGAATGTGCGCATTTGTTGATGGCTGTTGCCGGGCTCTCTTTGTGGCAGCACATCCTCTGACCAGCGTTGGCTCCCGCGACCTCTCCACCCTCATTCCCTCCCTTGCCCTCTGCATTCCAGCCACACTGGCCCTTCTGCGTCCTGAAATGCACCAGCCCTCTCTGCCACTGCCCAGCGGGTTTCTGCTGCACTGCCTTGAGGACGTTGCTTGAGTCAGTTTTCCTTTTGCTGCCTGTACCATTTTGTCACTTGAATTAGCTTTTTCTAAGCCAGGCTTTCTCAATCTGGGCATGATTGGCATTCTGGGCTACCTGTTACTTTGTGGTAGAGGACCACGCGTGCATGGTGGACTCAAGGAATGTCTCCCTGCAGTGCCCTGGGCATACTCCTTCCTGTCTCAGCTTAAATGTCACCTGTTCTCCAGCCACGGAAACATCCTCTTTTCTCCTTTATGGCACCCACTATCATTTGCAATGATAGATTTGCTTGTGTGTTTCTTTAATGAGTTCCCCAGTAGGCTCTGAGCTCTGTGAAGATAGAACCTCACGCGTCAATTCCCCACCATGCATCTAATGCTCGGAACAGTGCCTGGCACACAGCACATGCTCATTACATTATGGACGTGTGTGGAAAGAATGAACAAATGAATGAAAAGTCAGCATTTAACAGTGCTTCCTGACAGATGAGAAATGCTCATGTATGGCAGGACAGGTGGCCTTCAATAAATGATAAATCAAAAAACAGAGTCTTTTTTTTTTTTTAGCAAAGGTAGCCAAATATCTTTTCCTACATTGTGATAGTTCATCAAAAAAATCATATGGAGGGGCAAAACGAATGTGTTCGGTTCAGTACAGTGGTTCTCAACTGAGATCTGCAGGAGGCATTGTGGGTTCTCCTGACTGGGGGAAGAGAAGGTGCTGTTAACCCTCCAGCAGTGCACACATGGCCCCCACACCACAAAGAAATAGCCCAGAATCCCTGTCGTGTCCAGGTTGAGAAAGCCCTCCTTAGAAAAAATGAATTCAAGTGATGAAATGGAATGGGCAGCTAAAGCAAAACAGACTCAAGGAATGTCCTCAGATGTCCCTGTGTTTTGGTGGAGACAGAACAAAGGCTATGGCAAAGTGATCATTGGCTGGCCTTGAATCAGAATGAGTTTTAGGAGGATTTTCTTCGTAGTAGCTGCATTGATAAAACCGATGGAAAAGCCACTTCTGAATATCCATAATATTTCCACGAGAATGTTAAAAAGGAACAAAGCCTCCTTATCCCTCTAAAACTAAAGTAAGATGAAGAACAGGTGCTGGAAAGAATTTGATAAAATGAAATTTGAAGTATCTGAGTGATCAGCTGCAAGGCAAAAAATTCATTTTAACATCAACAAGCATTACATTTTCTGGGAGAAAGAGCAGTAGGAAATAATTCATCTTCCGTAACAATCTGGATGGCCTGCACTAGAGTTTGAACCTCTCCGAATCTCCATGGCTCCAAACAGCACAGGTGTGTTTCTCACACATGCTCCGAATCCTCCTTTTGGCTCGGAACCCAGATGAACAGAGGTTCCGCCACAGAGGAACACAGCCGGAGAGGACAGCAAAGAGTCCCCCGCCCTGGGGCTTCTGCCCCAAAATGACAGTGTTCATGTCATTGGCTGAAGGAGATCACATGATCACCCCAGACTTCAAGGGGTGGAGAAGTGCACTTAGGGGCAGGTGAGTGTGAGCGGCACCCACGTGCACCACACAGCTTGTTAGACAGGTGAGTCTAACAATCAAGGGCACCATCCAATCTAGATTAACAAAAGTTCATCTAGAAATCCCCTAAGTATGCATGTATTCTGAGAAAGACGACGTCCACACTAGTCTCCCAAATAACTCGGCTTCCCCACAACTAGAGATGTGAGAATAACATCTCATAAAACTTGTTGGGCCTCAATCCTCGTTTCTCTGTCGTGGAGTTTCCTTCTTCCGTTAAAGAGGGGGCTTAGGTAGGCAGAACCCTGCAGGAGAAGCAGCCTGAGAGAATGGGCTCCTGACCCCCGTGACTGCGATGTGGGGAATCCCACCAGGTGGCCAGTGCAGGAGGAAGGGGGCACACAGTAGAAGCTCGAAGTGTGATGTTTTGTGCCGGACTTAGAATCACTTTTGTTTAAGAAACAAGGCTGAGGCCTGAGTATCCCCGGCTGCTTTGGGGATGTGCCATCATTTGAGAAATAACGTCCTCCTGCCTTTCCTAAATGCAGTGGAATGACAAAGGCCACGGCTGAAGGTTGAGAAGCTTGAAGTTGGGAGGGCCCAGGGCACACCTTTCCACACTCCATTCCCAGACTGTAATTATCTTGGGGGAAAAATACTTTTTAAATGGTCCACAGGTCATCACAGGCCTTAGTGGGCAGGTGACACAGCCCAAGGAAACTTGAAGGAGGGCCTTGATTGGTGTGGAGCCCTGATATGGTTTCGATCTGGGTCCCTGCCCAAATCTGAAGTCGTTGTAATCTCCAATGTTGGAGGTGGGGCCTGGTGGGAGGTGATTGGGTCATAAGGGTGGATTTCCTCCTTGGTGCTGTGTCGTGAGAGTGAGTGAGTTCTTGTGAGATCTGGGTTGTTCAAAAGTGTGTGGGACCGGCCGGGCGTGGTGGCTCATGCCTGTAATCCCAGCACTTCGGGCTGAGGCGGGGCAGATCACCTGAGGTCAGGAGTTTGAGACCAGCCTGGCCAATATGACAAAACCCCGTTTCTACTGAAAATACAAAAATTAGCCCATCGTGGTGGCAGGCACCTGTAATCCCAGCTACTTGGGAGGCTGAGGCATGAGAATCGCTTGAACCTGGGAGGCGGAGATTGCAGTGAGCCGAGATTGAGCCACTGCACTCCAGCCTGGGCGACAGGAACTCTGTCTCAAACAAAAAAAAAAAAGAGGGGCTGTGAGACCTCCCTGCCTTCTGCTCTCGGTCCTGTGCCTGCTTTGCCTTCCGCCGTGAGTATAAGCTCCCTGACGCCTCCCCAGAAGTGGCTGCTGCCATGCTTCCTGTACAGCCTATGGAACTGTGAGCTGATTAAACCTCTTTTCTTTATACATTACTCAGTCTCAGATATTTCTTTAAGCCCTCTGAGCAGCTGAGCACCAGAGAAACCAACTCTCAATTAATTGGTAGGACTCTAACCCTCACTGTTGTCCAGTACTGAGTCCTGAGCCACATGCGGCCATTGGGCCCACGTGAACCATCTTTCTAAGACCAAGTACAAAAAAACAAATGTTCTTATGGGCTGAGTTGCATCCCCCCAAAATTCCTATGTTGAAATCCTAACCTTCAGTATTTCAAAATATGGCTATATTTGGAGATAGGGTCTTTAAAGAGGTAATTAAGGTAAAATGAGGTCATTAGGGTGGGCCCTAATCGAATCTGACTGGTGTCCTTATAAGAAGGGGGATTAGGATACAGACACACACAGGGAAGACCATATTGAGGATACAGCAAGAAGGCAGCCATCTACAAGCCAACGAGAGAGGACTCAGAGGAAACCAGCCCTGCAGACACTTTGATCGCAGAATCCTGGCCTCCAGAACAGTGAGGAAGTGAATGAATGTGACTTGACGCCCCCAGCACCTACTCAGTGCTTCATTATGGCAGCCCTGGCAAACTAATACCAATACCAGGTGTCTCATTCATTTGTTTGTATAGATTTCATGTTGAAATAGTAATATTTTAGATAGAGTCAATATTACTACAATTAATTTTACTCTTTAAAAGGTAGCAGCTAGGAAATGCAACATTCACGGATGTGGCTCCTATTGGACGGTGGTTCCTGTTGGACGGTGCTGCTCTGAGTCAAAGACTTTGCTCTTGTTGAGCGCCAAGAACATCGTCAGACCAGCACTGCCGCCCACATGCGGCTGGGAAGCGGAAGCTGCCCACTGTCCTGTGGGGCCTCACAGGCAGTAGAATTGCCTGCCTGCCTGTTGGTATCTACTCCTTAGACTACAGGAATATTTAAACAGCGAAAATATTTCTGAAAGAGTTACAAAATGGGGACTCAAGTCTGGAAAGAATAAAATGTATGTCGAAATGGCAAGGAAAAAAGCATGATCACAAGCACCAAGATATGATGTTTTTTTCCTGTGACTCAATTTCATTTCTGTAGTGGTGAAACAGCTGTCAAGACTACGGCAGTTACCAGCGGGAACCTGGAGGGAAGGGTGACTTGGGAGTTCTCACATGGCCCTTAAGGAAATACAGATGAGGCAAATAGGAGAGAGGTAGAAACAGGCAGCTGCCAAGATAAGGTGTAAGAAATCAAGAAAAAGCAGCATCTTCTTGTTGGAGCAAGACAGAGTTTTCCGATACCTATTTTATTATTAAAATTTAGAATTATGCGCCTCGGTGATGTTGTTTTCATTTGTGCTTTGGATAAATCCCATTATAATCTCATTTTTCATTTCCCGGGCTTAGCAAGGATAAGTCACGTTTGCTCCTCAGGATCTGTCTATGCACGTGCCTTAGGGAATAGCGAGCCTTCCCCGCTGACAGACTGGCTCTAAGATCTGCACCATCTTGACCCACTTCTACCTGGGCCACTTCTGAACAACTCGGGCCTCTGGGCAGAAGCCCTGCTGCTAGATCCAGTTCACTTTGTGTCTCCTTGTAAGCTCTCGGTCCCTCTCACCTGGGTCTGTCTGAGATCCCTACCCACTCTCCTCCCCAAGGCCCCATGCCTGTCTCCACCCTTCCGCTCCTGCAGATAGATAGCAGTCTGGTTTCTAATAAAGTGGCCTCTGGATCACAGCGTGAACTGCTTCAAAGATGCCCAAACCTCAGGGATTCTCCCATCTCCTCTGCAGGCGATCCAGGCCTCTCACCTGGCATGAGGCCCCTTAGAGTAGGAATCGAGCCTCCAGATGTACCCTCTCATCACCCACAGCATCTGGCCTTCTGAACATGCCCTCTGTTCCCCAAGCCCTTGCACCTTCCCATGGTCTGCCCCGGCGTGGACCGGCTGCTTCTTGCTGCTGTCTCGTGTGACGGCTGCCATGACAGCTGCCTTCCTGCCTTCTGGGCATATTTCACTGCTCTCAAACTTTCGTGGCTTTTGGAGTTCACCGGCGAATCTTGTTAAAATCCAGATTTTGATTCAGCTGGTCTGGGGTGGGCCTCGAGGCTCTGCATTTCTGAGAAGCTCCCAGGTGATGTCCCAGCTGCTCCAGGGACCATCCCTGAGTCCCCAGGGCCTGTGCTGACTTAAGCTCCTGAGAGCAGAGGCAGTGGCTGTGGCTGCCACCTCTGGATCTCCCTCTGAGGGAGCTGTGCCGTGGCCTGGGCTCCACTCCATTTTTTTAAATAGCTTTTTAAGAGTGGTTTTAGGCTCACAGCAACATGGAACAGTGAGTACAGCCAGGTCCCAGACACCCCCTGCCCACACACATACACAGGCACGGGGCTTTCAGGGTGGTCATTTGTTAGTGAGTTGAGCACATTCTGGCCAGCACTTGAGCAAACAGCACACAATCAAGAAGGTGGCCGTCACCCAGACTTTCCACAAAGTTCCTTATTTGGGGCATATTTTGTTTGTTAACGGATCTTGCATCCTGACTCAGACTGAGCCCCTGGGAGAGCGAAAGGCCATGCCTCCCACCTCCCCACCCCCAGCGCCGGGTCGGGGGCAGATCCCACCCCACTCTGCCACGTGCCGCATCACAGTTGGGTTTTGTCAGTGTGCTCCTTTCCCAAGGCTAACACTAACTTGACTTTAGCACGACATTCACTGCAAAGGTTATGGATCAGACGGAGACAAATTCTTGCAAGAGCAGGGCTGGATTTTCCTGTCTAGAATCTTGTATGTTAAAAATAACAAT
This sequence comes from Homo sapiens, assembly GCF_000001405.40. Taxonomy (NCBI): domain Eukaryota; kingdom Metazoa; phylum Chordata; class Mammalia; order Primates; family Hominidae; genus Homo; species Homo sapiens. Next base: position 127,392,961 of record NC_000010.11, read on the forward strand.
CTTCCGTCCAAATGACTACAGCAGTTTATTAAGTGACCGAACGGGCAGACAAGCATGCAGGGAGGGCCGTCAGCATCCACAGAACTTACCGACCTGACTGAGAGCGCCACGTGCACCAGGCTCACGTCCTGAGCGTGTGCCCACAGCCCTTGGAGTGTTTACAAGAATTTCCTTGGTTCGATCTTACATGTATTTCATTTTAGGGGAAACAACGCAATTCCAGTTTTACAAATGTATTGGGGTAAGGAGACTTAAGACCTCAGTTAAGCTTGGAGACCAGTGATTACCGGGGCTTGCAAGATGATAAAATGGAAGCCAGGTGGGACGTCAGTCTGGCAAAACCATGACCCGGCTACAGCTCCACTGATCCAGCCTGTCTCCTCGTGGCCCATTTCCATATGCAATTAAGGAAATCTTCATTACGTACTTACTCTGTGGGAAGGATATACACCCTAGAGCTCATTCACTGTTTGAAATGTCTACAGCTTCCTACGGGAAATAGGGGCTTCCAGAATCCAGGACAAGCTTGCCTCTGGACAAGGCTGAGCAGGCTGTTAAGGGAGCAGGGGTCCCCATCCCAGGCCCCCTGCGATGGCATCTCTCTGTGCTCCCCGGGAGAGTGGGCGGGGGCAGGGAGAGACGGGAATCGGGTGATATTAAAGTTTCTCTGCCTTTGTGCTTGGAAACCAGCAAGGCAAAATGGATTTGCTGCTGTTTTATATTGGACACGGGCTTTTGAATGATGTTCTGTTATCTTTCTGTATTTCTTCCCCACGGAATCATTCTTCTGTTTTTGCCTTTCCACCGTTTTTTAAAGTTTTGAATGTCTTTCAGCCTAGCTCTTGGTTTCTTAATCTTTTTCTTTCTCTCTGCAAAATGTCATTTCCATCTGTTTCCATTTTCATTCTTTTACGTTTCCTCCTTCCCGAGCTAATAATGACTCCTTGCTCTTTTTCCATTCCATTCTTGCCGCCCGCCTGAGTGTGCCCCAAAAGCCTTCTGTTTGGTTTTATCATGGCAGACCAGTGTTCTTTTCTGAAGATGCTCTGAATTGTCTGTCTTATTGTGTTTGGTTGAGGCCTAGTAATTTTCGATAAAGCCCTTAATCCAAGTACTTGACTGAAAATTACCAGGCTTCTCTGTGGAGGATGAGGGTCAAAAATAGAAGTCCTTCTATGAGGAAGATGCAGTCAGAGTGAGACAGTCAGTATTAGCCAACACCAGCCACCTCTGAAATCAAGAAACAGCCTGGCAGGTTGACAAATGCGATACATAATTTGTAGCCCAAGTGATATATGAAGCCCTGTGACTATTTTCAGCTGGAGCTCTGTTGTATTTTCCCTTAAAATAACCTTCCCTTGACAAAGTTCACACTTTGCCTTGCACCAATGTAAAAAAAAAAAAAAAAAAGCGTTTTACATCATTGTGTAAACTAAAAATAGGAGTTTGGAGCAAATTTCCATTTTTGGTCAAATGTTTGCATCTCTTTTCCAAGTATTTGGGGTGAAATTTTCACATCTTCTAAGTTTCCCTTTGGAAACACAGTTGTTATTAAGAGGGACTGCAGGTCAACATAATGAAGCCCTCATATGGGTTTCTTGTTGGCATTTCTAGAATTTTTGAAAATGTGATATTAGCAGAACCTATTCAGCCAGAATTTGGCCTGAATATTCAAAGAGATCATATGTTCATTATGATTTGCTCCTATGCAGTAATTGATCATCAAAGCATGAGAAAGTCCATTTTCGAGTCAGTAACAACAATGCTCCCTTAGCTTATGTGGGATCACTAACAAGCTTTTCCACCCAAAGCCCACAGTGTGCCCAGTGCCGTCCTGCGCCGTGAAATACCGAGATGGAGCCAGGCCCACCTCGAGGCGATTCTAGCATCAGGGCTCTCATATGAGCAGATAAATAACAAAACCCACCTTCCGCCCATCACACAGGTGGGCGCTGGGTCTCCCTATCCCACAGGTGCAGGAGTGATGCCTTCTTTTGGAGAGCTAGAGAAGACTTCACAGAGGTGGTTACATTTCGTGCTTCTTGAAGAGTAAAATTAAGTTTGCCAGATGATGGCTGGGAGGAACAGGAATTTCAGAGTGTGAGAATAGCGCCAGAAGGGGAAGAGCTCCTGATGACATCTCGCTTTTCCGGGGAAGTAGAGCCATTCTGGGAGATAGCAGTGCAGGGGACTGTCTTCGTCCCTTCATGCTCCTATAACAAAATGCCACAGACTGGGTGGTTTATAAACCACAGATTCATTTCTCACCATTCTGGACCTGGGAATTCCTAGATCAAGGCACTCACAGATTTGGTGTCTGGAGAGGGCCCTCTGCCTGCTCCACATAAGTAGTGCCTTCTCTGAGTAGTCATGTCCTGGCAGGTGTGGCGGCGCTCTTCCGGGCCTCTGTTTTGAGGCCACTCATCCCATTCATGAGGGCTCCACCGTCATGACCTAATCACCTTCGAAGGCCTCATCTCCTAATGCCAACACCTTGAAGGTGAGGATTTCAACCCGTGAATTTGAGGGAGACACAAATATTCAGAGCATAGCAAAGACATTGGAGCTAGTTTGTCAGTGGCCCTGTATTGTCTCCTGAAGATTTGGCTTACAAGGACCCAATGGAAATTTCGTGAAAGTAGAAAATAATGATTTCATTTTCCTCTTTTCAGGGGGTAATTCTGGCAACATGGTGGCAGCAGACTTAGAGGAGGGAGGGTGGGAGCCAGAGACGAGACGAGGGGTGGGGCATTGGGCCAGGCCTGAGCCCCATAAAGCCAGTGGCAGATGGAAGTGATGTCATGAGACTTCAAGTTAGCAGATTCCACAGTGTCAAAGACCCTTGAACAGGGTTAAAGCCAGAAAAGCAAGTGCCAGGGGTGGCTGGGGCACCCACTGGCCTAGAAGCCAAGAGTTCTTGCCGGGAGGAAGATGTAGGAAGGGAATGCTTCACTTGCTGCAGAGAGCAGATGGAGGTCCTTTCATCCTTTCAGCATTGAGCAAGGCAGCGAGGGTGCACACTGAGCAGTCCTGTGCAGGGCATTTAATGGAGGGTGTCAAGGAAAGGGAGAAATGAGCAGGGTCACAGCTGCAGTGATGCTGGGTGCATAGAGAGCCCTGGGCCAGTTCACAGCTGCAGTGATGCTGGGTGTATAGAGAGTCCTGGGCTAGGTCACAGCTGCAGTGATGCTGGCTGCATTCAAGAATCCCGGGCCAGGTTACGGCTGCAGTGATGCTGGCTGCATTCAAGAATCCTGGGCCAGTTCACAGCTGCAGTGATGCTGGGTGCATAGAGAGTCCTGGGCCAGGTCACAGCTGCAGTGATGTTTGTTGACTCCCCAGCCTGTGCCCTGGATCCCCCTATCCCAGGACATCTCACCAGCAAGTCTGCACTCTCCCTTTGCAGCACCCATGTGTTGTTCTCTGTCAGCTCCCACCCTCCCACCTGCAACCATGCCATTATTGCTCTCACCTTTAAGAAGAGTTCTTTCTTGTTCCAACTCCCCTGTCCAGCCACTGCCCATTTCTCCTCCTCTTTCTACAACACTCCGTAAAGGATGGTCTGCACTTGCTGTTCCTCTCCTCCTGTTGTCTCTGGAGTCCACTCCCTCACCAGTGGCCAGTAGCTGCCTGTGGAAGGCAGGAGTGAGCAGCACGGTGTCTCTTTCTGTCCAGTTAAAGCACCGAGCAAGAGGCAACTGTATCTCTTGCTGCCTGCTTTAGTCTTTTCAAGGTCTTTCTTTGCAAAACTACAAATGTCCTGGCCTAAAGAAAAAATGTCATATCTCTGTTACAAAAAAAAAAAAAAAAAAATCTTCATTTTTTTATCTAGGGCATTACAAGCTCAGTGAGTAGTTTTCTGTTTTGACTAATAAGGACTTGCCGTGGAATAAAGGAGACATGTTGATGAACATAAGTGACCCGGGCAGTGACTCCTATGTGATCTGAGCATGAGTTACACGGGCAGCGACTCCTATGTGATCTGAGCATGAGTTACACGGGCAGCGTCTCCTGTGATCTGAGCATCAGTTACACGGGCAGCGACTCCTATGTGATCTGAGCATGAGTTACACGGGCGGCGACTCCTATGTGATCTGAGCATGAGTTACACGGGCAGCGACTCCTATGTGATCTGAGCATCAGTTACACGGGCGGTGTCTCCTATGTGATCTGAGCATCAGTTACACGGGCAGCGACTCCTATGTGATCTGAGCATGAGTTACACGGGCAGCGTCTCCTGTGATCTGAGCATCAGTTACACGGGCAGCGACTCCTATGTGATCTGAGCATGAGTTACACGGGCGGCGACTCCTATGTGATCTGAGCATGAGTTACACGGGCGGCAACTCCTATGTGATCTGAGCATGAGTTACACGGGCGGTGTCTCCTATGTGATCTGAGCATGAGTTACACGGGCAGTGTCTCCTATGTGATCTGAGCATGAGTTACATGGGCAGCGACTCCTATGTGATCTGAGCATGAGTTACAAGGGCAGTGTCTCCTATGTGATCTGAGCATGAGTTACACGGGCAGCAACTCCTATGTGATCTGAGCATGAGTTACACGGGCGGTGTCTCCTATGTGATCTGAGCATGAGTTACATGGGCAGTGTGTCCTTTGTGATCTGAGCATGAGTTACACGGGCAGCGTCTCCTATGTGATCTGAGCATGAGTTACACGGGCAGCGACTCCTATGTGATCTCAGCAGCGTCTCCTGCATGACACAGGTAGTAGCTCCTCTATGACCCGGGCAGCGACTCCTGTGTGACCCGGGCAGCGACTCCTGTATGACACGGGCAGCGACTCCTGTATGACACGGGCAGTGACTCCTGTATGACACGGGCAGTGACTCCTGTATGACCCGGGCAGCGACTCCTGTGTGACCTGTGCATGTCCTGGGTAGTGGGTGCTGCATGTCCTGGGCAGTGACTCCTCTATGACATGGGTCATGGCTCCTGGATGACACAAATAGTGGCTCCTGGATGACACAGGAAGCGACTCCTGTATTACACAACAGTGACTCCGATTTGGCAAGGCAGAGGTTCCCGTGTGATGGGGCTCCTGTGTGACATGCAGTGGCTCCAGTATGACATTGAAGTGGCTGATCCATCTTGTGCACACTTGGGGTGACTTTGGCATCATTACTGCAAGATCAGTCAGCTTTGAGCTGCAGACCGTCTTTGCTGGTGCAGGGAATCAGGCCTGAGTCTGTGTCAGAAAGGTCTTTGCAAAAAGTCAATCCTGCACCCACATCAGTCAGTGCCGGTTGAGCACTCCAGGAGGACCAAGGATGAGGCTTGGCTCAAGGAAAAAGCGAGGGGCCTGGAGAGAGTGGTGATGCTTGCAAAGGGTCTCCATTCCTTGCAGCGTAGTTGCAGGCAACACCAAGACTAGCTGGGCCCTTGGAATCATCCAGGCCCACCTCACCAGGGCCGCCAGCCCCACACCTGGAAGGGATGCTGTCACTCAGCACGCATTGAGCAAAGAACGGACTGAACGCAGCCTCCTGCTAGTCCTGGGCCTCCCTGGCTCCTGTGCTGCTGAGGGACCTCCCCCAGAGTTCCAGATTCTTCCGCACCAGTGATTTTAATCCATTTTGATGTCAGAGACCTGTGTGGGACTCTGGAAATTCAGAAGGTAATTGAGTATGACTCTTTTCCCAATAACTGCTGTGAAAAAACAGAACAGATGAATTTTAGAAGAATGTCTGAAATTCAAGCATCCTGTGAGGTATCTCCACTGGTGAGTTACTTACAGCTAGTCAGCAAATGAAACCAGAGTCGCCCACCAGTATCCTGGTGAGTCATCGCCAGCCTGAATTATTAGAAAGGGATGGCTGTCCCGGCTGGCATCTTTCCTTTCATCTGCTGCTGTTCCCTTGTCCTGTGACATCCGTGTTGTCATCCTATCAGAATTGTCAACATCACCTCATGGGTAAGAAATCAATTCCTGCTGTGTTCTCTACAGCTGCTTCTGTCTGGGAACTAAGGAAGGAGCTTTATTATAAAAGAAAATTTTTATTCAAGTTTCTATTCATGGAACTTGAAGAAATGGAACTTCCTGAAACCAAGAGGTTCAGAAGAATAGAGAGAAGATTATCATCTCAAGAGAACACGTCTCGTATCATCTGGGGGAAAGCAGGGTGGGGAGACCGTGCTCCGTGCTGCAAGTCAACCGGCAATTTCAAGAATGCCGTAAATTGGATTAAGGATTTCGCATCAGAAAATAAAGCTTTCTGCTGATATGGGGCTTTTTCATTTGGGGCTGTGGCAAACCTCATAAGCCTGTAGCACTTCTGAGAACGGAGCCAAACCAGGGTGTTCAATCGCAGAGGTTAAAGTGATTCTTTCACTGAGATAATCTAAATCTAGATCATATTGAATCTGCCTTCTCTCTGGCACGGAAACATTTTCCAAGGTATTCACGTTGGAAGTATGAATTACCCACACTCTCTTTAAAGCCCCATCCAATTAAAAGTAGATGAAAATCTCCTTAATGCAGAGTCCTTTAGAACATGCCAGGGGTAGCAGGGAGGGATGAGAGATATATATTTATAGGAAATCTGATAGAAGATACCACCATGCAACCTGAGGGTGAGTCTGAGAAGATATTTACTCATGACTTGTATTTCTTTTAAAAACAATTACTTTTGATATGTATCTAAAGTATCTTCTCTGTCATTTAGGATAAAAACAGATTAGGCTTTTACTCAGGAATGAATTAGAAGCCCTGGCATTCTAGGCAGCTACAGAGTTTGTATCCGCTTGCAGAAAATTTAAAAAAAAATAAGAAGAAGAATCCAGTGTAAGAGACCTACAAGGAAAGGTAATGTTCTCTTTGAAATGGAAATCTGCTCAGAGAGGAAGTGGTCACTGGAGCTTTAAAAAAACGTTAAAAGTAGGGAAGTTCTCCCTTCCTAGAAAATGTGAGCCGGGGCTCTGGCAGAGGACATACGAAAGACTTAGAGCAGCAGACTGAGATATTCCAGGAATGGGAGGCAACTTTAAACCTTCAGCAGGATGGGGGAGACAGACAGATGGGGACTCTGGGAAGGGACCAGGTAGCAGAGCAGGGACCGTAGGCAGGATGTCTTGGGCCACCTCCTACCCTCCCTGGACACTGGTCCCAGCTCTGAAACCTTTGTCTTCTTTGGGCTTACTTTTATTTTGTTATTCAAAGTATTAAAATGCAGCTCTGATTGTAGAATAACTTTTACTCTCATCAAAAAAAAAAAAAAGCAGATGGTTTCTTTACGTCGTGGCTATGACAAGAGTACTTTGGGAGCATTTAAGTAAAACAGTGTTCTTAAGTTTATTGGGTGGCTCTGAAGTGAGTGAGGACTTCAGTGGGGTCATCCTGGAAAGGAAAGGCAAAGGCCAGTGAGCGGGTGGGGGCTCAGTGCCATGGGTGACCCAGGTCTGGGGCTTGGCAGTCTGCCTCCCCTGTGGGAACCTGCAGTTCAAGGCCAGCCTGGACTCTTTTCAAATCCATCCTGGCAGGAGGTGGGGAAGCAGCTTGGAAGTGCTGCTATGTGGCCATCAGGAGCAAGGACTTTCAAAAAGGCCACGCTGGGTCAAGCCCACCGCTTATCTGCTGTGTGTCCTTGGCAAGCTACTTACCAGTCTGATCCCTAGATTCCTTATCTGCAAAATGGGTATAATGCAGATGCCCACCTGACAAGGTGATTGGAGGCCTTAAACCGGAGAGCACAGGTGGCTGGACATAGAGTAAGCTGGGAAAAGCCAAAATCACCTTTGCAAAAAAAATTAACAGTGAGGAAATGATGGCAGTAAAAGAGATCTGATCTAAATCCTCACCCACCTCCCACCCCCAGTCATGCCTCTCCTGTAATCATTCCTGGGCTTTGGCTAAGCCAACTTTGGGAGACCTCTAGTTTAAGGTTTAAATGATAATAGGCCTTCCCTAAAACTCAGCTGCCTTGATAAAGCTAATGAAAGGCCATCAGGCTAGGAAGAGGGGAGAAACCTGAATTCTGCTAAGGTGTAGACTGCTCACAAAATATACAACTTCACTATCGTAGATGAGCCTTTTGAGATCTTTTCAGGTTTTTTGCATGTCTGACACCTGGCTCTACCCAGACCACCAGCCCCACTCCTATGGCCCACCTAGAAGCAACTCAGCTCAAGAGGACAGCTCTGACCCCCTGTGATTTCATCAGCAGCAAGCATCCATTACCTGGCCGCCACCACCCCTTCTCCCAAACTGCCTTTGAAAAGCCCCTCCCCTAGGAACCTTTGGGGAGATTGATTTGAGTAATGACACCGTCTCCCACGTGGCGGTGTTACTGGCCGCAAATCTGTATAGCTCTGCAGCAACCTCAGTTCTCACCTTGTCAGAAGAAGGAATTCGATTGAGGGGCATAACGCAGAAGAAGAGACCGAGGCAAGTTTCAGAGCAGGAGTGAAAGTTTATTAAAAAGTTTTAGAGCAGGAATGAAAAGAAAGTACACTTGGAAGAGGGCCAAGCAGACATCTTGGAGGTCAAGTGCCCCATTTGACCTTGGACTTAGGGTTTGATATGCTGGCCTACTTCCAGCGTCGTGCACCCCTTTTCCGGTGGAATGCCCCTGGAAGGTTACCAGTTAAACTCCGCCATTTTGCCTCTCAATTCACATGCTTGGGCCCACTCACCCAGCTCCTGAGATCTTATCAGGAAGCTGCTGATCACCAGCTTGTGTTTCTAGCTCTTGGGAAACTGCCTTTCCCTGGCACTGTCTGTGACCAATTATTATTTTAGAGAGACAGTGTACACCTGCCTGACCATCATCTGACGGTCACCTGACTTTCCTGGTAGGGTGTCAGGACAGCCCTCTCCTGCCCCGCTCATGCCTGACTAGCTACCTGCTGTAACAGCATGGCTGGCCTTATGTCAATTAAACTCTTTCTTTACTGCAATGCCTTGATCTTTTTTTGTGCAGCAGGCGGGTGGGGGCTCAGTGCCAAGGGTAGTCTAGATTCGCGGCCTAGAAAGCCTGGCCTGTTGGGTGGTTCCAAAGCTGCGTGGTTCCCCTCAGGACTGGCGCTACCGTCTTGTGGGAATGATGGAAGTTGAATGCAGCATATAGGAAGCTTTCCTGATTGTAACTCAGCATCCTGCAGTTCTGTTCACTAAACCTTGTTAAGCAGGCCCTGGATTAAGGTCCAGAGGTTTTACAGGTTGATAAAGCTGAGCCCCTGTCCTCAAGGGCTTATATTCTCTGAGGAGGAATGACAAAGGGTCATGCTAGTTTCAGTACCTTACCAAAAGTTTTGAGGCAGCAGGATCCTGGGTCTTTGTGGGAGCACAGAGGAGGAGAGTGGGCGGCAGCTAGGAAGGCTTCCTGGAAGAGGTGGTTCCTCTTACTTTTCCATGGTTTTCTCCAGTAATCCGCTTTGTTTTTCCCAAGAAAAATAAGGGAAATTCAGGCCAACTATCTATCAAAAAATTATTCCACATGTGTCAAAAGCTTATCAACATTTTAATCACTTATTTGGAAAGTTACTTACCTTACAAAGTTCCCCCTTTTCAAAATGATAACAGGCTTTATATCCATAGCATAGTCACACACATACATCAAACTTTCTGCAAGCTTTAGTTTAGAGTCGAAGTCTGCCCTGTTATTTCTGATCATTGGTGATATTCGACATAGCATTTTTTAGGTGGACAGCTTGGGAAAAGAGCCAAGTCAGGCGCCCAGTTTCTACATAAATGGCACCCCACAGCCTCTCTTCACCCTACGGTTCCTTTTCCCTGGCTCCAAGGCTGCTCCGACAGACGGGCTTCGGGCCACAGCTGGCAGCAGGAGAGCAAAGACAGGAGCAGTGAGGACTGGCTGACAGACTGCTGTTACCATGGCCAGAGGCCTGCGTGATTGACATGCCAGTGATTGACCTCTTTGGCCAGCTGATGCCGCAGGTCACGAGCCAAAAGACATGAGACTCAAGAAAATATTTGTATTTTTTCGGTGTTATTCCCATAATGTTTCATTCAAATGTACTTCTACACTGTTTTATTTTGAATGATTGCATTCCTGTTTGACTCTTTGCACAATTCAGGCCTCGGCTTCTCTTTCTTTTCTTTATTTTAACTCACAGATGTGGGAGGAGGCCATTGCCTTGGGCAAGGAGCTAGCCGAGCAGTATGAGAACGAAATGTTTGATTATGAGCAACTCAGCGAATTGCTGGTGAGTCTTTATTTCTTTTTATTTAAATGAACACAGGCAATCTCAGCTGGTTTTTCAGGAATCTCTCTTTCCATGTCAATGTTAGGGTTCACCCCAGGCACTCTGGGACCTTGGCCATGTCCCTCCGTTTTGCCTAGGAAGATGGTTTTAGTTAATTTGCTGGTTGATATTTGGCCCATAAATATTTACTTTTTAGTCCCAAGTCAGCTCTTATAACCAAACTCTTAAGGCTTCTATGAATAAATTGTACGTAAACAACTGCTGACCTTGTGTATAGCGGTCTTGACAGCCCAGGAGTCTGTGAACATTTGTACTAGTTTAAAACTGACCCCAGGCCAGGCGCACTGGCTCACGCCTGTAATCCCAGCACTTTGGGAGGCTAAGGCAGGCGGATCACGAGGTCAGGAGATCAAGACCATCCTGGCTAACACGGTGAAACCCCATCTCTACTAAAAATACAACAAAGTAGCCGGGCGTGGTAGCACACGCCTGTAGTCCTGGCTACTTGGGAGGCTGAGGCTGGAGAATCGCTTGAACCCAGGAGGTGGAAGTTGCAGTGAGCTGAGATCGCGCCAATGCACTCCAGCCTGGGCAACAGAGTGAGAGTCCGTCTCAAAAAACAAAAAAACCTGACCCCTTCTATGAGAGAGGGATGGATAGATAATGACCAGACCTTTCTTCTGCCATGGGAATGCTGTTAGTTTCTAATTGCTACCTCCTCCACCTTGTCATTTTTGTATTCAGCAGATCACCTTAATGATGTGGGAATGTCTGTCATGAATTTAGAACAGAACGATTCTGTTCCTTTAAATTCTCTTTGAACGTATCCCACTATCTGACCTATACCTTTTAAAAAATACTAAGGGCCAGCCATTTCTATGGCACTTCTTTGGTTATTGAAAACACCCATAAGTCACAACTTTTTGCTGAATTTGGGCTAGTTGGTTCAGATTCCCTTGCGGAATGATGGAGAATGAGTGAAAAATAATGTCAAAACGATGGAGTGAGATGAAATTCAGGTGCAAGCCTCAGTACCCTCTCCCACCATCTCCCTCTCCCACCATCTCCCCCTCCCACCCTATAGAAGTTGCCAGAGCTTTTAAAGAGCCCGCAAGAAGAATCCAGAGGCACACATGCTTGAATACTCAAACCTGAAATGCATTTTCTTTTTTCCTTCCAGAAAAAACAGGCTCAGTTTTATGAAAACATCGTCAAAGTGATCAGGCCCAAGCCTGACTATTTTGCTGTTGGCTACTACGGACAAGGGTTCCCCACATTCCTGCGGGTAAAGTTTGGTTCTGCCTAATCTGAGCCATGATTGTTCCCCCAGCAGAAAATCCCCTTCCCGTTCTGAGGAAGGGTGGGGAGTTTGCATCCGCGTGGGATCGTGCAACTCTCTACACTGCCATAGCTCGGTGGTTAGCCCGGGGGGCAGAGAGGGGTTGACAGGATTTTATTTGGTTGCATATAACCTTTCTATCTGATTTTTCCGTAAAAGGACCCTCCTTCAGAGATTTACACGTATTATTTTAATTGAGGTGTGATATATGATATGTGATACTATTTGCCATCTTAGCCATTTTTAGGTGTGTAGTTCGGTGGCATTAATACAGTCACGTTGTTGTGCGGCCAGCACCACCATCTACCTTCAGAACTTTTTCATCTTGCAAAACTGAGATTCTGCATCCATTAAACACGAACTCCCCATTCTCCCTCCTGCCAGCCCCAGCAGCCACCGTTCTACTTTGTGTCTCTATGAATCTGACTGTTGTAGGGACCTTGTATTAGTGGAATTGTACAGTGTTCGCCCTTCTGTGTTTGGCTTGTTTCACTCGGCCGAATGTCTTCCAGTTTCATCCAGGTTGTAGCATGTGTCAGAACTTTATCCTTTTTGAGGCTGAATGGTATTTCATTGCATGGAGAGGCCACATTTTATTTATTCATTGATCCACTGATGAACATTTGGGTTGTCCCCGCCCAATGTGCTGCTATGAAGATGTATGTTTTTAATTATATGGGAAATTGGAAATGGATCTGTATGGCCACGGTGCTAGAAACTCCAAACCAGGCTCCATCCCTGAGACAGGCATGTGCTTTCAGACATGTAATTGAAGCAGTAACCGTGATCACCTGCCAGGTGCCCATTTCCCAGTATTCACATGAGGCCAAAGGAGAAGTTACATAAATATTAATAGTGCTGCCTGGCCTACCATAGAATTGTTTATACATTTTCTCAAGAACACATTCTTTGGATGCCATTGACCAGTGGGTCATGATTTCCTGATATTTCTTATGACTTTTTTTTTTTTTTTTTGGACACTTGGTTTTCTCTTATCCTAGGAGACTATGTGTGATTGCTCTGGCTTTAGGAAGCAGAAGCTCTGTGTCTTGAGCACAGCCGTCTGGGGCAGTTGAAACCAGTTGGGAGATTCCCCTGGTTCCAGACGTTGTTCATTTGGGGTCCTGTGTTTCCGACTCCACGGGAGTCACTAATAGTGTGACATCTCTTCATCACGGCACCCAGAGGATACAGACCTCCCCTTAGGAAGGGCATGTCACTGTTGACAGGGGAGCACCACAGTTCTGGCCTGCTCTAGGAGGTGAGGCTGGCTGCCCACTCAGTGTCCTGCCTGGTGACGGAGGCGTCTGGCCCTGTCCTGGTCACTCCTGGTCACTGCTGGTCAGCTTCTCCTCTTGCCTTCATCGTGCAGCAAAGACAGCGGTTGATCAGAAGCACAGATTCTGAACAAAGTCTTCCCTTCCAAAGAATGAATAAAGGAGGCTTAGTTACAAGCTCTAAATTAGAGACAAATTTGAAATTAGCTTCATTCTCAATAAAAAACAAAGCTGAAGGGTGGAATGAGCTTGGAGTTAAAGCCACTTACTGTTGCTAAAGGCTTTAATTCGAGTGTGTGTGTGCTCCGGAACATACATCTTTAGGAAAGGGAGGCAGGTGGACCCTAAGCCATGCAGCCTTGTGCAGTGCTTGGTGTTAGATGGTGCGTGTGGCCCCTGTGGATGGAGATCTACCTCTGGTATGTAGGCACCAACTCTGGATCCGTGCAGGATGGTTATCCCAGAATCCAGAGCAAGGGAGCAGCCTGCGTGGAATATTATGTGAGGGCAGTGCCGGGTGCGGAGGACACGTTGCAGCTCCCGAGCCAATAGATGCCAGGTTGTGCCAGGAGCTCACACACAGCAGGCTCCAGGGGCGGTGCTGGGTCATCTCCACCACCAAAAGGACAAAATGAAAAGTCTGAATGGAGGTTAACAGGCTCGATTAATATTGAACTGACTTTCCCGCCACACCTGGATCATTCTGTGGGTCTGCAGCAATATATTTATCACACTTCACAGATGAGCTGGCAGGGGTCAATCTGCCAATGACACTGGCAGTTACCAAAACGTGGGCAGAATGTTTGCGTGCTTCATGCCCTGCTGGAGAGGAGCCTCCAAGAACTGACTAGCTGTCCCTTTTGCTTTGTTTTTCTCTAAAAATTGGTCTCACTGTTTTTTGTGCTCATGTTGATATTTATAGACCTTACAAGGAATAAATATCTTTGACTATATGTACATTTCCCCCTTGTTTTCATGTTCAAAAGGATCACTTCAGAATGCAAAGTAACTGACATTTTCAGAAAATGTTATTCGTGTTTTTACCTATAACTCACTAGCTTTTTTCTATTAAAGTCTTTATATACATTTTTATTATTATGTTTTCTCATGTAAAGCATAAGAAAAATGCTTGCTAGTTTGATAGTAGTCTGTTATCCATTAAATCTTACTGAATTTTGGAAGTGCGTGGCTTTATATAGAAGCCTTAGAAGTTGCTCAGACTGTATTTAAGATGACATATTATCTGGTTTCTGCTTGACTTTTTTTTTTCGGGGGGGCGGTGGGGAGAAATAGAGCATTTTTCTTCCATAATGGTACTTCTAAGACATATCTAAGCACAAAGTGAAAAAGAATTCAATTCTTAAACTGGTTCTTTTTTTAGCGATTTAGGAGAACTCAGAATAAGCTGGGGCAAGGGAAGGGGACTGTCTTAGTCCACTGGGGCTGCTGTAACAAAATACCTTAGACTGGGTACTTTATAAACAACAGGAATGTATTGTTCACAGTTCCGGAGGCTGGGAAGTCCAAGATCAAGGTGCCAGCAGATTTGGAGTCTGGGGAGGGCCATTCCTCATAGATGGCGCCTTCCACCTGTTCTCATGGGGTGGAAAGGGCAGGCAGCTCTCTGGGGCCTCTTTTCTGAGGCACTGATGACTTTCCTAAGGGTGGAGCCTTTCCAGAGGCCCCACCTTCTAATACTATCACCTTGGTGATTAGGTTTCAACATCTGAATTTTGGGGACTACAAACGTTCTGACCACAGCAGGGATCAATTGATTCAGTGTCATAGAATCTCTCTTAATCCTTTTGAAAATCCTTTAGTTAGACAAATTTTAATTTGACTTCAATCTTAGTCTTTAGGGGGTAAGTGTAAAAATATGCAGCAAAATGCTGTCCTCTCTGTCTGTCTCTGTCTCTGTTCGTCTCCCTCTCTGGCACCTGTCCAGGAATGACTGCAGATGGGGCAGGGCTGCAGCTGACTTGGGAGCAGCCAACCTGGAGGTTCTTCCCCCGTGTCCCCTGATCAAAGAACAGAAGCACCTCAGCAACCACGCCCCGTCCTGGAAAGTGTTACCCCCCCAACCCCAGACTTCTGTTTCTTGTACCCCTGTGGCTTCTGCTCGCTGTCTTCTCCTTGTGGCAGTTTTCATTTCGGTTGAGACAGCCCCAGATGGGACAGGATGGGTGGGGGGAGGCAGAAGGCTTCCAAAACCAGCAGCAGCATTACACTAGGTACTCATTGGCCCCTTTCTGTGACCGAGTTCACACTCAGAACACACGTGTTGAAATCGGGAAAAAAACGGAGACCTGTTGTATCTTGCAAGGAAAACGTTCCTTACAGGTATATTTACAGAGGACTGTGTCACACTCAGGCAGAAATGACCTCAACAAGACAGCCTCGTGGAAGGAAGAACACTTACCTACTTAACTCCCCTCCCCGCCCCGGACTGCCTAGTCTAGCCTAGCCGTCTATAACAACCCCAGTGGACTGACATTCCATCTTGGAATTTATGGAGGTGACAAAAGTGTCATTTGAGATGGACCAAACCCAGCCCTTCCAAGAAGAGCTCTGTATGTTTTATCTTGACATGTGTTGATGAATAATGACCTGCACACACATTCTGAATGCAGGAAGGGAAGTCCTGCTCTCCGTCCATCGCCAGTCACTCACTCGGGGGAGGCCAGGAACTTAGTAGCTCTCGGCTCTGGTCTGCATCCCTTCCCCTCGGGTTCTGCTCGCCTCGGCTGTGTCTCACAGGAGTCAGCGCCCGGCGGCCGTGTGCAGGTGCTGGGGCCCCACCTTAGCTCAAGCTCTCTTAAATTCCTTATGGCAGAATGAAAACAACTTCATTAGGGCCTACCTGAGAAGAAAACAAAAACAAGAAAAAGTGTGGACATCATTATCCACTTGTCCTGGCTGCCTTGCCCCCTTCTAACCATTTCATGCCCATTCTAGTGTGGGCTTCTGAGTGCTCATTTGGTTTTTCATATAGTTTTTAAATCAGTTGTTACTGTCAAGATGAAAACATATCACAGATGTTAGTAGCGCAGTGCTGAGTGCTTCTTAAACAGTATTAACTTACATGCTTGATGACCATGTGTTCTTGATTAACAAAGCCAACGCAAGTACAAAAAAAAATAAAAATTACAAGTTGTTCTTAAATTTAATGACATTTTGTAAGAACCCGTAAGGCATATTTTAAGGCCAGCATATTGCATGTGAACTCTTCCTGGCCCTTTCTCTGTGGTGTTATGAAATGAATGTCACCCTTTTCAGGGAAAAGTTTTCATTTACCGAGGGAAAGAGTATGAGCGCCGGGAAGATTTTGAGGCTCGGCTCTTAACTCAGTTTCCAAACGCCGAGAAAATGAAGACAACATCTCCACCAGGCGACGATATTAAAAACTCTCCTGGCCAGTGTATCCTTTAAGACAACCTCATCAACTCTGAAACCATGGTGATGCCATTCATTTGGGTGGTTGGGTGTGGTGGGGGGCCTCTCTCATGGTTGATGTCTATGCTGCCTTAGTGATCCTTAACCCCCTCACCTCAGATATTCAGTGCTTCACAGTGAAGCCCAAACTCGATCTGCCTCCTAAGTTTCACAGGCCAGTGTCAGAGCAGATTGTAAGGTAATAATCCCATTTTTCTTACCCAACGTGAGGGTTGTAAGAGGCTGTGTACAGATCTCTTGCTAATAATTCCACCTTTTAAAGGACGGACTTTGGCCATGGATTCGCTTTCCAAATGCTCTTTCTGTCCTCTTTGAAGAGCAAGGGAAGCTAATTATTTTCAGCATCCAAAAAAAGTGACAGGAGATGTTAATCCATGTGCTGGGAGCGTGCAAAGCCTATTCCTTTCCCAAAGTCAGCTGACAGCAAAAACCTAAGAGGGCAGTGGAGGCCGTCTGGTCTCCTTTATAGACCTGCCCTGTGGGGTACAATCCCCTAGGGAACTTCACAGCAGTGCACAAGTCCTGCCTGTTCCCAGCAAAGCCAAGTTCATACATGTGAGTGTGGCCTGAATGTTTGCATTTTAGAAGGCGGGAAATGGGATTTGCACATTTGCTCCTGGTGACACACAGGAGAACCCTTCAGCCTTACAGCACAGCAATTCCATAATGTAGGGTTATGAGGGGGCTTTTAAACCTCCTGAGTCAACTGTCCATATTTGAGTGAGATTTTCTGCCTGTCAGTTGTATCGCACCTGACTTAGCAATGGCATAGAAAGACCTGCTTTAGCAGATGTGTTTGATATTAAGACTTTTCTGTTCTGTTTGATCCATGTTCTGGTGAAAATATTAATCTCTTTGATGACCTCATATTCCTTAGGATCAGCTTCATTTTGCTTCCTGAAGTTTGGTGGTTTCTTTAACCTTTCATCGTTTCTTTGACCTTGCATCAGCAATAATGGGAAATAAACTGGGACCCTGTTTATTTACAAATGATTGCTCTCGCAAGGCATACATTTTAAGGGTTGCAACATTTTTTTTCAGAGGCCTTAAGCAAATAGTGACGCTTAGAGCCTTCTCAGATGCAGTAGTTTCTTTTGCTGTGGAAGCCTGCCTGCATTTCAGTGCAGGGGAGAAATCAGTCTCAGTCTCTCCACGCCCTGCCCTGTGCATGCGGAAAGCCTGCCTCGTACCCCGACCGCGGAGGCAGGTTACTTATGTTTCCTGTGTGTCACTCTTGGGGTGGTTGCAAAATCTGTGCTTTGTAGATCTGAAACTAAGGTATGTAATACTTTTTTAAAATAATAATAAACACATACGTTGAACACAAAAGCTTTTTTCTCTCTCCTTCGCTTCACCTTTCCTCTGTTTTTGCTCATTTCACTCTTACTCAGCTTCTGTTTTCCCTCGAGGGTTGGCAGGGACAGGGAAGAGGCAAAAACTCAAGTTAATTTTTCCACCTGCCAACATTTCCCTGGCTGGGAGAGGACACCAAGGCGATGGCTTCAGGTCAAGGTTAGGGACATTTTACAGGAGGCAGTGACATGTTCTAAGGCCAGACCCCGTGTCCAAAAGCAAATTGGCTATTTGCCGGGTTAAATATCTAATGATCTGTCTGTCTCTGTACAGTTTTTACAGGGTGAACGAGGTCCAGCGATTTGAATATTCTCGGCCAATCCGGAAGGGAGAGAAAAACCCAGACAATGAATTTGCGGTAAAAAACAAACAAACCACCAAACCAAACAACAAAAAATATCATTCCGCCACCAGTAGAACTGCCACTGGAGAAGCGTGGCCTCAGAGGCAGCCACGGAGCCATATTAAATGTCTTTGTGTATTATGTGCAGAAATCTTAATCTATTACCCCCTCCAAAGTTAGAAAAACTAATTGCCATTTCACTAACAATATGACTAAGGTCACTGAGATATTTAATAAGGAGACTGTGCCGTCCAAATGCCGGAGCTCCCATATGAGTAGCGCACTGCCTTCCCTGCGAGCCCCAGGTGAGAGAGCAGGTGCCTGTCATCTCTAGTTAAAAATGGACCCACCGAGTGCTGAGGTGCGGGGTGCTGACGTGGCTTTCTGCAGGTGACACAGCAGTCAGCACATGAACTGGATCTGGACCCGGGTGCTCATTCCTCATTCAGTATCCAGCACCTGAACTTCAGTGGAGCACAACACACAACTGCAGGGTTGACCCCAGCACTACTAGCAATACGGACCGGGTTATTCTCTGTGGTGGGGACCATCCAGTGCATCCAGGGATGTTTGGCAGCATCCCTGAACACTGCCTACTAGGTGCCAGTGCCACCACCCCAGTTGGGACAACCAATCAAAAAGATTTCCAGGCCAGGCATGGTGGCTCACACCTGTAATCCCAACACTTTGGGAGGCTGAGGCAGGTAGATCAAATTAGTTCAGGAGTTCGAGACCAGCCTGACCAACATGGTAAAACACTGTCTCTACTAAAAGTACAACATTAGCCGGGCGTGGTGGTGCACGCCTGTAATCCCAGCTATTTGGGAGGCTGAGGCGGGAGAATCGCTTGAACCCAGGAGGCAGAGGTTGCAGTGAGCCAAGATCGCTCCATTGCACTCCAGCCTGGGGAACGAGAGTGAAACTCCATCAAAAAAATAAAGTTTCCAGACATTGCAAAATAAAACATCTGCCCCTTGTTGCAAACCACGGCATTCGAGTTGTAGAAATAACAGCAAACATCTTTAGAGCCTTTTTTCTTTATTTTTTTATTTTTATTTGTTTATTTTTTTTGAGACAGAGCCTCGCTCTGTCGCCCAAGCTGGAATGCAGTGCCATGATCTCAGCTCACTGCAAGCTCCGCCTCCCAGGTTCACGCCATTCTCCTGCCTCACCCTCCCAAGTAGCTGGGACTACAGGTGCCCGCCACTACGCCCGGCTAATTTTTTGTATTTTTAGTAGAGACGGGGTTTCACGGTGTTAGCCAGAATGGTCTCGATCTCCTGACCTCGTGATCCCCCCGCCTCAGCCTCCCAAAGTGCTGGGATTACAGGCGTGAGCCACCGCGCCTGGCCCTAGAGCCTTTTAAAAATTCTACATACAAACTGCTTTCATGGATTCATTTGTATTTTTATTTTATTTATTTTTTTATATAGAGGTGGGGTCTATGTTGCTCAGGCTGGTCTTGAACTCCTGGGCTCAAGTGAGTGGATCCATGTTGAAAAGGCATCAAATAAGCCATAATTTTTTTAAAATGTTAATGTTTATCCGTCTTGCCTGGGAAACCTCCGGAAATCCTTCTGTACTCCTGTATTGCAAGGAGGCATTAGCCCGGGGACCCCCAAGGAGGACCGGCTCTGCTGAGAATGGCTTCTCTTGTGTGCCGTCCGAAGGCATCTAGGCTGCAAAGGTCAAAGGTGAATTAACACCCTACTCCTGACCAGAGCAAAGCTCGGAACCCTTCCAGCAGGGTTGCCTCAAGTAAAGAGTGGTGGCTACCCAGTCTCCCTCCCAATCCCTCAGGGGTCTGCCAGTCATGGGATCCTCAGGGCAGTACCTGTGAGTCTCCTAGCTCAGCTCTTAAGAGCCATGGGGAAGTTCCTTCCAGCCCCGAGGCCAGATTCCTTGTGTGTCACCAAGGAGCACAAAGGAGCTTGGAGTTGGTGAAATCTGCAGTATTGTGCAGTCCCAGCAGGCTGGTTGTTTGAAGATTATGTTCACCCTATTTGTTGGTGAACCCAGCACCCTGGACCTCCTCCAGGACTGGTCACTACAGTGTCCATTGTCTGCAACAGTGCGGGCAGAACCTAGGCACGTCCAACCTGGACACCCTCGCTAAGGGCAGTGGCTTTCAGAGCAGACTGCACCTGTTACTGTCATCATAAGCACTAACGCTAGTGTTTATATGGAGTCCCTCAACTGTGGGATTTATAGGCAGTTCTTGAATTTCCCTCACACCTCTCCCATCTGGCAAGTAGATATATTCTTAGACTATAAAGAAATAGACACAAGGAGGTCAAGTGAGCCACTGGAGGGTGCGCGGCCAGTTGGGTGCAGAGCTAAGAATAACGAAGGCTCTTGACATTTTGAGCTATGCTGAGCCTCAGAGGCTATGCTTCTTCTAAATGGCCCTGAAATCCCCTAATGGCCCTGTTGAGGTCCGGGCACTTGGACAAAGTGTTCGGAAGCTGCAGGATTTGGTCCTTCACATGCCCCACAAAGCCTTAGATAAGTGCAACGTCTTTTGCTCTACTGGGAAGCCAGCCTCGGCCCCTCCAGCGGGGAGCCTGGCTCCAAGTGCAGGGGGCTGGGGAAGCTGCCCACCAGGCCGAGAGCAGTGCGAGGTGGCTCATCCCTGCAGACCTGGCAAGGGGTGACTGATGTGCTGGGGAGTGAGGGCACTGACGAGGAGGAAGATGAGACAGGGCCTGCGTGAGGAGGAGCTGGCCGTAAAGCCCAGGATGGAACCCAGAGGTCCGTCTCAGGGCATGTTGACATGAGAGAAAGCACTGGAATCTGGTCTAGAGGTGGATGTGAGAGGGCCAGACCTGTTTCCATTGCCAGGACAAAAACCTGAGGGAGCCGTCCCCATGGGGCAAAGAGGACTGGTGTGGGACACGGAGGCCTTGCCTGTGTCCTTATGGCTTCAGCCAGCTCCTTCCCTTTCCTCCTATGGAACGTAAGAAGTTTGGGATAAATGCTTTCCAAGATCCAAGTCAGTTTTCTGAAAATTTTTTTTTTTTGAGAGAGAGTCTTGCTCTGTTGCCTAGGCTGAAGTGCAGTGGTGTAATGTCAGCTCCCTGCAACCTCCGCCTCCCGAGTTCAAGCGATTCTCATGCCTCAGCCTCCTGAGTAGCTGAGACTATAGGCACATGCCACCACATCTGGCTAATTTTTGTATTTTTAGTAGAGACGGGATTTTGCCACGTTGCCCGGCCTGGTCTCGAAGTCCTGAGCTCAGGCAATCTGCCCGCCCTGGCCTCCCAAAGTGCTGGGATTACAGACGTGAGCCCCCCACGCTTGTCCCAGTTTTCTGGAATGACTGGCATTCCATTATCCCATCTGCTTAAGTCTAGATTCCTGTTGACACTCAGACTGCTCAGTGACCCTGCAGTGCAGGGAGGTTGGAATGGCAGAAGATTGTTGCAAGCTAGACAGTACGAACGAGGCAGTAGGATAAAGGATTTCCAGTTGACCCCTGCATTGGAGTTTTTGTGCAATCCTTAAAGAGTAGTAGAATTGTATTTATTGGGTTAGAACAGTTTCCTGCAATAGGTAATATACTGTTTTACAAAGAACACATTGTCAAATGATGTTTTTATTTAAAATATGCATAGACACACTTTTTAATACTTAGTAAGAAGTCTTGAACAATAGATACTAAAGCATATAGGTTATCAGCTTCAGGTAGGGGATGGTTTTTCCTCCTGCTCTTTCCATATCTTTATGTTCTCATATAAACATATATTAGTTACGTCAAAACATTTTAAAGTTTAAAATACCGACTGGTTTTATCAGAACATCAGAGGTCACTTTGATTAAATCCAGTCTCCCAAAGATGTATTTGCCCCTTTTAGTTTCTTATGAACACTGTAGCTAATGTAAGACTTCTTTGGAGCCTTCCTCAAAATCTGTTTGCTCAAGAGGGGCTCCCCATACCTCATTTTGGAGTATACACATCTTTCTCACTCACCTAGTATACTTTCATTGTCAAATACCAGAGTGGTGGGCAATGTTGGCTAGGGGACAGGGGATACTTTGATGTATCCTGAGCGACCGTTAGGTAGAGCGTGGCTTGTGAGGTGCTACCTGAAGGCACACATGCCCTGTGCTGAGCACCACAGACCCTGTCCTGCTGAAGGACCTGACTCCTTTGGAGTTATTCTATAAATCCCCCTTAGGGCAGAGCTGTCCACCTGCTGACATCCTTCTAACCCGTGTTGTGTGTGTGTGTTTCCTTTGCAGAATATGTGGATCGAGAGAACCATATATACAACTGCATATAAATTACCTGGAATTTTAAGGTGGTTTG
The DNA here is from genome assembly GCF_000001405.40 of Homo sapiens. NCBI lineage: Eukaryota > Metazoa > Chordata > Mammalia > Primates > Hominidae > Homo > Homo sapiens. Next base: position 127,415,219 of record NC_000010.11, read on the forward strand.
AGGTCAAGTCTGTTTTCATGGTAAGGATGGCCCCACCCCAGAAGGAATTGTCCGTTCCCTTCCTCAATACAGTCTGCCACGCCTTCTTCACCTGCTCATGCCCCGTGGTCACTGTGGCAGCGTGCACACAGCAGACTCTACAGTTCCCATAACCACCCCACCTGTTCTTGAGAGCATCGATATCTCCTCGCCTAGCCATATTTTAGTGGAAATGCTGTGTAATCACGACCAACTCTAGCTTATCAAAAAACCAGAATGAAGATTTCATTTCTTCTTACAATGTATTTAAATTCAGTCATAGCTGTGCTGTTTTGACAATGCTTTGTGTTAACCAAGTGAAAAGTTGAAGACAAATTCCAGTCTACATAAACTTTTTTAAAGATTTTTTTCCTGATGGTTTTATTGCCATTTACATGACAAACAACTATTAATTAATAGTCCTTGCCCATTTCAAGTAAAAATAGCCTGAGAACATACCCCTCCCTGACCCTTTTTAAAGAAATAACGATTTCCAGCTCTCAACAAAGCTAAACTTTGCTTTGAGATGGGGCAGTTTCATTTACGTGAAACTCACATTTGCAGTGAGCTATTGGACAGTTTCATTTACATGAACCAGAGTTGGGCTGCAGATTTATTGACAGTATTGAAATGTCAGGGCCAAGGCAACTGGCAATATAAAAACATCTGATTGAAATCTGTACGTTTTTGTTCATGTGTCTCAGTGCCTTTTGTTTTCACCTGGCAAGAACTCACTGAGGGGGTGGCACTTGCCATTTAGTTTTCAATGAGTCCCCCCGAAACACCTGATTATTTGTCTCTAGGGGCCGGCATCTCTCTGCCCAGCTGCGTGTCCAGCGCCGAGCCTTCTCCTTTGCCCACACCAGCATGAGCTATGGGCAGCTATGGGCCACTCTCTGAGAGGTTGCCCGCAGTCAGAGCCACTGCTTTATACTCAAAGCACCCAGGGCTCTTCACCTACCCCTCCTGGGGTCACTTTCTGCTCTGGAGTTCCCTTTCTGTGCCCCTAGCAGCCAGGCAGTGCCTGACAGATAGAAGGCTGTGGGAGTTATGTGTCAGGTGGTAAAAATGCACTCCCTTTGCTGGGTCCCTTTGTAGCTAGTGAGGCATTGTACATGTGAGAGACAACAGAAGAGCAGGCCCTCCACCTAAACAGGCCGTGATCCTCTTAATCACCCTCTGCCCATGAGCCCTTTGTAATCGGGGCCTGCCAGCCAACAGCTGCCGGATGCAGGAGCTTAGGGAGGTGGAGAGGGGAGCCCTGACCTTTCGTGAGGATGCAGCTTCTCCTCGGGCTGCTTTGGCCATTTTGAACAGACTAAGAGGGCAGGAAGGCAAATAATCCCAGAATGGCAGGACTCACGTCCTGCTACCAAACCCTGATGCCCTCCTCGTGCCACCTGGGACCAACCCCCGTGGGATATCTGTGGGAGCAGCAGCTAACCTTCTTCAATAAAAATAGGAAGGGATTCTTTCTCAGTGCAAATGAGATTAGTAACAGGGAGGTAACAGTCAGTCCTGGTGGAATACTGCCCTGGAGTGTGCATTTGTTGAAGCTGTGTGCCCGGGATGAAATGTCGTAGGGCCTGGCAAAGTAAGTTGTGGGGTCAGGACAGCATGGCTATGCCTGCTGTCCAGGACACCGGACAAGGGGCCCTCTCAGCAGGGTGCACGTGGCTGGCCACACCAGTGCATCACAATCTCCCCAAGGCTGTCCCTCCATCAGTGCAAGGACAGTGACATCAGTGGGCAGACAACCTCTGTTATGTCCACAGCCACCTAGGAGTGCCAGTCTAGGGTTGCTGACGGACAGAATCGCCCATTCGCTGTTCATCTCTGCCCTGCCCCACCCCCAGCTCCCAGGCAGTCCGCTAGAGGCTGTAGCAGGAAGAAAGCCGGACATGAAGATACCAAGGGCTCTTGGGCATGGGTGGGGGCCCATCACGCTTCCTTTGGAAGGAGCAAAGTTATTGCTGAGGTCACCCTGGGACATGGTCCCCGTGGCCCAGTGTGAGGAGGAGGTTTGGTCTGCTCAAGCAAGACCTCAGGGCAGCTGTGGTCCCTGCCTTAGACCCAGCCACGTTGCCCTGGCACCTTAGGGCTGAGCTGGAGGGCACTGGGCTGGGACTCGGCCAGGCCAGGCCCTGTGGGGCCCTCAGAGAAAGAGGGTGGAGGTCCCTGAGAGACACGCACTGGAGCCAGGAGGACAGTGGTCAGTCCCCTACCTCCTGCACTGAAGGTGTCATTAACCATGGCAAGTGTGCAAATGAAGCCTGTGAGGGTGGCCTGGAGTGCTCCAAGCAGCCTTTTCCTCCCGACCCCAGGGGCCATGAGCTCTCTTTGTTGTTGTTTGTTTGTTTTTTGGAGTCTCACTCTGTTGCCCAGCCTGAATACAGTGGCTCAATCTCGGCTCACTGCAACCCCTGCCTCCTGGGTTCAAGTAATTATCCTGCCTTAGCCTCCCGAGTAGCTGGGATTACAGGCATGCACCACCACACCTGGCTAATTTTTGTGTTTTTAGTAGAGACAAGGTTTTGCTATGTTGGCCAGGCTGGTCTTGAACTCCTGACCTCAGGTGACCCGCCCACCTCAGCCTCCCAAAGTGCTAGGATTGCAGGCAGGAGCCACCACGCCTGCCCATCACTCTTCCTTCACATGATGGTGTGTGGTGCCATGGCGGAGCCCTGCCTTGACCTCCTTTGCCCTCCCTAACCGGACAGGTAGTGCAGGCTGCCCGGGCTTAGATTCCTCAAAATTCCCGAACATCTTCTCCCTCAGCACAACAAGCAGAGAACAAGAACAGGATTGGAAGTGTCTGTTCTGAAGCAGGTGTATTCAAGCACTCAAGGCTGCGTGTTTTCCTGGGATGACCACATATGTGCATAGCCACATGCACACACACAGCCCCGCCCCCAGAGCTGAGCAGCAGCTTTGCTTTGTTCCTTTGGAATTTTCATCTCTGGGAACAAACAATAATAATAAAATGCCCAGCCACCCAAAAATTCTGTTTGGAAGAAAGGTTCACGGAGGAGCAGGAAGCCTGCCCCAGAGCACGTGGCTCCTCTGGTGAGACCCTGGGAGTGGAGGCAGCTGTGGGGCTGACATCGGGCTCTCCTCTCTCTTTGCAGGTGGAAATCAGCCCCCTGGAGAATGCCATTGAGACCATGCAGCTGACGAACGACAAGATCAACAGCATGGTGCAGCAGCACCTGGATGACCCCAGCCTGCCCATCAACCCGCTCTCCATGCTCCTGAACGGCATCGTGGACCCAGCTGTCATGGGGGGCTTCGCAAACTACGAAAAGGTACGGGACCCACCAGCTTGCTCTGGGCAAGCAGTCCTGCCCGGGGACAGACTGAAAATTCCCGAGAGTCCCCAAAGCCCAGAAACGCCCCTGGTCTCATTGAGCAATCTCAGCAGTGGCCCAGCCAAGGCCAGGCAGCAGCAGCCAGTGGCGGCCCCTGAAGCCTGCAGCAAGGTCAAGGCCGGAGTCCCGGCAAGGCTCCCCTGGGCATCCCCAGACAGCCAGGAAGCCCCCACTGACCCACCCAGGCTGGGCTTATCTGCACCCAGGCCTCCAGTGGCTTTTACAAGGTCTGGGATCTTACAGGCCAAAAGATAAAGTTAGACAAAAACACCAGAATATCAGGACTAGGGAGGTAGCGCTTTGACGGTGGAGGGGGCCCGGCCAGCTGGTCTCCCTGGATCCTAGCTCTGTAGGAATGGGCAGAAGTTGAAGGACACAGGGTGTATCCTAGACCACCCCTGCCTGTGTTTGTAACTGCAGTTCTTTTGGAAGAAGGCCACGCCTGTGCACTTACTTACGCCTGAGGCTGTTTTCCTGATACTGTAACTGGCGAGTTGAGTAGTGGCAGCATTGAGTAGTTGTGATAGAGACCTGTATGGTCCACAACACCTAAAATGTTTACCATCTGGCCTTTCACAAAAAAAGCTTGTTGACCCCTGATCTAGACAGAGCAAAAACTGAGACAAAAAGGATACTGCCTGAGAGAAGGCTGCGAGGAGATGATTACCCACCCTTGCACAAAGAAGTTTGTTGCCTTCAGGTGTAGGTCAGGCCTGGGCAGGTGCAGGGGCTAGGCAGGAGGCATGGGCGTGTGAGTAGCTGGGAGGGCTGTATTCACTGCCACCCAGCAGGACCAAGCCACCAGGTCAGCTGTGGCCTTCCTGGACCCCAAGAACTGGGGTTGCTGCTGTAGACAGCCCTGTTAGCTCCACTTACAGTGTTTGACCTTGTGGGACATTTTGTCCTGGGTGCTGCGAAGGGTGTGACCCTGAGTCTGCAGTGAGCTTCGTGTGGATCTGTTTTATGCACAGCTCTATTCTCAGGGCCTGGCACACAGTAAGTGTGCAAAAACCTGTGTTTGCTGAGCAGGTGCACTGAGCAACTCTCCTTGTCTCCACCAGGCCTTCTTTACAGACCGGTACCTGCAGGAGCACCCTGAGGCCCATGAAAAGATCGAGAAGCTCAAGGACCTGATTGCTTGGCAGGTAAAGTGTCCAGCAAGAGTCCTGCATGGCTGGAGGGAAGGAAAGCTAGGAGGGTCTAGGCTCAGCACACACACCAGCCAGCATGGAGGTCCCTGGGCTGCAGTCCTGATGCACGTGGCTGTGATTGTCCCTGGGTGAACCCACCCACTGCTGTCGTGATCAACTCAGCTCCTGGGCTGCAGTCAGGAATTTGAACACCCAGAAAATTATCTCTTGCAAATGAACAAGGTCTCTTTCCTCCCCTTGGTCAATTCTGCCGGCTGCTGGAAAACTTTTTCTCTGTCTGTATTGATAGAACATTGAGGTGAGCTCAGAGCCATGAAGCCTTGAGCTCTAGCCTGTGCCAGGAAAGGCGCTCGGGCCAGTGCAGTCCCTGTGAAACGCATGTACGTCAGAAGCTGCAGTGCACCCTCTCCCTGTTCTCCGTGCACCTCTGGCGGTGGTGTGCGTCCTCATCTGTGTTTTCCCAGCTGAAGTTGTGCAAGTTATTTCACTGTTCTACTTATGCTCCTGGGGCCTCGGGAGCCTTTCCCAGAGGGCCAGCATCTTGAAAGGGCAGACCCTGGGTGCCTTGGGTTTAAGTGTCAGAACCGGACGGATGCATCTGTGCTTCTCAGAGCCTTCCTGAGCCTGGAAGTGTAGGGGTCAAGAGCCAGTCCTCACAAGAGCTTGGCCGGCACCAGCCTGCTCTGCTGCTTTAGGCCACTGCCTCTTTAGGCTTCCTTTTCACATGTGGGAGGCAAGGAGGGTGCTGTCCCCGAGATCTTGCCACACTGTGTAAAGAGAGTTGAGGGAGGTGGGGGCAAAGGCCTGCATGGGTTTGGACCAGGTGTCGTAGCCCAGGCCACTTTGCTAAGCTGGGGTCCCAGGCTCCCAGTCAAGGCCCAGAGATGCTGTGCAGTTGATCTGCACCCAGTCCAGAACAGGGCAAGATACAAAATTAGCTGGGCGTGGTGGTGCACGCCTATAATCCCAGCTACTCAGGAGGCTGAGGCAGGAGAATCGCTTGAACCCGGGAGGCGGAGGTTGCAGTGAGCTGAGATCACGCCACTGCACTCCAGCCTGGGTAACGAGCAAAACTGTCTAAAAAACAAAAAAAAAAGGAACAGGGCAAGGCTGTTCCTCTTATGAGACATCACCGTGAGCAGTTTATTTGTTTGTTTGTTTGTTTGTTTGTTTGTTTTGGAGGTGAAGTCTCGCTCTGTTGCCCAGACTGGAGTGCAGTAGCGTGACCTCAGCTTACTGCAACCTCCTCCTCCGGGGTTCAAGTGATTCTCCTGCCTTAGCCTTCCAAGTAGCTGGGACTGCAAGTGTGCACCACCATGCCCGGCTAATTTTTTTGTACTTGTAATGGAGATGGGGTTTTGCCATGTTGGCCAGGCTGGTCTTGAACTCCTGACCTCAGGTGATCCGCCCACCTTGGCCTAAGTGCTGGGATTACAGGCATGAGCCACTGCACCAGGCCACTGTGAGCATTTTTATTCTGACATCCCAGCAGGGCCTCTTCTTAGTGGCCTCTCTGTCATCAGCACATTGGCCAATGAGACGTCTTAGAGTGGAGCAAGGCTGAGCTTTGGTTGTGAGCCAAGGTACGAGTCCTCTTAAATTTGTGTTTAGATATATAGGATGGGTTGGATTTTTATAATTCTAAGTGCTTATACTGATATGTAAACATAATATACATTATGTATATATTATAAATAATTGTGATAAAATATACATAACATAAAATTTCCCATCTTAAACATTTTTAAGTGTCCAGTTCAGAGGCAATAAGTACATTCACACTGTTGTACAACCAGCACCGCCACCATCCATCTCCAGAGCCTTGTCATCTTGCAAATCTCCAACTCTCTACCCATTGAACGACTTCCCCATTCCTCCCTCCACCCACCTCCTGGTCACCACCATTCTACTTTGTGTCTCTATGAATTTGCCTACTCTAGATAGCTTATATGAGTGGAATCATGTAATACTTGTCCTTCTGTGTCTGGCTTGTTTCTCTTAGCAGAATGTCTTCCAGATTCATCCATGTTGTAGTGTGTGTCAGAACTTCATTCCTTTTTAAGGCTGAGTAATACTCCATTATAGGGCTAGACCGCAATGTGTTTCTCCACGGATCTGTCAAGGAACAACATGTGGGTTGTTTCTACCTTTTGGCTGGTGTGAACAATGCTGCTGTGAATGTGGGTGTATAAATACCTGCTCAAGTCCCTGCTTTCAATACTCCCATAGTTTGGGGTATATACCCAAATTTAGAATTGCTGGCTCATGTGGTATTCTGTGTTTTCTTTTTCACGAAACTGCCAAACTCTTCTACGGTCACAGCACCATTTGACATTCCCACCAGCAGTAATGCATGATTCCAACTTCTCTGCACCCCCAACAAGACTTGTTATTTTGTTTGTCTTTTTTTTTTTTTTTTTTTTTTTTTTTGAGATGGAGTCTCGCTCTGTCACCAGCCTGGAGTGCAGTGGCGTGATCTTGGCTCACTGCAACCTCCACCTCCCGGGTTCAAGCGATTCTCCTGCCTCGGCCTCCCGAGTAGCTGGGACTACAGATGTGTGCCACCACACCTGGCTAATTTTTGTATTTTTGGTAGAGATGGGGTTTCACCATGTTGGCCAGGATGGTCTCGATTTCTTGACCTCGTGATCCGCCCACCTCAGCCTCCCAAAGTGCTGGGATTACAGGTGTGAGCCACCGTGCCTGGCCTGTTTATCTTTTAAGTAATAGCCATTTTAATGAGTGAGAAGTTTTATTTATATGTATATATAAACAAAAATTATATTAAAAGGGAAGAAATCAGACTTTGTCACAAATCTGCATTTGAAATCTGTTTGCTTTGGAATTATGGTTTTGAACGTCCTCAGAGTTTGACTGAAAGGGACATTGTTGGCCAACTTTGGCTTCTTTGTATGGATTGTAAGCCTCATGTAGACAGTCTCCCTCTGTAACTAAAAAAGTGGGAGAGAGTTTAAAATTGTGAATGATTCCATTTTAGATGTTGTAGATTTTTTACTAAAGGGTACGAAATTCAAAATTCCTCTGCAGGCTATAAAACTATTGCTATACAAAAACTAGTTTGGTCTGCAAAAGTTCTATTGATTTTTTTTTTCCTATAAGCTTTTACAGCAAATTGGATTTTAAGAGTTTCAAGTCCTACAGAGGAAAATAATTTGTTCCCCAGAGAGCAGCTTTATGTCAGCACTATGTCATCATTCCTAATAACTATATTAAAGGATGAATTTTAAAGCAGGTCACAGGAAAGGTAAAAGAATCAGTTTTCTAGTAACTTCATTAAATCAAAGAGTGATGAAAAATGCATATTCCAAACATTACCTGTGATTTTGCTTTCATTTGCAAATGTTTGGAAAACCCGTATCTTGGTATTGGCAACTGAGTCATATGTTCATTAAAAATAAGAAGTTTGAATTTATCAGAATGCTTTGTTCTCTTTTTGTTTATTAGTTCATCTGGTTTGGTTTTTTCCTGAAACTATCAGGGCAGAGTGAGGTTTTTCTCCTGGGAGTCCCAGGACTCATGTGCAGAGTTTTCATCACCGATATATAATAAGCTCAGCTCTGATGCATAAAATGGTTTGTGAAGGTTGGTTAATAAGTCCCAGGCAGCTCCTCCTCAGCCCTGCTTGCTGCCTCAGAAACAGAGGATGGGCTGACCTGCTCCTCGCTGGGTGGGAGGTGGCAGTCAGGGTGCACACTGTGTGGTGCCTCTTGTAGGTTTGCGGCTGGCACCAGGTCATGAGTCACTTTCTCAAAGGCACAATTCCATCTTTCTCCATACACAGCTGTCATTGTGGAGCATCCCTGCCGAGTATCCAAAGACAAATCCATACAGTCTCATATTAAACTGCTGTGATGTATACATATTTCTCTTTTGAAATGTACGAAGATGAAAGGCTGAACTCAGCCATCATCCCCAGCTGATGACAAGCATGACTGTTGTGTCCAGGGGTGGTGCTCCTGGAGCATTAAGCAAGGCTTCCAGATGTTCTGTGCTGCTTTCAGGGCATGAATCTGTGCAGGGGACAGACAGGAGCAAACTTCAAATACGGCCCATCAGGAGGGCGTCTTTGTAGAGCAGGCTGCAGGCTCGCTTTGATTAATTAGAGGTGTGACTTAGGGAAAGTCCTCTCCCATCTCTGGGCTCTGAGAAACTCTTTAGGAATGCAGATTCCTGGGATCTGCCTACAGCAAATCAGGGCTCTGGAGGTGGGGTTCAGGAATCCACCTGAGATTCTGATGCTTAGCCAGAGTGGAACCCACTCAACTACAGGGTCTCCAGAGACCATTTCAGACCCTCGGTCTATGTTAAGTGCTTTTTGTGCATTGGAATGTGTTTACTCAGGGCATCCTCTTATCTTCTTTCATTTAGAATCACACCTGCAGTTCAGCCCCAAGTAGACATATAACAGGGAACCAGTTCCTGTCCTATCAGAAGGTTATTTCCCATCAACGTCAGGAACTGCTGAGAGTGGTGAATTCTCACACCTGGTAAATTTCACCTATCAGATTGCAGTTCGAGCAGCACAAGCGTCCTAAACCAAAAGGTCTTAACTCTCATCTGACAAGTACCTTCTTTGACAGAAAGAATCTGACCATTAAGAGTTTTATCACACCACCATCAACACCAACAACAGCAAAACTCAGGAACTAGATTACATTTTGTAGTTTGAGAAAGGCCCGCCCTAAATCAGAAATGCTTTTAGTATCTAGGGTGGCTGTGCTTTCACCTTGCAACAGCACCTCCACACATCCCTGCCTTTGCATCCAGAGAGAGACCCAACACATTCGACATCCCACCAAAAGTTGTCCCGGTCTGTCTGCGTCATCCCCCAAGGCGGAACTCAGGAGGCAGAAGGCTGACAGTGAGCATTTTCTACTGCTGGCCCTGAGTAAACCGCGGCTAGCCCCGGGGAAGCTGCCATCTGCACGAGTAATTCATAGGGAATATTAAAACATCCCAAGTATTTTGAAATCTCTCTGTATGCTGTCCTTTCGGTGATAACTGGCCAGAAAGGCCTGACATGTGCCTAGGGTTTGGGGCCAACTGTCAGCAAAACAAACTTTTGTGTCGGTGCAGCCTCCAAGCAGGCTAGGAGGGCTATGAGCGAGGAGAGCGCTGCTACTCCCTCCTTTCCTGGAGCACCAAGAGAGGCAACAGCTGTGTGCTATAAATGGTAACCAAATACATTTGATGCGTTGATTCATCTTGATAAGATTTCTTGAATTTGCTCACATGAAATTCAATTGTGTACTTATTATCGTTCATACTAATAAATCTGCTCATTTAGATTGGTGTTCTGTCCTATTAGGAAAATCTGTTTTTAATCAGTATTTTGATTTAATTATAAATTATTGAGAGGAAGCCTCTTAGCTTGATTACATGGAAGAATGTCTAACTGAGTCCAAGCCCTGGGGGGAAGCAGAGACCAGGGACAGAAAGGGAGACTTTTCCTTCTCCCACCCCACAACAGCAGCAACTCTGGTGGGTCTCTGCAGCTGGGAGAATGAAAATGTCTCTCTTAGAACGTTTTTAAAGGTCAGCTTCATCTCCACTCTCGGAAGTGAAGTGTTGGCATGGATATTTTGTGACAGCAGTGTCGCAGAGAAGCGATTATTTTTAGTTTTAAAGAAGAATAAATTTGGTTTTCACTTCCAAAAAAGGAAGATTTTTCAGGACTATAGATCACATGTAATTACCTTTTGGAATAGGGTTCTCGTAAAGGCAATATTCTTAGCTAAAAAATGTTCGCACTCTGACATGACCCTTTGCTAATAGAACAAGTTACATCTAAACAAATTCAAGGTGTAGCTCTTCCCAAACTCAAGTGAAAAGCACAGATAAGTCTATTCTGGGAAATTAACTGAGTAGCCGTGGTGTAGGGCGCACCACACTGGACATAGTCAATTCAGAACACAAATGGTTTTCATGTAAACATTTTGGTCTTTGGTGGTAATATGCCTGCTGGTAAATTGAATCAGCTGGTTTGATTTGGAAACCAAAGCAGATCGTTTTGCCAGTTCCCCTTTCCCCAAGTGTGCATTGCTCGTCCTAGACCATTATCCAAGAAATAAGGAATGTCAACCTCTCTGTTTTCCAGATTCCTTTTCTGGCCGAAGGGATCAGAATCCATGGAGACAAAGTCACGGAGGCACTGAGGCCGTTCCACGAGAGGATGGAGGCCTGTTTCAAACAGCTGAAGGAAAAGGTGGAGAAAGAGTACGGCGTCCGAATCATGGTAAGAGGGTAGTATGCGTAGTGTTGCAGAAGAGTGGGTGTCTGGGCATCCCACTGTTGAACAGGGACAAGCTTCCAGAGCAGAGGAACTCACATGTACACATGGTGCCCGCTTAGGAAGTGGGATGTGAGGGAGCTCAGCCCCCTTGGGCAGTCTTGTCTACCGGCAACTCAGCAACCTCCTTTCAATAACTGGAAATGTCAGGGCGAATAAACATTCATGAATTTCCTTGATTACCAAATGCCCCCTCACCTGCTGTGAACACAGTCCAACCTTATTGTTGCAGAGCAATGGAGAAATCTCACAGCGCCCAGGCAACTCAGCTGGTTGACAGTGCACACCTACAGTCATACAATACACACAGAGGGTTCGGTCATCCACAGGGCAACAGCACTCACGACGGCCCATGGCAGAGGTAGCCCAGCCCAAGGTTGACATCAGAGGATCATGGCCATCGAGGAAGAAGTGACCAACATCTGGAGTGTGAAATTATTAGTGAAGATTTACCTATTGTAGGAAGGGGTAATTGATCTAGACCAAGGAAGATAAGCCAGATGTGGTCAGGGGAGGAGATCAAGAAGACACTGCCTGGGGAAAGGACTCCCTCAACAGAGGCTGAGAGGCAGGAGTTTGAATGGCAGGCCAGGGGCCAGTGCAGACACAGGCATGCTTTGGGCAGAAGAGAAAATTCAGAGCGGAGATGGAAAGGCACCCAACCTCCAAGAACAAGGGATGCTAGGCTGGGGCAGGAGGCTCTGCTCGGGATGAAGGGCAGAACTGAGCTTTTGCAATGAGTTTATGGAAGGTTTCTGAGCAAAGGCTGGCATCAGGAGCAGGGTGGAGAGCAGCTTGAGTTTTAATGATGCAAAAACCTTGCAGTTCAAATCTTACAGCCCACTTGAGACTGTCCCCAGGAGCCATGCCTTAGCAGATGTGGGAGCAAAGCCAGGCACCGTGAGTCACAGTGCTGCCCTGCTTTGCAGCTCAGAGTGGTGCTCCCATCTTTACTCAGTCTCTGGGAGCTTTGCTGGGCCTACCCTGCCTGCTCGGGAACTGTGGAGACACCAGACACGGCAAAGGGTCCCCACTCCCCATTGTTCAGGGATGAGGGGCAATGTGGCACAGAGAAGCAGGGAGCTCTCTTCTGTCTACTGGAATTCCATGCCTGCCGGCACTGAGGGGGTGTGCACAGGGCTTCAACTCCCCGGCAAAAGGAAGGCGAGCTGTGGGAAGTCGCGCTGCTTCTCCCAGGTAACATACGGCACTTTCCTCTGCTCCTTGAAGACCAGGTGTCGAGTGGGGTGTGCCATTTTGGTTTTTTTCTGGGCCCAGGGCCGCCTGTCCACCAGTCCCTGAAGTTCTCAGCTATTCTCTATTGAACCCTGTTTTCTTTGACACATTGATCTCAATAAGCAAACAGTAATTTAGTGCTCCCCACGTGCCAGGGACCTTCCTAAGTGCTGTATAGATACTCAGTTGCTTAATCTGCCTCACACTCTGTGAAGCAGGCACTGCAGTCACCTGCATTTTACAGTCAAGGAAACAGGGACATGGGAAGGTAAGTAGGTCACACCCTAGCACGTGGCAGACCCATGGTTCAAGCCCTATCCATGTACCTCCAGGGTCTGTGCTTTTAGCCCCTACTCCAGGGGCTGACATTTGGCACCACAGAGCTTCTCCGCCTCTTTCCCACATGGTAGGAAATGCATATGAGACCTGGGCAACCCCTGAGAGAAGGTAATTTGGTTATGATCACACTGCATGCTCTCCCAGTCTCCCCGCCTCTGCCGGGCATGACCGAACCTTGGTGCCTCCAAGCCTAGGACCTGGTGTCCCTCAGATGAGAGGGTCCCAGGCCCAGCAGGGCTTGAACCCAACAAAGCCAACATAACACAACTGCTGCTCTGAGGTTGAAAACTCAGCAGGTGGGAGTCTGGAACTGCCAGCCCAGCGGGAGCTGCTGCAGGTGAACAGGCCTGGAAATCAGGGCTCTGTCCTTCAAGGCTGGGCTGGAGGATCCTTTGTGCAAGTCAGAATGCTAGAGTAGCGCTTGATAGCTTCAGAGCCTGCAACTCATTACAGTCAGAGCTGAGTGGCAAGAAGCGTTTCGGAGTGCGTCACATCGCATCTCTTTCAAAGTTGATGCCTGTATTAATTCATTCTAAGAAACAAACACTTGTGAAATCTTGACATTTTCTTCCTAAGTGAAAAGCTTCCTCTTTTCTCAGTCATTTAATGTATATTTCAAAATCACAGAAAGCTGTCTGGCTCACCAGACATCCTGCATATTCCCTTCTCTGCCACATTCATGAGTTCTGAGTGTGCTTGCTTTGGGCACAGGTGGAGAAAGCAAGGGCAGGAAGGTAGGGTGCTGTGGATTGGTGTGCTGTGTGGATTGGGGTGCCGTGTGAATTGGGGTGCCGTGTGAATTGGAGTGCCTTGTGGATTGGGGTGCCGTGTGGATTGGGGTGTCATGTGGATTGGGGTGTCGTGTGGATTGGGGTGCCATGTCGATTGTGCCATGTGGATTGTGGTGTTGTGTGGATTGGGGTGCCATGTGGATTGTGGTGTTGTGTGGATTGGGCTGCCATGTGGATTGTGCCATGTGGATTGGGGTGTCATGTGGATTGGAGTGCCGTGTGGATTGGGGTGCCGTGTGGATTGGGGTACCGTGTGGATTGTGGTGCTGTGTGGACTGTGTCATGTGGATTGTGGTGTCCTGTGGATTGGGGTGCTGTGTGGATTGGGGTACCGTGTGGACTGTGGTGCTGTGTGGACTGTGTCATGTGGATTGGGGTGCCGTGTGGATTGGGGTACCGTGTGGATTGTGCCGTGTGGATTGGGGTGTCGTGTGGATTGGGGTGCCATGTGGATTGGGGTACCGTGTGGATTGAGCCGTGTGGATTGGGGTACCGTGTGGATTGTGCCGTGTGGATTGGGGTGCTGTGTGGATTCGGGTACCATGTGGATTGGGGTGCCGTGTGGATTGGGATGCCGTGTGGATTGGGGTGCCGTGTGGATTGGGGTGTCATGTGGATTGGGGTGCTGTGTGGATTGGGGTACCATGTGGATTGGGGTGCCGTGTGGATTGGGATGCTGTGTGTCCTTGGTTGGAGCTTATTTCCAGCACATTGTGAGGCAGCACCGTCTCCATCAACCTCCCCACCCTTCTCTGTAGCACCAGCTGGGTCACCCCGTCTAGGGGGTGGGAGGCTTTTACAGAATGAAGGTTGCATTTTCCACCCTGAGATACTTTGTTCCCCGGACCCACCTTGCAGAGTCCTGCTCCATCCTTTGACCGCAACAGCAGGCTCTGCAAGCATCCTTTGAGAGTCAAGGGGACTGGCAGGTCCCCTTGTCCTTCCCTGAGAAATGTGGCAATAAAACGCAGTCTGGGATGTGCCTTTCCTGTCTTACCTACTTTGGAAACTTGCAATCATCTCAGAGCACTTTGAAAAGCAATCTAGTATCACCCTGTTTGCAAAAAAGATGGATTTTAAAATTTAAAAATAAACCCATAGAAAGGACATAAACCATTTTGTCAGTGTTTCTGAGCCAGCTTAAGCCATAGAAAGAGAAGATGTGGACGCCCTCTGACTTCTCGATACCCAGGCCCCTCTGCCACTCTGCCTTGGCTTTCATCGTGTTCCCAGTCCTGGGGCTCCAAGGAGCTGCCATTCCCTGGATGGGAGCTCTGCAGCCCAGCTTCTCCTGACCTTTAGGGAGCGAGGTGTGCAGGGCCCCAGGGATGAGCCCGTGAGCACCTGCCACGTTCGGCATTGGCCCCCGTGCCCTCACCGGCCCACAGCGCCACGTTCGGCATTGGCCCCCGTGCCCTCACCAGCCCACAGCGTGCAGGAGGCATGTGTGTTGGCCTTCAGGCTTGTGAAAAAGAGCTTTAGGTTTCTCACCAAAACTTCATCTACCTCTTCAAGTCCGATTAGGAGCAGGGAAATTGATCCTGGTTCTGCATTCTCTCTACTCCCATCCACCTCATCACTCCAAACACCATGGAGAGCCATAACCCCAAGATGCCATCGTCCCCCTCTCCCCTCCCCACCTACAGTCACAACACCCGCTGGCCACCCAGACCCGGGAGAGAACCAGGAGTCACCCTTCCTCCCTCAAGTTAGTTCTAGCTGTGGTATCCCCTGGTGGTGCTGGGGTTCACCCCACCATCTTTGCCATCACAGTTGGCCCCTGACCTGGCCCCCAGCTTCCAGGATTTCTCCTCTCTCGCCCTCCCTCCACAGCTGCCGGGGGGACCCATCCCAGTAGTTCTCTTAACTGGGATCCATGAGACCCTGGGGTTCCTCAGAGGCTGTTGGGAGGGGTGTTGACTGGGAGGTGGAGCTGATAGCCCCTGCCTCAGCAGGAACATTTAGCTTCACCTATTCCTTGTGCTGGAGTTCCATGGTGAGGAGAAGCAGTGTGGCATGGCCTACAAGAACAGCCAGGGACCAGGGTTCTGTTTCAGATGCAGAGCTGATGGTGCAGTTGTGTCCTTCAGTCTTGTGGCCTCTGAGGGCCGGCCAAGGTTCTAACATCACACTCGCACCCTCCCTGCTGGGCCTGCCCATCTTCTGCCCCACCCCCCAGCCCCTCCTCCCCCACCTGCTCTCTCCAAAGGAAAATGTGTCACCCTCTGTGGATTTCCAGGCTGTAGCTGGCATT
Organism: Homo sapiens; assembly: GCF_000001405.40. Classification (NCBI taxonomy): domain Eukaryota; kingdom Metazoa; phylum Chordata; class Mammalia; order Primates; family Hominidae; genus Homo; species Homo sapiens. Next base: position 127,430,686 of record NC_000010.11, read on the forward strand.
TGTATAGCATCTGGAAAGGGACATTCCAGATCACGATGAAGTGTGCCTGCTTCTTACCCTTCCTTGTACAGCACTGGTCCCTGTGATTAAGTTCAGCCAACCCCTTCAACCCAGCCCATTCCCATCCAAGACTCTGGGCAGTAAACACCTGTGGCTGGCTCAAGGTGGGACGTTACAGCTCAGCCGGGAGACAGCGACGTAAAACTCAGGGTCATTAGGCAGGGCCAGAGGATCGCTCCTGGTCAGAAAACTGGAATGAGTGTTTGCTCAGGCGGTGAAGACAGCAGCAGCCATCAGGGTAAGGAGCCCTGTGGGCTTCCCCGGCATCATTTCATTTAGTTCTAATGCTGGCCCTCTGGGCAGGGAAGACTGCTCCCTGTGTGCTCAGGAGGAAGCTGGGGCTCCGAGTGGCTCGGGGTTTTATGGAGGGTCACACCATCAGTGCCAGGGCCACAATTCCAGCCTAGTTCCAATGTCCCCAACTCCTACCCACCAGCCCTACTTTCAGTCACAGTGTCTGGCCGTGGAGTCCCACCTCCCAGGACTGGTTGAGACCCTAATTGCATCAGATGAAACAAAAGTAAAGCCCTGATGTCTTGATTTCTAGAGGCTCAATCAAGAAGGAATTATGCGGCAGACCGCCCAGTAAACCCATGGTCGCACCCAGGGAGTGCCCTCTGTCTCTCCTTGACGGGAGTCATCCTCCTGCCAACCCCCTTCCTTTATTCCTTGAAATCCATACTCACACATCTCAACCAAGACCTGAGGTCACCTTCTGAGATTATGTATGGGGTAAGGTTTTCACAGTTGGGGATAATCCCCAAGCAACCATTTCCCTTTTAGTTTCTTCTAAAGGCAGAGTAATTACAGTGAACATCTCCATGAAGCTATCCCCTGGCACCATCATTGGTGCAGGTCCAAGACTGACCAACCCCTCTCTGCTGGCAAATCCCAGCTGCACGTCACTCAGAGCCAGTGGTCAGCAAACTGTGGCCCCTGGCGTGGTTGTGTAAATAAAGTTTTGTTGACAGGCAGGCCATGCTCATTCATTTCTGTATTATCTGTGGCTGCTTTTGTGCTGTCGTGGCAGCGCGTGCTAGTTTCCACAGAGACCATATGTCCTGCAAGCCTAAAATACTTACCTGGTCCTTTGCAGCAGAGGTCCCAGCCCTCAGGCAGTGGACTGGTATCAGTCTGTGGCCCGTTAGGAACTGGGCCCACAGCTGGAGGTGAGCGGCGGGTGAGGGAGCATTACTGTCTGAGCTCTGCCTCCTATCAGATCAGTGGCAGCATTAGATTCTCATGGGAGCATGAACTCGATTGTAAACTGTGCATGTGAGGGATCTGGGTTGTGCACTCCTTATGAGAATCTAATGCCTGATGATCTGAGGTGCAACAGTTTCATCCTGAAACCATCTCCTGCTGGTCTGTGGAAAAATTGTATTCCACGATACCGGTTCCTGGTGCCAAAAAGGTTGGGGACAACTGCTTTACAGAAAATGTGGGCCAATTCCTGCCCTTTTACAATTTTGAGCTTCTTATTATGAAAGAGATAGTTTACACATCAAATGCTGTTTTATTTGGGATCACATATTTAAGAAAAAGGCCCACTTTTCAGAAGGGGAAGTGGCGTTATATTAATCTTACCTGTAATCTACCGCTTCTGGCCTTGGAGGGCTGGAACCATGGTCCACAGCAGGTCTTCTGTAGTTGATTGGCTGAATGAGATGGGCGGGGTGGGGTTGCAGGGTGGGGAAGTCAACGCCACACAGAGAGGAGGTGCCCTACAGGAACTTAGTTTCCACATCCTCAGGTTAAAGGAAGGTCCTTGTGCAGCAGCTGCAGTCCCAGATGTGCCAACATCTGGCTCGGGGTGCAGGTACCCTGGAATTTTCTAGCTAATGAGATGTGGACACATGCTGTATTTCAAGGACACTTGCTTCTGTAATATGTCAAGAAGAAGATGGAAAAGTCCATCTAGAGATCTTTTTTTTGTTTGTTTTTGGCACAATGCATCACTAGTTCACTACCTAGCAAGTGGGAGAAGCTTTAGCAACTTCAGCAGCGGTTTCACCTACTCAGTGGCTTCAGTCACTTGCAGAAAGGAAACGTACTCTTCATTAAGCAGCAGGAGCATGTTATTTTTGTCTAGAGGAGGTCAGTCATTATGGATTCATGCATTTTGATGGCCCGTGTAGTCTGTCAACCTGCAGAGATACACAAAATGCATCTAAAGATCGAAAGACTCTTTAATCACTCTCTAGGTGTTACTCTACATTAAACTTTCTGGTCGGCACATTCTCCTGTGGCTTTGGAATGTGTTGACGCATCGCGGTCTTTGAAGAAAACTTGCACTGTGTATTAAAAGGCTAAGAAGGTTCCTTCTGATACTTTCACAGTATTGGGTTAGGTTTTAAAAGACTCAAAAATAATCATTGTTTTTGTCTTCCACTCAGAACAAGAACATGTACTGTTTACAGAAGTCTGAACGATGATGGTCTCGATTCCACACAGCTAAGGCCACTTTATCTCAGGAGTCTGACCATGGCAGGCACAGGCATCAAACAAGTCTCCTTCTCTCTCTTTCTCGCTCTCAGCCCTCAAGTCTGGATGATAGAAGAGGCAGCCGCCCCCGGTCCATGGTGCGGTCCTTCACGATGCCTTCCTCATCCCGCCCTCTGTCTGTGGCCTCTGTCTCTTCCCTCTCATCGGACAGCACCCCTTCCAGACCAGGCTCCGACGGGTGAGTCAAGCTCACAGCAGGGCTGAGCTGAGCAGTGAGGGCTTGGGGGATCTGGAAGGAGCCACCCAGGGCTCTGGGTTTATTTTCTTACAACTGAGGATTTTGTGTTCATCAAAATTATCTTTGAAACTGAGACCCTCCGAGACTTTCTGACCGTAGTGCCCAATATTACTTTGAGGTCGTGTGAGTTGTTGAGAAAAACATCCTCTCTTTGGGTACCACTTTGGGTGAGGTTTTCATCCAATTTAGAACCTCCAGTGAGTGTTCAGTCCTCTTCAGCATGGCTTAGAACAAGCTTGTCCACCCGCGGCCCACGGGCCACATGCAGCCCAGGATGGCTTTGAATGTGGCCCAACACCAATCCATAAACTCCTTAAAACAGTATGAGATTGTTTTTGTGATTTCTTCTTTTTTTTTTTTTAATAGCTCATCAGCTATTGTTAGTGTTAGTGTATTTCATGTGTGGCCCAAGACAATTCTTCTTCTTCTAATGTGGCTCAGGGAAGCCAAAAGATTGGGCACCCCTGGGAAAAAGCAAGGTGCAGTCCGGGCTGGCCAAGCACTTTGTACTTTTCATCTCCTGTTCACCTCCAGGGTGTTGTGCCCGGACAGGAGCTGGTGTGGTCTGACCATGACACAACCTCCACTGTCCCCCTGTGACACCATTCTGCCAAGCCAACTGTCACAGAGTCAGGCTTTCATGATGGATGGCCGGGCCTTCTTTTTTTTTTTTCTTTTCCTCCCTTCCTCATTTTTTTGGAGAGCAAATGTTTTGTTTATTTTTGTTTCTGCTGAGGTTTATTGCCTTTTAAAGGGAAATGGTGTTTAAGTGAATGCTTCTGAGAATGACCATCTGTCCCTACTTTTTAGGACAACTCTGGAAAATAAAAGGCATATTATCCTTTTTAAAAAATTTTGTTTTTGAGGCAGACTCTCACTCTGCCACCCAGGCTGGAATGCAGTGGTGTGATCACAGCTCACTGCAGCCTCCACTTCCCAAGCTCAAGCGATCATAACCATTTGTAAGTGAACAGTTCGGTGGCATTGCGTACGTTCACATCGCTGTGCAGCCATGACCACCATCCACCTCCAGAACTCTTTAATATTGCCAAACTGAAACTCTGTACCCATTTAACAACAATTCCCCACTCTTTACCTCCCATATTGATTAAACACTAACTTTGCATTCTTTCCCCCCACCCCTGACACCCTGACAATGTCTACTTTCTTTTTTTTTTTTTTTGAGACGGAGTCTCCCTCTGTCGCCCAGGCTGAGTGCAGTGGCACGATCTCGGCTCACTGCAACCTCCGCCTCCCAGGTTCAAACAATTCTTTTGCCTCAGCCTCCCAAGTAGCTGGGCCTACAGGCACATGCCACCATGCCTGGCCAATTCTTTGTATATTTAGTAGAGACGGGGTTTCACCATATTAGCCAGGATGGTCTCGATCTCCTGACCTCATGATCCGCCCGCCTCGGCCTCCCAAAATGCTGGGATTACAGGTGTGAGCCACCGCGCCTGGCCAACGTCCACTTTCTATCACTATGATTTTGACTATTCTAAATACTCATGGGCCACCTTCTTTGTACAAGGCCACTTTGGAGATGCATTTTTGCTCTTGAGTACCCAATAGTTAACATTTATTGAGCACACACTGTGGCTCTGGCATTAGCTCAGGTTATTGCAAAGAGAACTGCAACATTGGTATTTTTTTGTATTTTTGAGCGGCAAGCATGTAAAGTTTGTTCTTCTACAAAAAGAAAAAAATGTTGCATGCAATTTAAACAACACAGAAGAACCTCTAATTGTTTTACTGCTGATTTGTACAGTTGTTTGTGTGTCCAATCCCATTTTGTTTACAATCCATCACCCTATCAAACCCACAGGCATCTGGCCCCCTCAACACACAGAAACAAACTTCCAGAGAGCCCCAAGGGACGGCTCAACTCGGATTGCCCTTTGTTGCCAACGACTGATGTGCCCGATGGAGAATTGCAAACTATCCCCATATTTTTTCTTAACAGTAATTTTTATCAGCGTCTGATATTTATAAGGCCAAGTCCATATGGAAATTCTCAATTTAGAGGTATTTAAATCATGTGTGCTTGTCACTTACAGCAAGATTGCTAAAGAAATTTAATTCAACTTCTCCCCGAGAAAATCCCCGGACTGGTTATGGAAAGGTTTTTATATTTCTAGGAACATAGGGGTTAGGGTGGAAATTAATGGAGAGGTTTTAGACAGAAGAGTGGTGAATTGCACATGTGAGCTCAGGCTGCTGGCTCTTCCCCAGAAGGCATTTGTTTAACCTTTAACTGGAAGGCGTCTTTATTACAGTCCAGATTTGTGTTCATTCTTGGGGTTACCACCCTTTGCTAGCTAACTAATGTGGAGAAAATGAGGCTTTGGTCTCAAATGGCACAGGTTACATGCAGAATAAAGTTCATCCTGTAGGCAGTTGCTTCTCGTAATATGAAAATTTAAAACTCCACCTGCCTTTCTCTGGGTTCTTTGTATACGCATCAGGATTTCACAACCCGGGTCTTCTCCCTGAGCTAAACAGCATCTACTAATCCTTTTCTTACCTACATTATCTCAAGTTCTGCTAAACCTAGAATAAAATCATGAAATGTTTGGTTGTTGCTTATAATAGATAAAATATTTCTCACCTAATGGATATGGATGTATTGTATATCCAGTGTGAAAAGTCCAGATGTCCCAAAATGCCTTAATGATCTAAGTCAATATTGGTATATTTTATCAATCAGTTTAAATTTTTTAAGCATTTTAGTATAGAAAAATGTCAAAGCTGAGTACAGTGGCTCATGCCTAAAATCCCAGCACTTTGGGAGGCTGAGGCAGGTGGATTGCTTGAGCTCTGGAGTTCAAGACCAGCCTAGGCAACATAACAAAACCCCATCTCTACAAAAAAATATAAAAATTAGCTGGGTGTGGTGGTGCATGCCTGTAGTCTCAGCTACCTGGGAGGCTGAGGTGGGAGGATCACCTGAACCTGGAGAGGTTGTGGCTGTAGTGAGCCATGATTGAACCACTGCACTCCAGCCTGGGCAACAGAGTGAGACTCTGTTTCAGAAAAAAAGAAACATTTCAGATATGTACAAAGTGGGCCAAACAGTGTAATGAGGCCCCCATGCCCCATCATGCAGTCTTGACAATTATCAGCTTTTAACTAATCTTTTTTTTTCAATCTGTATCAATCATATTTTCCAGCAAATCTCAAATATCATATTTTATCTATAGCTATTTCACTATGAATTTCTAATTTAAACTCTTTTTTAAAACCATAACTCGGTTATATTATATAAACTATAGTAATATAGTTTATTTCACACCAAAAATATTGACAGGAATTCCATATTATAATAATACATGAGTGTTAATTTCCCATTGTCATGTCTTTTTTTTTAGTTTGAGGCAAAATCCAAATAAGGTTCCCACCTTGTACCTTGCACTTGGTTGATATTATCTCTTTAAGTCTCTTTTAGTCCCCTTTTCTCCCTTGTAATTTATTTGTGGGAAATCCTAGGTTGTGTATCCTGTCATGGTCCCCACCATCAGGACTCTGCTGATAGCGTGCCCTATCGCATTGTTTAATTCGCGTCTCGATTCTCCATATTCCCTGCATATTGGTGGTTGAATCTAGCGATTTGATCAGATTCAGATTTGATTTAGGGACAAGATGACTTCATAGGTACTTGTGTGTTCTTCCATTCAGAGGCACATCATAACCTGTTCTCTCTCTTATGGAGATGTTAACAGCTATTGATAATCAGTGCTTAGATTCAATACCATTATTGTTTACATAGTGACCTGCAGCAGATCCTACTGCACAGCCATATTAGATGAGAGAAGCAAAGAATAGGTGGTGGTCCTTGCTCTGGGTAGTCTGCATCTTCAGCAGATTTAAGCGCAGTTTTGCAAATGATCCTTCCCTTCCTGGTTCATCTTACTCCCCATTATGGGACACACAACATGGAAATAATCAACAGTGAGCAAATCAATGGGGAGCAAGATTGCTGCAATGACCATCTTTTTTTTTTTTTTTTTTTTTGAGACAGGATCTGGCTCTGTCACCCAGGCTGTGCAATGGCACAGTCTTGGCTCACTGCAATTTCTACCTCCCAGGCTCAAGCCATCCTGCCACCTCAGCCTCCTGAGTAGCTGGGACTATAGGTGCACACCACCATGCCCAGCTAATTTTTGTACGTTTTATCGAGACTGGATCTTGCCATGTTGGCCAGGCTGGTCTCGAACTCCTGAGCTCAAATGATCCACCTGCCTTAGCCTCCCCAAGTGCTAGGATTATAGGCATGAGCCACCATGCCCGGCCCTGCAATGGCCTTCTTAATGAGAACAGTGGCTTTCTTCCAAGTGTCCCATTCAGAAATACATGTAAAAGAAACTAGAGCTAGGATGAAAATATGACTGGCTGGCTAAATTATCTTCTCTTGAAATCATGCTCCCCTTGAAGAAGCCAATTGCTTCTCCAGGCGGTCAAGGAAGTCAGGTTTGGAAGTTGCTGTGAGGCTCAGAGCTCCAAAGAGCAGGCTGTATTTTGAAAATGTAAGATCCTAGTAACAGCACTGCCTTCCACGTGAGTTATGCTATATGGTTTTTCAGGCGGGCCCATGCCTTCATCCATTCAACCATCTCTCCTGACTCCTCCTCACAGCAGGAGCTGCTAGGGATGAGACTCCAGTCTTAGAGTTGGATCCATTTCTTCCACCTCCTGATAGGACTTCTAGGACCAGAAACAGGATGGACATGCCAATCTTGTGTTGGAGTGACAAATCACAATCATGTGTGGATATGCTTGCACACTAACCTTTTGGTACATGCCTTAGACACTAGCCTAAGATTCATTTACTCCATGGTATAACCACGAATGTGTCTTTACAGCAACTGTGGGGTAGGCAGAAGGGTGGTGGTGTCTTTATACCCTTTTATAAGTGAGACAGCTGCCAGAGGTTACGAGGACATCAAGAGTCACCCACAGTGGCAGACCTAGAATGCAGGTCTTCTGTCTCCAGCTTAGTTGCTGGCTGGAAACCTCAGGGCATCTCCAAGCACCTGTGAGCTGGCCCTGGCTTGCTTCTGACTGAGCCATGCAAAGTGCTTTCACCTGAAAACAACCGTCTATCTGTAATCATAGAGCCTTGGTCAGGATCAAGGTAGCAGACATTTCTTTGCATTGACGTCTATTTTTCCCCATTAAAAAATAGACAAAATATTTCTATATAAATCTCTAAAAGACGAGGGTTCCCCTTTTGAAATATGCCCTAAATACCATCCTCCCATCGTAAATGAACAATTCCTTAATATCATCATCAAATATCCGGTCAGACTTCACATTTGCCCTATCGTGCTAAGTGTTCTATCTTTTTCCAGTTTATCTGTGTTGGGATTGAAACACAGTCCTTGCATCTGGTGACTGTGTATCTGAAGTCACCCTTGGCCTCCCTTTTAAATCACTGCTTTCATTGTAAATGTCTTCGATGGATTGTGAGTGACTTTACACGTGTCTGTGGGCTGGAAAGCAATTGCTCTCCTATTAAGACGTCATTGACCTTTCCTTTAGGTTTGCCCTGGAGCCTCTCCTGCCAAAGAAAATGCACTCCAGGTCCCAGGACAAGCTGGACAAGGATGACCTGGAGAAGGAGAAGAAGGACAAGAAGAAGGAAAAAAGGAACAGCAAACATCAAGAGATATTTGAGAAAGAATTTAAACCCACCGACATTTCCCTGCAGCAGTCTGAGGCTGTGATCCTTTCGGAAACGGTAACCCGACAGGGTATCTTTCCTCGCTCTGCGGTAGCTTCAGGGACCTACCTTTGCCCCACCTGTAGCCAACAGGGCTGACGGTGGGCTCTTATTGAACTTGTTATAAATTAGCAACTCAGAAACCTGGGGTCCTCCTCCCCTAACCTCAAATGTCCCAAGGCAGTAGGACAGCCAGAGCCACAGAGAGACCTGGAGGAAGGTGGGCTTAGCATTTGTCCCCCTTCCGCAGGGCCTGGGGCGAGGCCGCTCTGCTGCTAGGCTCTGCCGCTCTGTTGGACTTGTTTCCTACACATGTCCTAATATCCCAGAAGATGAGCAGGAGTCCTTTTGTTGTCAGGAAACAGTCCTTGGTGTCCGCTAATGCCTTCCCCTTGCCCCTTGCTGACTGGAACTCTTCTAAGCTAGTTACGGCCCAAGTGTTAAAATCAGCGGAACTAGAATCCAAAGACCTCTTCCCACCGGGCCCCAGAAGCTGGACCCAGTCCTGGGGTATCCTGCTCTGTCTCATCTGCTCCACCTTTAAATCTCCTGGCCGTCTTTCACAAGGACTTAACAGGGACTTCACATGACCCGTACTGCTGAGCTGACCTTGAAGACGGGTCCCAGTGAGTCTCGTTCATTCCACAGTCGTGGGCGTGTGAGGGCGGTGAAACCCAGGAGCCGGCTCTCATCCTGGGGCTGGGCCTGAGGGCTGATCCTCCCAGAAGTGCACCACATTGGGAATCTGTGTTCGTCTGTTTTGTGTTACTGCAAAGGAATAACTGAGCCTGCGTCATTTATGAAGAGGTTGATTTGGCTCATGGTTCTGCAGGCTGTACGAGCACAGCACTAGCATCTGCTTGGCTTCTGGTGAGGCCTCAGGAGGCTTTTATTCTTGGCTGAAGGCAGGGGAGGGGAGCAGGCGTGTCACATGGTGAGAAAGAGAGTATGGGTGGGGGGTGGGGGGTGTGTTCCAGGCTCTTTTAAATAACTAGGTCTCACATGAACTGATAGAATGAGGACCCACTCATTACCCCCATTACTGCAAGGACAGCACCAAGCCCTTCACGAGAGATCTGCTCCCAGGACCCAGATGCCTCCCACTGGCCGCACCCCCAACATTTCAACATGAGAGTTGGAGAGGACAGATATCCGAGCTGTATCAGAGTCTGAGTGCGAAGATGAGGCACAGCCCACTTCCAGGGCGAACTTGATTCCAAAAGTGCTAGCTGTAGTGGGAAACAAAAATAAAGAAGGAGTTCTCATGGGCTGTCAGCATCAAAGGTGAAGTCAGGATTGGAGCCGCCCTCCCTGGAAATGGGTGGGTGTCTGCTTGTCTCAGCCCTGGGCGTCGGCGGGCTGTGATTAGAGGGTTAGACATACTGCACTGCTTGTTTATAACTTAAAACCCAGAAGGTACGTTTTATCTATACTTCATGCCACTCAGAAAGCAGTCACATGCTACCTGGCTATCTAGAGGTGGAAGGCAAACGCCCCAGCCATGACTTGACGTCCAACAGGCCAGCGCTGCTCTGCGGCCTGTGGGTAGGTGCTGTGGCTGCAGCTGGGCTGGAGAATTCCCATGAGGGTGGCCGAGGATGTCAGACCAGGGGGGCACTGGCTGGAGGCTGGCCTGAAGTACCCAGACGCTCAGCGTCCAGCAGATTGAGGGGTTCCTGACCACACAGCATGCTCTGTCTGCTATTCTGGAAAGTTGAGATGCCCACCACCCCAGAGGCTGGCTGAAGTCTCCATCTCTTAAGCCCCAGGTAGATTTCTCAAGTCTCAAAACATTATAGCTGGGTAGGGGAATGAACAGAAGCATTTTTGAATATTACTTAGTGCCAGACACTGTGCAAGTCTTTCATACATTTTAATTTAAGCTCCGTTTTAAGATGCTAAATTGGAGGGCCTCGGAGCAGTTGTGCCAAGTGGCAGAATTGATCACAGCTGACTTGTGTGAAAAGAAGTCCAAGGACACAAGCACACACGTGACAGGCACAGAGCCAGCACAGTGCATCTTCTGTCCCTGCCCTTGGTGGCCCAAGCATCCTTCTAGGGTCCTTGCAAGCAGCAGGGCTAGGGGCAGCCCCACGAGGGCTGCCTCCCCACGGCTGGCCCTAGCACCCTCAGCAAATCCACAGGAACTCACCAAGGTCAGAGCACAGAACCTTGGCGGTGCTTCTCAGCATCTGGCCCAGTGTCAGCTTGAACCTTCCAGCACCAGGAGGCGGAGAATCCGAACCTCCCACTGGGGGACAGGCTTACTATTCTTGGTCCAGCCCAGCAACCTGTCTGTCTACGCAGAGGGCACCTCCTCCAGGGGACGGGTGCCGGCAAGGTCTGTGAGGACAGTCAGACACCTGAAGTTTCCTAGCAGGCGGCTGCGTGCCAGTGACCAGCCATGCGCAGGAGGGGAGGTGCGGGGGAGGAGGTTCACAGGAACAGAAGCAGCAACCCATTCCCTGGGGACAACACCAGCCACCCCCCCACCACCCCCACTGTAGTGTCCTCCTTGCCCTTCCCCCCTGCGGGCCTCCCCTGCACCCCAGCTTCTGCAAAGGTTTTCCCTCCTCACCCCTGTGGCTGGGTTCGGTTTCCTACTTGATTTGCATCATCAACAATTTCCTGACCTTTAGCTGAGCCTCTCCAGCCAGAGCCTCCAGGCTGTGATTTGCATCTCAGCAGTCCAGCCTCCTCAGCTCTCTGAGTCAGAATGTGCCCTCCCTGGGATGCAGGGAGGCCAGGAGAAGCACCTTAGGAGACCCCAAATCTCTCTTGCCAGCACATTCACCTTCAGAGAGCCCAGCGCTTCACCCGGCCTTTCCTGACTTCCCACAGCAGTTTTGCTGCCTGGAACAAGGCCATTTCTTCAGAGGAGGTGCAGCTCCTGGGCGCTTGGCTCCCCCGACAGCACAGGACAGTTCTGGAAATAGACCTGTTGGCCTGGCTCTGTCACTCATTTACCAGAGGGCCTGAATCTTCCTCCCAAGCCTAGTTCCCATTTCCTCCTTCCAGCCTCAGTAACCTCCAGACTGGCCCTGGCACAGCTGACTCCTCCTGGGGCAGACATTGAAGCCTATGTGCTCTGTTGCTCACCCAAACCAGCACAGCGCATCCACCAGGCCCCCAGACCCAGCCGCAGCCCCAAGCCCAGAGCTGCCCACTCACCTGCCTGCCCTTCCTTGGGGGAGAACGTTGACCCCTCCTTTTTGGCTGGGTTAATACGTTTTCTAATTACTCCTGCGTCAGAGTATTTTGTAACTGCTCCTGTTCCCCAAAGCCTGATGATCTGAGACCAACCTGTAAGAAATATGTAAATACAACTTACTGATGGAACAAACAGGGAAAGGGCTTAGGTGGGGGAAAGTCAAGTGCCTCCAAAAGCCAGAGATGAGCAGGAAAAAATGCATTGAAAAGGAGAGAAAAAGAATCCCTGCCCAGTAATGACCTAGGATGAGAGAAGAAGCAAAGGAAAGGAATAGCAAAAATCCTTCAGCCAATTCCTAGACTTTCAGGTACACGCCAAGGAGACCAAAGCATGCTGAGCACAGCTGGGAATAATTCTGCCATGGAACAGGCCATTGATTTTGTTCTTGACCGCACGGATGTTGCCCCGTGTGTCCTTGCTGGCTATCTGCATGTCTTGCAATAATACTCAGCCACTTTTGCATCTATATTCAGGTCACCTGCGATGTGCTGTCCAGCCCAGGCTGTGTGAGGACAGCAGTGCCAGCCCCTCGTGTGGGGGAGGTCTGCTGTAACCACATGCTGGGCGGCTCCAACCCCAGAAACTCATTGTCTCCCAGTTCTAGAGGCGTCGGCAGGGCTGATTCCTTCAGAGGCTGTGAGGGAGAGTCTACACATGCCTCTCTCCTCCTGTCTGGGGGTTTGCTGCCATCTCTGGTGTTTCTTGGCTGATAGAAGCATCACCCTGACCTCTGCTTTCATCTTCACGTTGTGCCCTCCCAAATTTGGACACGTCCATGTCCAGATTTCCCTTTTTCATAAGGTCACCTGTCCTGTTGGAATTGGACCTGTTACTGGGAAGTGTGCAGGTCCTTGGTTCTTAGTCTTCTTAGAGGAAAGAATTCAGCCAAGAGACCAATTAGTAAAGTAGGTAAAGTAGGCTTATTAAGGAAATAAAAGTAGCATGGACTCTGGGAGAGGAGCAGGCTGACCCTGTGGAGAGCAGCCCCCAGGAGTTCTGTGTTGTGGTTTTTATATTGGACTGTTTTAAGCTCCCACCTCTGTCTTAAGCCTCTCCCTTTGTCTTTGTCTGTTTTCCCTGCTCTGTCTTAAGTCTCCACCTTTTCCCTGCCTAGTTCCTGCCCAGGTTTGTGGGGCTCTCCCTTGCTGCTAGTTGATGTGCACACGTGGGGCTCAGTGATCAGTAGGAACCTACCTAATGGCGGCATTGCTCATTACCGCCACCCCAAGAAGGTCATACAGTGGTCAAATCTGTACATACTGTGTGTGTGTATCTCTTAGGCATTCATCCCTTGCCCTGTTTCCCTCCTGATCAGCATGTAGCTAGTTACATTGTCACACGTTAGCTACAGAGGGAGCAATTACTGGGTGTCTTATGGGGTGTTTCAGGATGCTGCCTCCTGCCTAGGTATTCTCCTCCCCTCTGCTCACACCTAGCATGTGTGTTTTGGGGGGTCTCTGGGGCATAAGGTTTTCCAGAGTTTCCTCCCCCGGTCCCCCATTCCTTTTCATGTCTTACTATCTGCCCACTCTAACAGGCCCACCCTAAGAGCCACACCTTAGCTTGATCATTTGCAAAGACCCTATTTCCAGTTAAGGTCATATTCTAAGGTAATGGGGGTCAGGACTTCAACATAGGAATTTAGGTGGAAACGCAACTCAGCCCATAACAGACCGTAACTGTGCTCTTTCTGTCCTTTTGATGTAGATAAGTCCCCTGCGGCCCCAGAGACCGAAGAGCCAGGTGATGAACGTCATTGGAAGCGAAAGGCGCTTCTCGGTGTCCCCCTCGTCACCGTCCTCCCAGCAAACACCCCCTCCAGTTACACCAAGGGCCAAGCTCAGCTTCAGCATGCAGTCGAGTAAGTGGAACGCTCCCCACATACGAATCGTGCTATAGCTCCGTGACTTCCCCTCACTGAAGGCTCTGAGGTTAGAAGCGCTTCCTCCCTCCCCTTGCAGCAGAGGGTGGGAGTTTAGATAAACACCTGGCTCCCTGGGAGTGTCCCCTGGGACAGGCTGTAGAGTCTGGACTTCCGCAAATCAGGCCAAAATCCAGAGCCCAGGTCTCCAGCACTGGAGGGGCAGAAAGTGCAGGGTCTGTCCCAGGGTCCATGTGGAGGGGACCTGTGAAGCACGTGGAACCACCACACTTTCTATCCCAGGACGCAGAGCTGCAGGAGGCCGTGGGCCTGCTTGTGTCTAGGACTGTGCACTGGAGAAGCACCTTCAGGCAGTTGGCAACAGCTAAGGGGCACAGCTTATTTTTCTAGTTTTGACCAATGTTTAAATTACCCTAGAAGTTCCCACAAAACTGGTGGCTCCAAACAGCAGAAATTTGTTCTCTGAAGGTTTTGGAGGCCAAAACTCTGAAATCAAGGAGGTAGCAAGTTGGTTCCCTCTGGTGGCTCCAAGGGAGAGCCTGTCCCGGGCCTCCCTCCAGCTTCTGGTGGCTCCCAGCAGTCCCTAGCCCTCCTTGGCTTGTGGCCACATCACTCCCCTCTCTGCCCCTGTCTCCACGTGGCCTCCTTCTCGGTGTCCTCTCTTCTTACAAGGACATCAGTCATTGGATATAGGGTCCACTGCAAATCCAGGATGATCTCACCTTGAGATCCTTCACTAATTACATCTGCAAAGACCCTACATCCAAATAAGGTACATTCTGAGGTTCTGGGTGGCCCTAAGAGGTCTACATTTTGGAGAGACTCTACTCAACTTACTCTAAGTGGCAGACAGCTTTTCACCACTAGATTCAGAGCCAGCAGAGAGGAGAAATCTTGGCAGGGAGAAGGTGCTGAGGATGGGGACGGCAGCAGAACCGGGGAGCCCACTCTCCTTCCTGTGGCACAGAGAGGGGTCCCAGGCAGGAGAGCTCTGTGCCCTGTGGCGAGGGCTGTGCAAGGCAGTGAGTGATTGTCCTCTGCTCCTGATTTTCCTCTTGCTGAAAGGGGAGCAGTCATGATTCTGGAGACTGTCAGTGGGTGGGGAGGCTGGCTGCAGGAGTGGATGCGTGAGTCTAATTGAGTAGGCAAAGAGCTTTCTGGGCACTGGATATGTCTTTGGAGGGTGCATCTTCACATCCTTGCACTATTACTACATGATCTTTCTAAAAATGTGTTTAAAATCTATTTTAATATTGAAAACAGACACCATCACTGCTGCTGCGGAAAACAATTTAGTGGTTCCTCCAAAGTTCAATGTAGAATAAACCTATAATATCAACTGGCAGTCCTGCTTCTAGGCCTGTACTCCAAAGAATTGAAGACAGGGACTCAAACAGATACTTAATATTCATAGCAGTATTTTTCAAGAGCCAGTAAGCAAACACAGGCCAAATGTCCATCAACTGATGGCCAGATTAACAAAATGTACGTCCAAAGAAATGTCCGTGCAATGGAATATTACCCAGCCGTAGAAAGGAGTGAAGTTCTGACACGTGCTACAGCACGGACGAACCTCAGAACCATGATGCTGAGTGAAATAGATCAGTCACAAAGGGACAAATATTATATGACTCCACCTAAATCAAATATCTAAGGCAAGTTCATAGAGACAGAAAGGCATGGCTCACGCCTGTCATCCCAGCACTTTGGGAGTTCGAGGTGGGTGGATCAGCTGAGGTCAGGAGTTCGAGACCAGCCAGTCAACATGGTAAAACCCCGTCTCTACTAAAAATACAATAATTAGCTGGGTGTGGTGGTGCGTGCCTATAATCTCAGCTACTCAGAAGGCTGAGGCAGGAGAATCACTTGAACCTGGGAGGCGGAGGTTGCAGTGAGCTGAGATCGCACCACTGCACTCCAGCCTGGGCGACACAGCGAGACTCCATCCC
This sequence comes from Homo sapiens, assembly GCF_000001405.40. Lineage (NCBI taxonomy): Eukaryota > Metazoa > Chordata > Mammalia > Primates > Hominidae > Homo > Homo sapiens. The sequence continues at coordinate 127,446,250 of NC_000010.11, forward strand.
AAACAAAAAGAAAAGAAAAAAAAAAAGAAAGTAGAATAGAGGATACTAGGGGCGGGAGAGAGGAGTGGAGAGTTACTGTTTAATGGGTACAGAATTCCGTTTGGGGTGATGGAAATGTTTCAGAAATACATCATGGTGATGGTTATCCCCCACGGTCGATGTGATTAATGCCACCAAATTGTCCCCTAAAGGATGGCTAAAATGGCAAATTTTATGTCGTGTATATCTTACCACAATAATAGCAAAGAAGTAGGCAGCAATCATGAGGACAGTCACTCACCGAAGCCTTCGTATTTCCCTCAGCCCCATGGCAGAGCTTCCTTATAAGCTTACAGTGTGGCCTTCCTAGCATGCATTTTCCTAATAAAGGATTTTTCATCAGATGAATCCTAGGGGAAAACTCCAAAAGAGACTCATCAGTAAAAATGTCCATTTTTCTCTCTTTAATATAAAAGAAAACAAATTATCTTTAAGAGTCTCAACAAGGTTTGAGAAAATATCCTGCCTTAATGATTATTCCTCCGTTTGAAAACGGCTATTTTTTCCAGTTTACTTTAAAAATCAATTGTACTTCCCCTTGGCTTATTTAAAGCAACAGCCACAGTGACTGCTATGGCTAATGACTTCATGTCATACGACTGTGGATTTTCCTGTGGAAAGAGATGGGAAGCTGGGTGGCTGGTCGGCGTGTTAGACTTTGCTTAGTGAATCTCTCCAGGTGATAACTGCAGGGGTGACTGCAGGGGCCTGGCTTGGCTTCGAAAGCAGTAGCAGCAGCAGCGGAGACGGTCCTGTGGCACCCAGCTGTTTAACTTCCACCGAGGCAGGGGGCCCGAGCAGGGACAGAAGAGGCCGGGGTGAACATCACCCTTTCTACAGTGGCTCGATGCCTTGCTTCACACTCCAGTTTTAGTGTTCGTGTGATACTTGCTATTCTCTTTCTAGAACATTGCCGTTAGGAGAGGGTCCCACCCTTTGTGTTCGCTCCCTCCCTGCCCTCATCTGCTCTGTTGACAAACGTTTTCTGCCAGATGAAGTGTTTCTGCTGTGCCTGCCTCTCTGGGAGGGAACGTGGAGCAGCTCCCTGAGCATTCAGGCTCCGTGGGGAAGTCGGGCTGATTTTAAATAGATCCCGGTTTTCCAGGCTTGGAGCTGAACGGCATGACGGGGGCGGACGTGGCCGATGTCCCACCCCCTCTGCCTCTCAAAGGCAGCGTGGCAGATTACGGGAATTTGATGGAAAACCAGGACTTGCTGGGCTCGCCAACACCTCCACCTCCCCCTCCACACCAGAGGGTAAGTCGGCAATCTGAAACACAGGCTTTCATTGCTTCGCCTCCACAAAGTAGGACGAGTCCCTCATTCCAGATACTAGCAGGTTTACTTCGGGCTAGTGAGCACATGAGGAAAACCATGTATGATGGGCCCGGGTTTGATTTTGCAAAAAGATATCGAAGCAGTAAGGACTCCAGTGGGTAAGATCTGTGGCTCTGCGTCATTATCAATAACTGCATCAAAAAGCACATTTTGATATCATGCCTCAGAACGAGGAAGAGGATAGACATTCCAAGGTTGTCATCGGTTATCATCACCATGGAGATCATTCCACTGGAGATGCAATTCTAATGACATTTTGATTTTTGAGAAGTAGCTTTTCTATCAAGAGGTCTGACTTTTTAAAGAGGTTGGCCAATATCGCCCTGTATGGCAGGCACCTGTTGTACACCTGCTTGGCCCTGGAGAAGCTTGTCTCCAAACATCCCTCCAGGCAGCCTCACCTGGTGCTGGGAGCTCCTGGGTGGTGACAGGCACTCACCTTACGGAGACTGCAGAGGACAGCCAGGTTTGGCTCCTGGGCACAGTCATCCTCACTGTGCCCCCACCCCTGGGCACCCTCCCCAGTGCTAGTTCGGGGGTGCTGACCTGGCTTCCTCCAGCAGCACTGGCCTTTGTAAGCCTAAGCAACCTGCTGGAACCCCTCTTCAGCGTGAGTCCCTGAAGCTGGTACCCCCCAGCAGCTGTTTTAGTCATTCATGCCACCCAAAGTGCCTTGTGCCAAACAGCCCCTGGGCCTGCCTGCCCGTACAAATATTAGTCAAAGTCATGAAAAGCCATTTAAACAAGCACCTCAGTTACCAGTTGACAGTTCTAGAAACATTCTTTTGAGATCCACCCCGTTCCTCTCCTGGTTCTCAAGGATGCTGTCAGGCGTCACTCATCCCTGCGGGTCCCAGCCCCATCCTCATGTCGGGCCCAGGCATGTGTGGAGGGCAGCATGAGTGGGATGGAGGCGGGCGAGCGATTGACTCAGCCACGGCGGGAACTTCTGCTTCTAGGCTCAGGCCTCCCCAGGCCATGTTATTCACAGCCTTTGACAATTAAATCAGTGGTGTCTGAAGGGTAAAATATCCCTCTTCATATGTGGACAGCTGGCCGTATTTTTTTTGCTATCCAGCCTTAGTGAAGTAATTATATGGCCGCAAAACTCCTGTAGAACATTGAAAACATGAGATTGTTGGGTGGCTCTGTTTTTTTCATAATGGTGAGACATGGTTTTTTTTTTTATTTTTCTTTAATAAACAATATAAATCCCACGTGCCATTTCTTTTTCTTTTTTTTTAATGGAGACTCGTTGACGGAGTGTTCCACAAGGTCATTACATCCCTTATGAGAGGAGTGGAAGAGAGAGGGTGTTTGTGTACAGCATACGTATTTCATCATTCCCTTTGTATCAGAAAACTAAACAAGCAGTCATCTTTAATATCAAAGAGGCAGATTGCTCTTCTGAGACCCAAGTGCCATTTAAACAGGCTCCCTCTCCCTAGAGACGCCTCGATGGGGAACCGGTCCTGGAGGAGGCACCAGGTTCCCCTGTGAAGAGGGCTTTCTGGCAGGCTGGAATGGTTTGTTGCACCACAGAAATGGAAGCCGGACCTTCCCCGGCCATTTCTAACTACTTGTGAGAGTAAAAGGAGATTCGGGGGGGTCTAACAAGAATATTGGGTTGCTTGGAGTATTGTTTCCCTAACAGCTTCGTTAATTGGTCACATTCTCTTCTCTCTATTTTATTGCAAAGGCAGGAATGTTCCCCCTAGTCTCCCTACACTAGTAAACTGAAAATTCTAAACTTAGAATTACAGCCAATTCCTCTTCTTGTTACAAATCAACTCCGGGGTAACATTTTATTGTCTCAATTTCTTGGATACACCATTGTGGGTTACTGATGCCACATACAGTTGATTAAGTAAGGGATAACATGGATTAGCTCTCTCTCAATTGATAAAGGGCGTGTGAATTCAATTAGATTAATGACCCAGGTGTCTTTGGTCTTTGTTTCTTGTTTAATTTACTTGCAGCCTGAGTGCATGCTCAGGTGACACGCTGGTGGTTAGTATGTCATCATTAGGCAGAAGCGGTTGCATTTCCTGGGGTGCCTCCCTTTGCACAGGCCCTGAGAGCTGTTCTAGGATAATGATCATCCATCTGCCATGATGGGGGTGTGATCAATATCCTCCTGTCACTCTCATTGATCAGCCTCAGGCTTGTAGGCAACTCTGTCTTTAGTTGTTGCCACTAAGCTGTCATTTCTTTCCAAATGGCTCTTCCTGTCAGTAATCTGAGCTTACTGAGTTTATCACCATTAATCATTTTGCTTAATGGTGATAAACTTTTGACATGCTCATACTTGGCATAGAGGTCATTTGCAGCGCTGTGTTGGTATCAGGCTGTGTTAGTGTGGTCCTTACCTGCTCCTCATTGGCCTATCAGTGAGTGTGGCTTTCACATGTAAACAAACAGTTTCATCAGACCTCAAAATAGATGTCTCTTTTAACGGTTCTAACCAACCTTAAAAAGACTTAATTGTTGTTTTACCTTCCTTAATATAAGGTCATACACTCATAGGACATCTTTATATCAGCTTTACTTTTCCACATTTATTCTCCTCTCTGTGTTAAGCATTAGGTCATTTTTGTATTTACTAGTCTGTGAATCAGGAGGAAATCTGGGCGATGAGTGAGAGACTACTGCGTCACTGTCTATCCTTGAAAACCTCTTTTCTCACATTCAGCTAAATGCAAACCCACACTGAGAGGCTGATAAAAATCCACTCTTACCCTTAAGTTAGACGATAGTGTTCTGTGATTTCATTCTGGTTCTTCTGCCTGTGGCATGCTCCCACTTACCCTGGTCTGTTCACTTCTTCATTCATTTGTTTACTTACCTGTTCATTTCTTCATTTATCCACTGACTCGTTTATTCACTCATTCATTTATTCACTCATTCATCCATTTTTCTATTCGATTGACCCATATTTCTAGAGAGTCTCCTGCACATCAGGTGTGTGTGATGGGCATGAGGGTCCCAAAAGCAATAGGGTGCAGCTGCCCTCAGTCATAACACTCCAGCCAGGTCCATCAGCAAGGGGTTTGCTATTATCTTCACATTGGAAATTAATGTTCTTTTTTGGAATCTAAAGTAATATATGCCCATGAGCTGAAGCCAGCCAGCCAGCCACCTGTTTCTGTGAATAGTTTTCTTGGAACACAGCCACACCCCTTTCTGTACACACTGTCAATGACCGCTTTTCGGCCACACCAGTGGCATTGAGTGGCTGCAACAGAGACCGTGTGGCCTGCCAAAAAGCTGGAAATATGTACTGTCTAGCCCTTTCCAGGAGAAGCTTGCTAACCTTTGCCCGAAGCTCAGAAAGCAAAAGAAGGTCTCTCATCTCACCCCTGGAGAGTGCCTCTAAGGACTTATTTATCCCTTAGACAATAGATGGATAACTTGGTCGATAGCATCTAGATTTAAAAAGGCCACGCAAAGGGCAATGGTACCTCTCAGGGGCTGTGCAGACGGTGGGAGAGTGCTCAGAGGCGTCAGAAAGGCCCAGGCCCATAGCAGCCCAGTCTTGAGCCTAGTAGACCTGCCAGCCCCAAGTCGGACAGGATGGAGCCCAACTCATGTGGGGAGGATGGTTCCGGCTGAGTGGCTGTGCCAGGTCAGACCCCACCTGGAGACGGTGTCTTTTCTGTCAGGACATCAGTTATGTGACATCTTCCCCATCCTCATGTTTTTTAGCATCTGCCACCTCCACTGCCCAGCAAAACTCCGCCTCCTCCCCCTCCAAAGACAACTCGCAAGCAGGCATCGGTGGACTCCGGGATCGTGCAGTGACGTCGCAAGCCTCTCTGGAAAGAGTGTGCTGCCCCTCCCCATCTCCATGCCCTCTCCTTCTGTGTCCCCTGAGTCTGCTGTTTACCTCATTGGGCCTGTGATGTTAACATTTCGTGCGACTGCTTTTTCTTCAAAGGAGTTCAGTTCTCACCATGGAGTGAGTGGCCTTTAGCGTCATGGAGCAAGGTGGGTCTGGGAGGTAGATATGGGTCCGGGATGTGCTATCGTAGTTATCAGAGTTGGGGGCCTCTGAGTGTGTCTGGCTCTGAGAGAGTCTGAGTCTTGCCCAAACATTCTTTCTTTTTGTGCCAAATGACTTGCATTTGCAAAGAGCTCAATTGCTCTGAGCTCAGCCAAGTAGGAGAGGCTAGGCCATCACTCTTAGGAAGCTGTGTAGTGATGATGTATAAGAATCCTCCTCACTGTCATGGGATGTTGTATCCAGCCCCTCCTTGTTCCAGCCGGTGGTGTGACTTCGTTGGTTGAGGTGTGTCTCCAACCTACATCAGACCATGAAGTTCAACCCCTCCAGGGAAGCTCCTGATTTCCCCTGCATAATTGAAAATAGGATATTTCTCAGCTATTGAACAGTTACTAATTTATGGGGTGGAAACAGCATTAAGAATACTGAATCAAATGGAAAAACAAATGAATACAGGAAGATAAGTGTTCGTTCTTTTCTGAAAAAGAGTATGTGTACCACAAGAGCTGGTTTTAATTGGGTGAATTGTTTTTGTCCTCATTCTGTACAGAAATTTGTATATATGATGGTTCTTAGAACTTGTTTTAATTTTTGTGGTCCTTCCGTTTATTATAATAGGCGTCCACCAATGATTATCCATATGTGTTCTTAATTTTTAACTGCTGGAAGTGTTAAAACACACACACACACACACACACATTTTTTTTTTGAGAACTCCAAAGTCCTGAAAATTTTGGTGGACAATGATTTTTAAAAAACTAACTTTGTATAACCTAATATTTGTATTCTCTCATCTATATTTTTTTATTCACTATAATCATGATACTCTTCTAATAGACTTAAAAGTTAATCATTGACAACGAAAAATAAAATGTTATTTTAAAAGACTCACAGTGTCTGACCAATTATGTTTTCATCCTTGATTGTAAAATACAGACGCTGCTGTTTCTGTTCTGCTATGTTAAAGTGCTTGGTGACACACATTTATATATGCACCTCTTCCTCCAACATTGTTTTTAATCCTCTCTGTTAATTGTGTCTGATCTGGAGCCCAGATGGGAAGTGCCCGTGTCCCGTGCATGGCTGCATGTCCTGATAGACAGGAGCTAAGCAGAGACCAGCTGAGTGCTTCCCCATCACCAAAGCCAGAGGGCTGTGGGGCTGCAGATCATGTGGGCCTCTTTTCAGCTGCTAATTTAAGAAAGGGCTTTGGTTAATGGGTGTGTGATTTAGCTGTAGAGGTCTGGACATGGAGAGCTTTCTCCAGGGCCTATCTGGCTGGATCTGGGGTGGCAAGAAACAAGGAAGGCAGGGGGTTCTCTTCTCAATGGACGGGGCTCTCACCTCTGCTCCTGCCAGACGTGTGGAAGCCATAAGGATGTGCCCTCTGCCCATCTAACCCGGCCTAGAAGGAGGCTGCTGTGGAGCCCAGGAAGCTGGGAGGCTCTTCCTCCTACTCAGGTGCTGTCCCCAGCGTATTCATGCTTGTAAATATCCAGTCCACCCCTGAGAAACTGTAGGCCTGTGTGAATGTGGGATTTTTTTCTTCAAGAATCTTTACTGTTTCAACTGTTGCACCAAGATAAATATTCATCTTCTGTCGAGTGTGTGAGAAACTGAATATTATCCACAACCCTAGAAATCATCGAATGGGCACACCCATGTAGGCGACCACGGAGAGCCCAGCCTGGGGACAGGTTGTTTTTGGGCAGTCTGTGCCTCACATTGTATAAGCGGCCACCAGAAACGGAAAGAATAGGCCGGGCGCAGTGGCTCACACCTGTAATCCCAGCACTTTGGGAGGCTGAGGCGGGCGGATCAGCTGAGGTCAGGAGTTCAAGACCAGCCTGGCCAACACGGTGAAACCCCATCTCTACTAAAAATACAAAAATTGGCCGGGCATGGTGGCAAGCGCCTGCCATCCGGTAGGCTGAGGCAGGAGAATTGTTTGAACCTGGGAGGCAGAGGTTGCAGTAGCTGAGATTGCACCATTGCACTCCAGCCTGGGCGACAAGAGCGAGAAATCTGTCTCCGTCTCTATCTCCATCTATAAAAATAAAATAAAAGTATTTATTTTTATAAATATAATTGTATTTATAAAAAATAAAAATTATAAAATTTATAAAATGATATAAAATATAATTGTATTTATAAAAAAATAAAAACACAGAAAGAATAGTGCCTGGCCCTGTGATAAATGATGGTTTTCTTGTGGAATGACGTGTGGGCTCCTGCTCTTCCCCCATCTACCGGGTTAATCCTCGCGCTGCACAACCCTGGCTGGAATCCCCGCCCCACAACCCCCCAAGGACCTTATATCCGTCGGGGATCTCTAGAGCTGGGAGGTTTGCAGAGAACACAGAACAGAGTTAAAGAAAAGTGAAGACAGCCAAAAGGTTGCAGACATTTCCTATTTATTAATATGAATTACAAATATGCTAATATATTCACCAGTGAGTAAACTTCTCAAACGTTTCATGCAGATGCAACATTTCCTCAGCTTGTAAATCCGTGGATGGGCTGCAACACAATAATCAGAGACAAACCGGCCTCTGCGCACAGTGCCTGCTACATGCATTCCTTCTGGAATGTGGATCCAGGGGAAGGTTTGCCTCTGTACATGCGGGGACATATCCCTTCTACACAGAAACACTATTTCTTAACCTTTTTTTTTGTTTTCACAATTACCTTTCAAGGAGCCTTTTTAGACATTTTTTTCCCTCCATCACTCTTATGATGAAATTTTAATAGTACAGCCATACTGTGTATCACTTAGACTATATACTGCATATCTATTATGTACTTTATGTATACCTATGCTTTTTTACATTAAAAAAATAAGATTTTTTGTTTGTTTGTTTCCCAAGTACCAGTTTTCAGGGGGTGATACTGCCTTTTTGCAGACTCATGCTCCAAAGCAGGAATTGTGAGCTTCTTAGGCTCTACTTTTGCTCTGGTTTCCAGGATGCTCAAAGCCAAATTTTGCCCTCACACGTTCAGTTAAATTTTCGTTTTATTCTCCTGCCTTCCAAAAGCTTTCTGGACTATTAAAAATCCATCTTTACTTTAACTACCTAGTTTCATATGCACTTTCATCAAATCTTTATTCAAAGTAGTTAGTATATAAACTGTATTTTATAAATGGAAAAGTCTTTTTCTTACTTGAAAACCACCCTTGGTGCTTGAAGATTGCTTCCTAGTATTTAAAGAAATTATTTTTTAATCAATTTTAAGATTATTCTTTCATGCAAAGATTTGATCGTTTAAATTTCTTACAGATTTCATTATCTTCTGCTCTGGATTCTTTTATGTTATTGGACTTTGTTTCATGTCCACAGAACTCTTTGTTGGTTTAATGGATTTTCATTTTTGCTTTTTAGTTCCATCTCTAATTACTTTTTAATATTTTACTTAACTTTTTAAAGTCTGTTTGGGAACTTCTGCCACCACACTTTTTGGCAATCTGCCTTTTCAGAATTATTTAAACATCTACTGTTTCATTGATGATGGCTCAAAAAAATAGGGAACCTGTAGGCCAATAAGCCTTTGTACCCAAACAAGCTAGAGTTGTTCTGCCCTATTTGTCTCCCACACACGAGGAAACCTCTGCTCCTCCAGGTTGTACAGTGGCCTGAGTGCAGTGTCACTAGCTGGAGAGGGGAGTGAGGACTCCCTGGATGTCTGATGTGTGGCAAACCTCCTGGGTTAGTTTCAGCCCCGGACAAAAGAGTTCTGATGTGGTCTTAAGTGTCCACCTGGCTGGACGGCAGTAGCCAGTTAATCAAAGCAACTGTAAGTGTTGCTGTGAACGTATTTTGTAGATGTGGTTAACATCTATCATCAGTTGACCTTACATAAAGGAGGTGACCCTTGATAATGTGGGTCAGCCTCATCCCATGCGTTGAAGAGGCCTTAAGAACAAAAACTAGAGTTTCCTGGAGAGGAAGGAATTCTGCCTCAAGACCGCAGCATCAGCTCCTGCCTGACTTCCTAGCCTGCTGGCTTGCCCTACAAATTTTGGACTTGCCAGCCCCTACAATGGCTGAGCCAATTCCTTAAATCTCTCTGTATACACACACACACACACACGCTCTGACAAAGGACAGACCATAGCAAACCTCCTCTCATAAAGTGGTATTTGGCAGAAACAGGTGACTTTAGGGATACCTGGAGTAGAATCCAAGAATCTAGAGACCCCCAAGCAAGCCACTTATCCTCTCCAGTCATGAGTGTCTCTGTGGGTCACGTCATAATATCTGCTGCCACCTTGTCATGGTGTCTTGAGGCTGGAACATCCAAGATGGCGTCCTTCACGCGCCTGGCACACTGCTTCACTGCAGCTGGCTGGGCATTCTCTCCTCTCTCTCTCTCTCTCTCTCTCTCCCTCCCTCTCCCCCTTTCTCCTTCCATCCCCCTTGGGTTGTCCTTCATTTTCCAGGGCTGTTTCATCTGTAGGAAGCTACTTTGTATGCTCAGGGTTTCCCTGTTTAAATTCCAAACAGAATTTCATTTTCCTGGTAAACCATTGTGAGGTTGCCACCGTGACCTACCCTTCATCTCAGTTTGCCTTGGTCACGGCTCTGTGGCTTCCCCGTGTTGCAGCCTCTCATGCTGAGCTCTTGGGTGAGCCTGTCCTCGTTCCCCTGGCCCTTGGCAGGTGGCTTGGGAGCTGGTCCTGAACCAGCTTCTCCAGGCCGCCCACGCAGCTCTGCTGGCCTTTCCTTTTTTGACGTGCTTCATCTGCAACATGAGACTCCGGAATTTGCCGTGCAGACTCCAGTGGCCATGCTGCCCTCCTGCCACTAGGAAGGGCTCCATGCCTTTGTCTAGCCCCAGAGCACTATCTCCTTATCTCCTTCCTGTCCTGTCACTTTGTTCAACTGTTGGCACCCGGGTTTAAGCTGTTGCTACTAACTAATGTTTCTTTTCACTTTGGGGAAGTGCTTAATTCCATCTCTTCTTTGGCTTCTAAATACCATTCTCCAATCAAACAAACCAAGGCTTCTTTAAGAAAGATCATCCTGGCTAACACGGTGAAACCCCGTCTCTATTAAAAATACAAAAAATTAGCTGGGCGTGGTGGTGAGCGCCTGTAGTCCCAGCTACTTGGGAGGCCGAGGCAGGAGAATGGCGTGAACCCGGAGGGAGGTGGAGCTTGCAGTGAGCTGAGATCGTGCCACTGCACTCCAGCCTGGGTGAAAGAGCGAGACTCCATCTCAAAAAAAAAAAAAAAAAAAAAAAAAGAAAGAAAAGAAATATGGCTGACTCTGGTCTGGGAATACAAGACAGCCTAGAACATTTTGTACCAGAATACAAGGAAGTGTTCAAGAAATAAGGGCCACACTTCAAAAAGACATTGGGGCCCATATGAAGTGGCTTCTATGTGATGGCCCACATCTGGGACAATTTGAGCATCAAAATCAATGATGACAGTAACAAATTTTAAAGCAGTTGAATGAAGTAGGCCTTTTCTGTAAGTCCATGCGGATATAAATCAATAAATGAATAAATTGAATGTTTAATGAAGAACAGGATATCTACATAATTTCAAAGTGTCTTCCCACAAAACACTAATTACAAAGGGAAAAACAATTTCATAGTGGAAAAGACTGGCAGATACCACCTTAATCAAGAAATAAAAGAGAACATCATCAGTGTTGGGACAAATTAAAATTACATGCTCCCCCCACCACCACAGTACTGATGCTCTGAGAACACATCAGCTCTGCAATATTCCTACCAAAGATGCATAATCAGAATGAAATCACAAGAAAACATCAGCCAGACTTAAATTTGGAGGCATTCTATGAAACTGACCCTTCATATATGATTCCATTTACATGAAATGTCCAGAAGAGGCAACCTCACAGAGCTGGGAAGTAGATTAGTGTTGGTCAGGTGCTGGGACGAATAACTGCTAACGGGTACAGGATTTTTCCTTCGGATGATCAAAATGGTCTAAAATCAGATTATGGTGATAGTACCCAACTATATGACAAAACTAAACACCATTGAATTGCACCCTTTAAAGGGGTGAAGTTTATGATTATTGAATTAATTATATCTTAATAAAGCTGTTATTTTTTTTTAATGGCCTATAATCTTGGAAAGGGTCAAGGCCATGAATGACCTAGTCCTCACTACAGGTGACTAAAGAGACACGACAAGTAAACGCAACTTGTAATTTGGAGCTGGATGTTCTCTACATTGGACGTATTGGGACAACTGGCAAACCTTGAATGGAGTCTGAGGATTGGACGACGGAGATATCTCAGTGTTCATTTCTTTACTGTGTTGGTTGTACTCTGGCTATGTAGAAGGATGTTATCATTTAAAGAGAAGGAACACTGAGCCATTGGGGATAGTGCGGTACCAGGCAGGCAACTTAGTTCCAACTTACTCTGAGCGGGGTGGGGGAGAATGACCCATATTGTACTTGTGCAGAACGCCATTCCTTTTCCACGCTAGAAATACTTTTTTTCCGCAGGGAATAATGATATCATTTCACTTGCTTCTCTGACAAAGCCTTCAGGCCATGCCTACATGCTGGATTTTGCAAAAACAGTTTACAGGCACAGTGCCACTGTAACAGGAGGCGGGGACTCTAGCCAGCAGCCACCTCTGTGCTGCTAGAACAATCAAGGCTCCACATGGAGCCCAAAGGAGGGAAAAGTGAGTCCCTATCTCAGGAGCATTGGGCAGGCCACAGTAAGGGCAGTGTTTTCTTGTCTATACTAAATGTTTACAGAGTCCCTGCCAAGCCCAGCCCGGTTCAGACTTGGTACCGAGGTGGGCAGGACAAACGTCTCCAAAGTTCCTCCAGGAGACGACAGGCAATATTCAAGGAACCAAGTAAGGCCATTCCACATGACCATTAGAACTAGAAGGGGTGAGACAGGGTAGTCATCCGAAGGGCAGGGCTCACCTCCCCTTCCAGGGGTCCTCCCTGAGGCTGGGAGACTTCAGCAGAGACCTGTGAGCTCAGTGAGAATCCAGGGTACAGGGTGGAGAAAGAGCAGGCACACAGGCCTTGCCTGGGCTTGGACTGACCTGGGAATATCTGCAAAACAGAAGCAGGAGGTGAAGGAGGGTCGGGGGAAGAGCCAGTGGATGGCACTGAGGGCAGGGAGCTTGGCCAGGGCATGCCATGGCCTTGTCCTCTAGAAGAGCTTGAGTTTCATGACAAAGGCAGGAGGAGGAAGAGATGACCAGCCTTCCTCAGGTGAGGGCCAGGTGGGAGGGAGTGCTCCCCCTGCAGTGGGCTGCAGAAAGTAGAAGGTGCGGCCATAGGATCTCCTCACCCCCCCACTGTGTGTCCGGAATTGGTTCCTTCTGGTGGCTTCTTGGTCTTGCTCACTTCAGGAGTGAAGCCGCAGACCTTCTCAGTGAGTGTTACAGCTCTTAAATGTGGTGCATCCAGAGTTATTTGTTTCTCCCCGTGGGTTTGCGGTCTCGCTGACTTCAGGAGTGAAGCCACAAACCCTCACAGTGAGTGTTACAGCTCATAAAGGTAGTGCAGACCCAAAGAGTGAGCAGCAGCAAGATTTATTGCAAAGAGCTAAACAACAGGCTTCCACAGGGTGGAAGCTGACCCCCAGCTGCCACTGCTGGTTCGGGTGGCCAGCTTTTATTCCCTTATTTGGCCCCACCCACATCCTGCTAATTGGTCTATTTTACAGAGTGCTGATTGGTCCATTTTACAGAGCGCTGATTGTTGCGTTTTTACAGAATGCCAATTGGTGCGTTTACAATCCTTTAGCTAGACATAGAGCGCTGATTGGTGCCACCCACATCCTGCTAATTGGTCTATTTTACAGAGTGCTGATTGGTCCATTTTACAGAGCGCTGATTGTTGCGTTTTTACAGAATGCCAATTGGTGCGTTTACAATCCTTTAGCTAGACGTAGAGTGCTGATTGGTGCGTTTTTACAGAGTGCTGATTGGTGCATTTACAAACCTTTAGCTAGGCACAGAGTGCTGATTGGTGTGTTTTTACAGAGTGCTGATTGGTGCATTTACAATCCTCTAGCTAGACAGAAAAGTTCTCCAAGTCCCCACTTGACCCAGGAAGTCCAGCTGGCTTCACCTCTCAACTGGACAAAGCAGGGGTCCACACATCAGTGGAAACGAAAAGCCCCCAAAGCAACATTTGGTGTTGGGATTTTTGTCCCCACCCTGAGAGTTCCTGATGTTCTTGCTGTGGGTGAGAGGGGAGAAAGGAGCGCCCTCAGTGGGAGTCAGTGGTTTCTCCCATGGCTGCCCTACCCTGAGAGACAAGGAGGCCCATGTGTCCTCGGAGTTGGAAGCCCCATGGTGCTGGTGATGTCCCCCATCCTCCCAATAGTCACGACAGATCATATGCATAGCGTAAAACTAAACACACAAATTTGTTGTCCACGGGGTTCTGAGGCAAGCTGTGCATGTGCACCCGTGGACACCTCCCCTGCACACCTCCCATGGAAGTGACCAGGAGCCCAGAAGCCACACAGAGGCTTGACACAGCACCCTGACTCATCAGCCTTCAATGAAAAAGTGTGGCAATTTGGGAGGTAAAAACATGCAGTTTGGGAACGGGAATCTTTTTGAATTAGCATAAATTAGACTATTTTAAAATAAACGTTAACAGTTAATTTAGCATTATGTACACTTGCGTTGGAGAGGAGGGCACTTAATATCAAATAAGGAGCTTCCTGCAAAATGCAGGGTTATTTTTAAGCTCCTACATATTTTTGGGTTTTTTGCAGGGAACACAGATGACATCGTGGGGTTTCACTGCCTTGCTAAAGCTTTTTCACATGAAAAGCAAACTTTGGAAGGCAAAGCAATTATCATGGAAAAGCAACATCAGAATCATTCCTCAGAAATGTTTCATTTTTCAGAAATGTTAGTGAAATGAGTGTTCTTTGACAGGAAGACCATATTATTTCAGCGCTGGAGCGAGGAGGTGCTGCTGCTTTTGGTCCTATGCCTCCCGAGGAGGCTCAGTTGGCAGCCTGGAGGTGAAATGGACAGAAAGGGCCTGTGGGTCACAGCTATTTTTTTAATGCTCCTTGGATAAATGTTCCCCCTCCCCAAGGGAGGACTGCCAGGGATTAGAACCAAAAACTGACAGCTAAAAACGGTGCACTTCCCAAGTACCTCGGTCCTCCTGGCTGAGAAAAGAGATTTGCATGGAATTGTGGAGACTGTGAAGTCATCCTAGGAAGGGATGACCCAGCAGAGAGCAAACGTGACCTCCAGAGCCCTGCTTCCTGGCAAAGCAACCTGGAATTTTCAAAATCTGTCATGCAGTGAAGACTCAAATGCATTAGCCACCTTAGTCCTTCCAGCTGAATTTGTCATCAGAAGTAAAAGGAAAGGAGGGATCCACAGCTGGAACAGGCTCATATTTTAGAAAAGCCAAAAATGAATTCCAGTATTTGTCTCAGGAAGGACCCTGAGAACTCACAGTGCTCAATGCCCTCAATGTTTAGAGTCTTTATTCATCATAACACTCCATGTGAGCCTGGGAGGGACAAGATACAGAATGGCCACACAGTACGCCAAGTCACATAGCTGGTTTGCTATTTGATGACATTTTTAGAGCTCACTTTGGATTAGAAATGGACAGTTGAGACTTCAAACTATACTACAAGGCTACAGTAACCAAAACAGCATGGTACTGGTACCAAAACAGAGATATAGACCAATGGAACAGAACAGAGCCCTCAGAAATAATGCCACATATCTACAACTATCTGATCTTTGACAAACCTGACAAAAACAAGAAATGGGGAAAGGATTCCCTATTTAATAAATGGTGCTGGGAAAACTGGCTAGCCATATGTAGAAAGCTGAAACTGGATCCCTTCCTTACACCTTATACAAAAATTAATTCAAGATGGATTAAAGACTTAAATGTTAGACCTAAAACCATAAAAACCCTAGAAGAAAACCTAGGCAATACCATTCAGGACATAGGCATGGGCAAGGACTTCATGTCTAAAACACCAAAAGCAATGGCAACAAAAGTCAAAATTGACAAATGGGATCTAATTAAACTAAAGAGCTTCTGCACAACAAAAGAAACCACCATCAGAGTGAACAGGCAACCTACAGAATGGGAGAAAATTTTTGCAACCTACTCATCTGACAAAGGGCTAATATCCACAATCTACAATGAACTCAAACAAATTTACAAGAAAAAAACAAACAACCCCATCAAAAAGTGGGCAAAGGATATGAACAGACACTTCTCAAAACAAGACATTTATGCAGCCAAAAAACACATGAAAAAATGCTCATCATCACTGGCCATCAGAGAAATGTAAATCAAAACCACAATGAGATACCATCTCATACCAGTTAGAATGGCAATCATTAAAAAGTCAGGAAACAACAGGTACTGGAGAGGATGTGGAGAAATAGGAACACTTTTGCACTGTTGGTGGAAATGTAAACTAGTTCAACCATTGTGGAAGTCGGTGTGGTGATTCCTCAAGGATCTAGAACTAGAAATACCATTTGACCCAGCCATCCCATTACTGGGTATATACCCAAAGGATTATAAATCATGCTGCTATAAAGACACATGCACACGTATGTTTATTGCGGCACTATTCACAATAGCAAAGACTTGGAACCAACCCAAATGTCCAACAATGATAGACTGGATTAAGAAAATGTGGCACATATACACCATGGAATACTATGCAGCCATAAAAAATGATGAGTTCATGTCCTTTGTAGGGACATGGATGAAGCTGGAAACCATCATTCTCAGCAAACTATCGCAAGGACAAAAAACCAAACACCGCACGTTCTCACTCATAGGTGGGAATTGAACAATGAGAACACATGGACACAGGAAGGGGAACATCACACACCGGGGACTGTTGTGGGGTGGCGGGAGCGGGGAGGGATAGCATTAGGAGATATACCTAATGCTAAATGATGAGTTAATGGGTGCAGCACACCATCATGGCACATGTATACATATGTAACAAACCTGCACGTTGTGCACATGTACCCTAAAACTTAAAGTATAATAATAATAATAATAATAATAATAATAAAAAGAAATGGACAGTTGAAAGGTGGGTCTTTTATTTTTCTTAAGGATCCAAGCCTCCTTCACTGGTGTGAAGCACAACTCATAATTAAAAATCAGCAGCAGATTGGACTACTAGGCTGCCACGTTGTTTTTCTCTCTACAAGTGTAACAAAGTAGCTGGCCAGGCTGCAGTTCCTTTTCTAACAATGGTGTAATTATGAGCCAAAGCCACAGTTACCAAAGGTGATTGTTCATGCTACAGTGCCTTACCAAATTGTGTACATATTAATTACTCAAAGCTATCATCCTGCCAGTGATTGGAGTAGTCATCCTTTCACATCACCCTCCACGGATAACCATGTTGAAAGAGAGAGAGAACCAGTTCTTTCCTTCCTCACCTTTGTGAGGGAAAGGGGAACACCCAGTTGGCCAAGGTCCAGGGGAAGACAAATAGAGTTCTTAACCCAAACAGGCTGCTTCCGAGTAATCTAAATGTAACCCAGGGCCCCAGAGGAGCCAGTCTTTGAGAAAAGCGGACTCAAATGAACAACATTTGAATAGAAAAAAATAATTAAAACCAAGGGTCTTGCAGAAATCCACTGAACTTAAGGGCCGGGAAGGAGTAGCAGGTACAGTTCTTAAAAGCCCTACTAGTCAACTTAAAAACAGGCTTTCTCCTTTGTGGTCACTATTCATCAATGCACGTAGCAGCTGGGCCTCTCACACTCTGCCCCACTCCCAGTTCCCTCCAAAGCCCTCTGGGAACACTCACCCTTCCTATTCCAGACATTTCATTTGTTTCTACCTGCCATTCTCCCTGCTTTTGAAGGTAGCTCTCCTCCTCCTTCCAGGACTCAGCTCTTTGTTCCCAGGGTCCTCCCAGCCTGCCTGAAGCCCATAGAGGGATCAGGCGACCAGAGCCCCTTCCTAGGTGAGTATGGACACCCCAGAGGGCTGTGTCTCCAGCACCGTGGTTCCTGCCACATAGATCATGCCACGTGTGGCGACAGGGAAGAAGAGACGATGCTGTTGGAGGAAGGACTCCATGTCCTTTTCTCCCTTCCTGCATCAGGGGTCCCTGCTGTCCCTGTGCCCTCCCTTCAGCTAAGCGCCCCCTTCTCCCCCTGAGCATCCGTCTCCTTCACTGGAGCAGCACTCACAGGACCCTCCGCAAATCCTCACATTCTTACTGGAGCTGGGGAAGCTGAGTGGCCACCCAGCCCGATTTCATTGTGTGCCTTTGCCCCTAGTACCATATCCTCAGAAGCCGTCTGGTCCTTCCCCAGGTGAAGGGGAAGATGGGATGCAGGGAGCCTCCACCCATATACACTGGAGCTTGGGTCACCCAATGGATGACGCCAATGGATGGAGAGCGTCACCAGATGGATGACCAGGAAACCCTCCTTGTCCTTGTCCTGCCCTGGGTGAGACCAGCAGCCACCAGTGCTCCTCCCCTCCTGTTACCAGCAATTTGCCTTATTCTTATCCTCCAGCCCTAGCAACACCCTCAGTTGGAGAGTGAGTTTGCAGGGCATACGGGCTCCGGTTCCCATTGGTTGAGAGTCGCCTGTGGGGCTGTTAAGTGCCCCAACCCTCCAGGCTGAGAGAAAGCCTGAGAAGCTTCAGAGAAGCCTTGAGGCAGAAAGCTGAGAGCAAAGGGGCAGTCGGCATGGGTCCTGTCACTTCTTCAACTGTGCTGAGGTCATAGCTGAGCCAGGGAGCATGGCACGGCATCCTGAGAGTGTCCACTGTACTTGACAAAGACACAGGAGGCAACGTCATCAGCCGTAAGCATGGAAGGTGAAGAGGGGGAGGGTCAGCAGGGGTTGTAAAGCACCTGAAAAGAAGAACAGGCATTGAGGTGGCGAGAAAGACCAGACCCCAGGGTCTGGAGTTGCTAGCAACTGAGGGAGAAGATCAGGAGGTCAGCAGAAGACAAAAAAGGAAGGGATTGCAGATGGGGGAACCGGCTGGGATGAGGCATCTGGTGCCAGATATAGCTCAGGGCCAAGTACTGGTAGTGGTGGACATCATTTCTTCATAGGAGCAGGAGGAGGATGGGGGAGGAGTGATCGGGAGGTGGCAACCAGGAGCAAAGAGGACAAGTACATGTTTAGCACCCCTAGCCCTGACCAGAAGCAAAGAGGACGAGTACCTGTTCAGCACCACCACCCCTAGCCCTGAGGTATAGGGGATGTGAGAGGAAACGGGGTTTGTTAAAGACGGTTGCAGGGAGTCAGGGTCTGCAGGAGTCAGGCGGCAAAGCAATCCAGGTTCAGATTAAGGGAGCTGTGGAGGCGGTGGGGAGGGGCTTCCAGAAGGTGGGTGCGGGTGCAGACCCCGAGAGAGCACGGGGCTTCCAAGTCCAGAGCAGCAGCGGCAGGGCGATGTGTGTCTTTGAGAACGCCTGTTACCACAGGCCAGCCCACAGAGGGAGAGAGTGGGATTGACAATAATTGAAGAAGAGAAAGAAGGAAGAAGGGAGGTAGAGGAAAAAGGAGAGAAGAGGAGAAAGGAAAAGAAGGGAGGAAAGAAGACAGAAGAGAAGAGGAGAGGAGAAAGGACAAGAGAAAAAGAACACCTGGCCCAGCTGTGCAACGGCAGCTCTACCTAATTCACACACTCTGGGGACCTGTCATCGATTTCACCGACTCAGAGGATGCCCAGCCAAAGAAAGAAAAAGAAAGGAAATCCCAGCCAGTGCCCACCGAATGCCCAGGCTTGCCTCTTTCTGACAAGGCTAATTCGCACCCGTCTCTGTCACTTGTTCCCTTCCTGATAGATTTCTTTGGTGGGGACAGGAAATGCCATCTTGAGTCTGAGGAAATGAAAAACAGAAAAATCTTAAAACTTTAATCACTACCATCAGCTTCCTAGAGCCCCTTAGTCATGAGCCAAGAAAATTATAATTATAATGTTGGCGAATTATTATTGTACATAAAATACAATAATCCGCATTATTGTTATAGCAGTAATCGTTCTACTTTTTAAAATACCTTCACCTGTATTATCTCATTGAATTTTTTTTTTTTTTTTTGAGACAGAGTCTCACTCTGTCACCTAGGCTGGAGTGCAGTGGCACGATCTTGGCTCAGTGCAACTTCTACCTCCCGGGTTCAAGCGATTCTTCTGCCTCAGCCTTCTGAGTAGCTGGGACTACAGGCACGCGCCACCACGCCCAGCTAATTTTTGTATTGTTAGTAGGGACAGGATTTCACCATATTGCCCAGGCTGGTCTCAAACTCCTGACCTTGTGATCCACCCGCCTTGGCCTCCCAAAGTGCTGGGATTACAGGCATGAGCCACCACGCCCGGCTATCTAATTGAATTTTTATAAATATCTTGCAAATAGATAAGAAGAGTAACATATTTCCTTCCCATTTCATGGAGGAGGTACTAAAACTTGAAAAGTTCGGGTCCCTGTGGCTGTGGCAAAACCAAGCCCCCAGACTTTCCAGCCAGGCCTCCCATGAGGCTTAGAACAGGTAATGTCTCATTTAATCTTCTCAACACCCCATCAGGTGGCTGCAGCCTGACATATTCATTTATTCCACATAAGTCCATTTTTTCTAGGTGCTAGGATAAGGCGATGGGAAAATGCCCATCCAAAAAGCCCTTCACCTTAGGGCTTACGGAGTGGTGAGGACTCCACCTCTGGAACCTGACAGCTCAGTGTAAATCCTAGTTCTGCCACTTACCACTTGTGCAAATTATTCACCTTGAGCAAGTTAATGAACCTAAGTCTCATCGTCATTATCAAATCATGATATAAGTCATTTGAATAATAATATGAATCTATGTCCTGAAGAATGGGATTGATGTGTCAGCTGGTCATTATCCCAGCCAATCAACATGAGCATCCCCTGGCAATTTTTATTGGTCCAGAGATGGACATGAAACCTACATGGACCCAGTCAGACTGAAGGGAGATTTTTTTTTTTTAATCCTTGGGGAAGAGGTTCTCCTGCTCTTGATGGTTGTGAGAATGACAGCTTTTGTTCCCAGTCATGACTATGCATGGACCCTGTTGTATAGCTCTCTTGTAATCAGGAGAACCAACCTTAGCACCAGGCTGGCCCTGTATATAGTCTCTCAGTCACATGCAGTTATACACTACCCTGAAATCTAAGTGGCTTAAAACAACACATATCACTCGCTCTTGCTACCTGATCCGCTGTATTCAGCCCTCCTGGAGGAGAAAGGGGAGCTACTCGCTGCAGAAACTCAGTGGCCCAGGCAGACAGAAGCCTCCTCCAACAAGGGGCTTCCACAATCATCCCAGAGAGGGGAAAAGAACATCCTGTGAACATACCCTCACTCGTAAAGCAGCCTCCCAGAAGTGACCCATGCCATTCTGCTCACACTTCACCGGCTAACTCAAGTGGCAAGCAGGAGGGTGGTGAAATGCTAGCAGAGAGTGTAGAAATATTGGGTGAGCATGGAGTCGCAAAGCAAAGAGAGCCCGTGTCCCTGATGGCACTGCTGAGCTGTGGTCCTCAATTTCCAGTTACTGTATGTGAAATGGTGATTTTGCTTATTCTTTGAGCTGGGTATTTCTTTCTGTGAGGTCGGCATAGCCATGCCCCCTCTTTCCTGCCCGACTTTAATACTTTGAGTCCTCTCTCTTTTGTTCTTGGTCTGTCTAGCAAAAGGTTTGTCAATTTTGTTGATCTCTTCAAAGAACCAACTCTTGGTTTTGTTGATTTTCTCTATTGATTTTCTCCTCTCTATTTCATTTATTTCTGCTCTCATCTTCATACTTTCCTTCCTTCTGCTTCCTTTGAGTTTAGTCTGCGCTTCTTTGAGCCATTTGTTGTTTACAGCTGTGAGCATCCTAACTGGTCACCTACCTTGTGGTGGCAGTCAAGAGGCATAAGTGATACAACATGCATGGAGCACTCAGCTCTGTGCAGGGCATGGTGAATGGCAGCTGTCATGACTGACATCCAACTCATCATCCACAACCTATGGAGGCAGGCACTGCCATTTCACTGTGTCTGAGAAGACTGTTCCCCAAGTTCCCAGAGCTCTCTGGGGGAAAAGCTGAGATTTAAACCGGGATTGATTCCCTAAGCTAGACCATCCAGGCCCACAGCTTGCCATAGCACCATGTCCTCTGCCTCCCTTGCCTTTGTCTGGGGAGGCGTGTCCCTGAGCGGGAGGACAGCTTCCCCTGCAGATAGAAGCTGATGGGAGGCTGACGGGAGGGCAGCATCTCTAATGGGCAATGCCCACCGCTGTGGAGTTCCCGACAGTGCTTGCTAACCCATCATTATGTGTCTTCCCTGGGAACGGTTGCTTGTTCTTCAGGTCACAGTTACACCAAAGACAATTTTCCTCTTAGAACTGCCTTGCCGCCACTGCTCTTATTTCTGCCTGACAAAGAGCATTAGCGACGGGACAGCGTAATTGGAAGTGACTCTCACCATGGAATCATGTGGGGGTGGTGCTTCTTGATGAAGGAAGACACGTGGATACAAAGAACTCTCCTGCCTTTGAGGATGTTGGGGGATTGGCTGAGATGGGACAAGACCCTTATAGGGCCACTACCACCTGTGCTTAACCCAGGCTGGTGAACAAAGTCCTCCTCAGGGGTCTGATGGAGCCCAGCCCCATTCATCCTGAAAGTTCTGAGTATGCTGCTGAGTTTCCCAAATTATCCTGAGAAGTAACCTCCATATTATGGGTGTTTTCACACTAACAAAATACTGGGGACCCAGTGGGGGCTTTCCTAGTGCTCAGTCATCTTTTTCACTTAGAAAGTGGCCCAGGCTGCCTCATCGACGCAAGGTCCCCATCAACACACCCACGTGCTGGGTAGTGTTTTACTCGGGACACACGGGCTCCAGTGATGCCTCAGAGCGATCACAAGTCTTTCTGAGCAGGAGTTAACGTTTCTGAGCTCCAGAATGCCCCTTGTCCCTGCCCATCTTCCTGATGTGCCCCTGCTGCCAGCCAACCTGGGGAACAGCAAGGGATGTCCCTACCCCTGCACAGAATAAGGAGAGTGGTTCTCCTCTTCTTCTTTTGTAAGTGAAGATCACAGGGGAGAGGCAGGTGCTCTGAACAACAGCTGACGACTCAGGAGACTCACGGCCCTCCTTGCTTAGTTCCCGGGAAATGACAGGGCAGCTTATCTACTGTGACCTTGGGCATCTGAGTGTGTACTTTGTACCTATGTGTGGGCACGTGTTGTGTGCACACATGTGTCTGTGTCTCTG
The DNA here is from genome assembly GCF_000001405.40 of Homo sapiens. Classification (NCBI taxonomy): domain Eukaryota; kingdom Metazoa; phylum Chordata; class Mammalia; order Primates; family Hominidae; genus Homo; species Homo sapiens. Next base: position 127,468,883 of record NC_000010.11, read on the forward strand.
TGTGTTGTGTGTGTGTTCATGCATGCAGGGTGCTTTAGAAATAGCTGTTAACAAATAGCTATTCCAATGGACAGGCCATTTCTTGACTTCCTGCTTTATGTTCCTCGGTGCACTAGACATTTTCTCCACATTATTAGGCAAGATTATATCCCCTTGACAGGAGAAGAAGTGAGCATAGAGCCGGCCCTTCAACCCAGATTAGAGGGGCTTCAAGTTCAGCCCTCCATTCCACCCTGCCCTCCAGCTGTTTCCAGGAGGTGATACAGTCCATGCTAAACCCAGCTGGGACCCAGTGGCAATTTCAGCCTCCCTCTCCATCCCGCAAGGCCTGGATCCCACACGCAGGGGCATAGCAGAAGCCCTTTTGCCCTTAGCAGCTCAAAACAGAGAGAAGGCAGAGTGACAGTGCCCAGGAAGGGCATGAATTGGTGATCCATCTCAGCACCACACATGATCCAGTGGGCTCATAGATGCTTGCCCACGAGGCTGGGCAGACAAGAGCTGGTTCCATCACCTCCTTCCACAGGTACATAGATCCTTCCAAAAACAACCAACCGGTCTTAAGCATCCCTTTATTGAGAGGACCTGTGCTAAAACAGAGCTGTGGCCCCAGTGAATTATGGGTCAGTGTGGGCAGAGGCCACAGGAGTGGGGTCCCCCACCTACCCAGTGGGGGCAGCTACATGAGGATGAGCACAGTATTAGGAGCTAAGGCCAGCCATGCCAGCTTAGACACAGGCGGGACCAGTGACCAGGACAGAGCCACGTGCCACTTGGCCACCTGCAGCGAACACTTCAGAGCTCCTCCACCTGAACAAGGAGCAGCCAGCAGTAAGGCTTCATTTTTTTTTTTTTTTTTTTTTTTTGAGATGGACTCTCACTCTATTGCCCAGGCTGGAGTGCAGTGGCACGATCTTGGCTCACTGCAAACTCTGCCTTCCGGGTTCAAGTGATTTTCCTGCCTCAGCCTCCCGAGTAGCTGGGACTACAGGTGTGTGCCACCACGCCCAGCTAATTTTTGTATGTTTAGTAGAGACGGGGTTTCACCATGTTGACCAGGATGATCTCGATCTCTTGACCTCGTGATCCACCTGTCTCGGCCTCCGAAAGTGCTGGGACTACAGGTGTGCGCCACCACGCCCAGCTAATTTTTGTATTTTTAGTAGAGACGGGGTTTCACCATGTGGACCAGGATGATCTCGATCTCTTGACCTCGTGATCCGCCTGCCTCGGCCTCAGAAAGTGCTGGGATTACAGGTGTGAGCCACCGCCCCTGGCCAGGCTTCAGTTTTTAAGGATGGAGGCAGACTGCCTTTGGAAACTAGTCAGGGCTCCCCTTAGCTCCTCGCCCCTGGCTCTTTACACGTTAAGCACTCAACAAATAATTGCTGCATGACCAACCCATCACACTAAATTATGAAGGAAAAAAAAAGTCAGCAGAAGCCAATGTCGTCAGCAACAACAATAAGAAAAAGACCCTCTAAAACATCATCTTTAATATTCGGCTCTCTGCTGAGCATATCAACTTTGGAAACATCCCATACCTATCTTGCTGAACTCCTTATAATAAAACTTTAGGCTCCTCAGTAATGAATTTCAGAATCTAAAATATGTCTGTGTTGAGCCCTGCCCTACCTTGACAGATAAAGTGAGTCTTATCAAGGGATATACATTACACAACGTCTTTTGTTTCAGATCTAACACGAATCCATGTGTCCAGGGAAACTCTCTGAAATTCATGGTTCAGAGCCTTTTGTCTCACAAACTAAGTCATGGTCCAAACTCCAGTTCCTTCCCTCTGCCCATCCTAGAATTTGCTTGTGTGAAGGACTCTTTCTTCAAGACCTGAGAAGATGACAGCTTGGTACCAAAGAGCAGGCTGGAAAGACCCAAGAACAGATCCATCCCTGGCCATGGTGAGGGCAGCTGTTCTGGTCAGCGCTAGCTAGGGTCCACACACACCACCGTCATCCTCTGACTCCTGATTTCTTTTGAGGGTCTTCTGCAGGGACCCCAGTGGTCCATCTCTCTCTGGTCACATGGCAGGCCTTCAGGAGGCTCTTCGGGGGTGGTTCAGAATCCTGCAGGGAAAGCTGCCCCCACATAGGCTCAGCACAGAGAAAGAACTCACCCTGCAGTTCAGATGGGCTGGCACTGATTCACCAGCTGAGCCCCTCCACAGGCAGACAGGATTCCCTCGTATTCCCCGGTCTCTGATCTCAAGCACCGTTCCTTCCCTCGCAGCCTCCTGAGACCTGCCTGATCATTAAGTGCACTCTCTGCCCAGCATGAAAGCAGTGCTCTTAGGAAGATGGCAAGCTGTGTCCTCAGATGGTCTTAATAGTCCTAATTTCCAGGGAAGCTATACATGGTGCTAAGGCTGGATAGTATTTGTCAGTGAGAAAACTGTTTGGTTACTCCAGAGTGTGTATCACTTGATTACTTAAAGGATGAAGTGTGTGAGATTTTAGCCTCAGGAGGGAAGGGTCTCCCTATCAGGGCAGGCCAGGGGCTAGTCTATCCTACAGCCCTCAGCACCTAGATCTTTGTTCATAGGGGTGCTTGGTCAAAATGATGAGTAGATGGACGGATGGATGATAAGTGGCTCTGAGCAGCATCTTCCAAAGTGGGCTATGTTGAAAAGGGAGGAAATCTACCTTGGGAAATAGAAATAATGAACAGAATAGAAATGCAAGCTTGATTCAAAGAACTACACGGCAGGGCTGCTTTGAAAGCACTTCCTGCTGCTCTTTTTTGTGCTAGGAGTTAATCCAACCAGGACTTAAAACTTTCCCCAACAGGTAAATGACCCAGGGAGCTACTTCCTCAGGGACTCCATTCCCAGGTGCATGGCAAAGCTGTTCTTTTCCAGTCTCACGTGCCCAACCACCTGAAGGGATGAGATCATCAGAGCACAGAAAGTTTGATTTGGGGATAGTGAGTCCGCGTGAACCATTGGCTTTAAATAAAAGCATCTTTTGGCTACAAATATATTTCTGGAAATCCACATGTAAAGCAAATCTGGGTGAATCAAACCAAATCTTGTCATGAGAAATAATGGTAAATGGAGCGTTATAGGGACATCCCTCAAACTCGCAGACATGCCTGCATGTATTTTCCTGGCTTATTTCAATATAATGAATAATTCATTGCAGAGTAAACCAAGAATTAGAACCTAGAAAAGAGGAATGTAGACAAATTTCTACAAAATAAGAAAAGAAGATGCACATATGATGGCACCACCCATTTGTACAAGTGTGTGGGGCTGTGTCAGGAGGGTTGTGAAGAGTATACAGGAGGGAGCAGATTATGGCAGAGGATGAGGGAGGATAGAGGGAGGGAAGGTGGACAAAGGAGAGAGATGAGGACAGGATGGTGCAGGGGAGAGAGAAGGGAGGGCAAGGTGTAGGAGTTCTGATGATCTCTTCCCTTCAGGTGTGTAGGGGCAGGTGAGACCAGGTAAGTGGGGGCCACCATTTGTGGTAGATGGTGACGACATTAAACATGATGAAGAGGTTACTTTATAGTATTACTTCTTGTTGCCTTCAAAGACTTCTTCAGCTTCCAAAAAAACAACAAATGTGCTGCTCCCTCCATGTCGGTTCTAGAATTATGGCTCACAGTGCAGTCTCAGGGTTGCTCAAGACATGCCTGATGGCTGCAGAATGTTTGCAGTAAAAAATCTAATTTCTTTTTTGTAGAGATCTCTGGAAGATAGAGGTAGCTTCTAGAGACAGCAGTTCTCTCCATGCTGATTCTTCTTTTAGCCTCTTTTCTTGGCTAATATTACCAACTTAGCCTCCCAAATATATTTTCACCAATTTATTTTTCCAAGTGACTTTGAGGATAATTTGGTCAATGTATTGGAAAGGAAAAGGTATTCACTAATTTCCTATCATTGAACTGTAATTTTATTTCTACAAATGCCTTCCTTGGTCATGAAGTAGTATTCGTATTCATTTAATAAAGTTACAGATTCCACTTGCTAATATTATCACTAGAATTTTTAATTTCACCTTCATAAAGGAGATTTGTTTGTAGTTTTATTCTGGGTGAAATGTGGGCTGTTGGTTTCACATTTTGGTATTAGGACCATTGTGTGACTTTATAATATGTTAATTTGGCCTGGCTGAACTAAGGTTAGGCTGAACCAATTCCTCAAATTTCCTATTCTGTAGTTTTGAGCTAGGCTGGACCACAGACATTTTTGTATGAGATGTAATGAGGCCACAGCCATTTTTATTTGTCCACGTGGATGGTCAGGGCAGGTGCTTTTGGAGTTCACATGCTGTCACTTGTCTGTTGATTCACCTCATTGGCACAGGGCAGCAGCTGGACCAGCAACTGCTCCACCCTCCCTCAAACCTTCCTTGGGTTCTCTGACTCCAGGGCCAGTTGTGTGCTTAGTCTCTCCATGCATTTTACCAAGAGAAAAGGCAGTGGGACTGTCACAGGCTCTCGTCTGTCCTCATGGGTTTGATCCAGCTTGTGCCCAGGAACTCCAGCTCATGTTTGCTTTACTCCATTTGATATCTGTGCTCCCTTCCCAACTGCCTGCCCTGTGGACTTGAAGCTCCACCACCAGACACAACCATAATACAGACACAATTCAGTCAGCTCTCACAGACACCCGATAAAGTCAGATCCTTTTAGATATGTTCCAGTGGCTCTAATCTGCTTCTTTAATTGAACCCTAATGGATACAGCATTTGATACCAAGAGTAGGGTGCTGTCATAACTAAAGCTTAATATATGGAAGCAGCTTTGGAATTGGGCAGTAGGCAGAAGCTAGAAGGACTCTGAAGTTAGTTAGTGAAGAAAGGTTGAAAGGCCTTGAAGAACCCAATTTTAAAAGCATGATGGCTTTTGACATAGGTGTTAAAGGAAAGTGAGGAAAATATTTCTTTTTTTCAAAAGGGACGTCTCTTCATTTATTGAGGCCGCTTCAACATGTTTACACACGCACACAAAACGCCTACACACAAAGTCAATGTCGTGATAATGCACTTCCATGAAGTCACATTAACAACAACAAAATGCATAAAATGAATTGGAGCTTTCCAAAAGTGGAAAAATCTTATTAAAAACTGGAGGAAAGGCCATCTTTGGTTATATGTTGGCAGAAAGTTTAGCAACACTGTCACCTGTGATAATGTGGGAGGTAGAATAAAGGACTAGATAATCTAGCTGAGGATATTTCCAGGCAAAGTGATACAGATGCAGCTAGTGATAAATAAGGATTCTTATTGCTGTTTACAGTAAAATGTGAGAGGAGAGAGAGAATCTAAAGGAAGGGCCATTAAACATTAAAGGAGCTAGGACTCGTGTTTTTGGAACTTAGCCTCTCCTGAAGGCAAACAATGCTAAGATAAAGAAATGGCTTCCAGGTAAAAATCACATTCAGGGTGCTCATGGGCAAGTACTACCTCCAGATAAATTTAGGAGTATTACTGTAAAGTCCTCTGTTTAGACCCCAGAAAGATATAACGTGGTGCCTCGGAGAATTGTTCAATCCAATAGTAGAGCTTCCAAGAAGCTTAGGGGAATTGTCCCTTAGCAGAAGCTCAAGGTAGAAAAGGATTTATCCTGAAGATATCTGTGGCTATGGCTTTTGTATAATGGAATGAATGTTCAATTAGATTTGCAGGAGACCCCCACATTTTTAAAAAGAAGTATATTAGCATAAATACCACCAGTTTGGACTGCAAGGGAGAGAGAAAATAGAAAACAAAAAGTAAACATTGGACCCACAAATGCTGACTGGAAGCAGGCTGAGAAATTTTTGCAGCTGCAAACATGGTTACCATTTATGAAAATGAAAGTACGATTCAGAAGGCAGAACCAGAGTTCAGAGGACAGAGCCAAGAGCCAAGGCAGGAATGGGACTGAGTCCTAATTTTAAAAAAATCTACGGCTTGCCTGGCTGAATTTTAAAATTAGTATGGCAAATCCTCCATGCCTTCCAATTTCCCTTTTTGAGCAAGTATCAATAGCAATTATTTTATGCCCACCCCACCATTGTACATTGGATGTGTGAGGGTCGGGTAACTTTTCTCTTTGGTGCACAGGTCTCCAATCGAAAGAATCAGAAGGGAGTGCATTTGAGAAGCCGTATTTCAGGAATTGCATCCAATGAGCCCCATTCAATCTAGACTTGACTTAGGGGAAAACATTCTGGACATAGCTAATGATATAAGGGAATGGATCTTTGAGGGGGTCTTGGGGAGGGGTGAGTATATTTTGCCTGTGGAAGAAATGTAAATCATTTGTGGCCAGAAGGCAGGCTATGCTGGATTTAAAATATATCCACAAATTCTTTGACACACTTCCTTCAAGATGTGCAGCTTCATTCCCCTCCCTTTGAATATGGACTGGACTTAGTGGTTTCATTTTAATGAACAGAATAAGGCAGAAATGACAGTGTGTGACTTTTAAGCCTAAGTCATAAAAACCATTGCAGCTTCACTCTTGTTCTCTCTCTCAGATCACTCATTCCTGGAGAAGCTGGCTGCCATGTCATGAGAATGTCTAAGCAATCCTATGGAGTGCCTTACATGGTGAGGAACTGAGGCTGCTTTCTGACAGCCAGAAAAGAATGAGTCCTCCTCAGCCAACAGCCATGAAAATGAACCATCTTGGAATTGCAAACTGCAGCCCCAGAGAAGCCTGCAGATCAGTGCTTCCCCAGCCAACACCTTGACTGCAGCCTTGTAAGAAACTCGGAGGTCGAACTACCCACCTGTGTTGCTTCTGAATCCCAGACCCACAAAAGCTGTGAGCCAGTAAATGCTTCTTGTTCAAAGCCACTAAGTTTTGGGGTAATTCATCATAAAGCAATGGATAACTAATGTAGCTCTGTTATATCAGAAAAATAAATTGGGACAGTTTCCATATTTTTTATGACATGGAATGGCTAAAATCACATAGAAATGGTCAATTTCTTGGGAGTTTGATAGGACTCACTCACAAATCCATTTGGAACAGGAAGTTTTTTAAATTTTATTTTGAAAGTAGATCCTTGATAGACATAAAATTTTCTCTTTGGCTTGTTTGAGTTTTCACTGTAAGAGCTCCTTGATATATTTAAAATGACTTTGGCTTATTTGACTTTCAACCTCATTTTAAATTGATCTTGGTTTATTTATGCTTTCCTAGGAAAGGCATGCATTTCATTCAAACTTTAAAATGTCTTTTCAGAGAGTTGTTTATACCCTACCTTTAAAATTATTATATTTGTGTCTATATCCTTTTGTCATTCATAATGATGTGCTTTTGTTGGAAATAATTCTTCTTGATTAGATTTTCCAGAGATTATCTTTTTATTCTCTTTTTAATAGAAACATTGGTTGGACTCATTAATGTTTGCATCTTCTTTGTATATTCCAGTTCCATTATTTTCTCTTTTATTTTGATTAATTGTGTTATCACAGCTTCCTCAGGTTTCTCTCTCTCTTTCTTAAGTCTTTGGTTGAAAGATAAGCCTATTTTTAATTTTTTTGATTTAATAATTAAAAAGCAAATGAGAGCGTGACCTCATCTAAATAAGGTTTTTACATTTGAAGTTTCCAGTATCATTATTGTATAAATACTCTGCAATGGCAATTTGTTATTTTTTAAATTGATAAAAGCTACATCCATTTATCATGTACAACGTGATGTTTTGAAATATGTATACATTGTGGAATGGCTAAATTGAGCTAATTAACATATGCATTACCTCACATACTGTTTCTCGGGGGTGAGAACACAAAATCTACTCTTTTAGCAATTGTCAAGAATATATTATTAAGCATAGTCACCATTCTCTACAATAGATCTGTGGAACTTATTTCTCCTCACTGAAATTTTGTACCCTTTGACCAACACCTCCCAATGCCCCCACCTCCAGCCCCTACTGATCACCATTCAGCCCGCCACTCTCATGACTTCACTTTTTTAGATTCCACTTTTAAGTGAGATCATGTGGTATTTGTCTTTCTGTGCTTGGCTATTTCATTTAACAAAATGTCCTCCTGGTTCATCCAGGTTGTCACAAATGACAGGATTTCCTTCTTTTTGAGGCTGAATAGTATTCCATTATGTACATATACTCCATTTTCTTTATATATTCCTTTGTTTTTTTTTTCCTTCCAACATTTTTTATTGCATTAAAATACATATAACATGAAATTTACCGTCTTTTTAAAAAATGTTACTTTAAGTTCTGGGATACATGTGCTGAATGTGCAGGTTTGTTACACAGGTATACATGTGCCATGGTGGTTTGCTGCACCTGTCAACCCTTCATCTAGGTTTTAGCCCCAAATGCATTAGGTATTTGTCCTAATGCTCTCCCTCCCATCGCGCCCCACCCCTCAACAGGCCCCAGTGTGTGGTTTCCCTCCCTGTGTCCATGTGTTCTCATTGTTTAACTCCCACTTATGAGTGAAAATGTGTGGTGCTTGCTTTTCTGTTCTTGTGTTAGTTTGCTAAGGATGATGGTTTCCAGCTTCATCCATGTCCCTGTGAAGGACATTAACTCATTCTTTTTTATGGCTGCATAGTATTCCATGGTGTACATGTGCCATATTTTCTTTATCCAGCCTATTATTGATGGGCATTTGGGTTGGTTCCAAGTCTTTGCTATTGTAAATAGTGCTACAATAAACATACATGTGCATGTGTCTTTATAGTAGAATGATTTATAATCCTTTCGGTATATACCCAGTAGGGGATTGCTGGGTCAAATGGTATTTCTGGTTCTAGATCCTTGAAGAATTGCAACACAATATATTCATTTGTTGATGGGCACTTAGTTTAATTCCATTTCTTGGCTATTGTGAAGCATGCTGGAATTCACATGGGAGTGCAGATATCTCTTCGACATACTGATTTAATTCTCTTTAGATATATACCCAGTAGTAGGATTGATGGACCATATAGTGTCCTATTTTTAATTTTTGAGGAATCTGCACACTGATTTCTGCATGACTGTACTAATTTACTTTCCCACGTACAGTGTATGAGTTCCCTTTCCTCCACATCCTCACCAGCACCTGTTATCTTGCATCTGTTTGATATTAGCCATTCAAATAGATGTGAGATGCTATCTGATTGTGCTTTTCATTTGCATTTCTGTAATGATGAGTGATACTGGGCATGTTTTCATATACTGGCTGGCCATTTGTATGTCTTCTTTTGAGAAATGTCTATCTGGCCCTCTGCCTTTTTTTGAAATCAAGTTGTGTGTTTTCTTGCTATTGAGTTGTTTGAGTTCCTTATATATTTTGGATATTAGCCCCCCATTAGACATAGGATTTGCAAATATTATCTTCCATTCCATAGGTTGTCTCTTCACTCTGTTGATTGTTTCCTTGCCTGTGTAGAAACTTTCTAGTTTGATGTAATCCCACTCGTCTACAATAGTCCGTGCTTATCGATGAGGATACGTTTTAAGACCCCAGGTGGATGCCTGAAATCTCAGAGAATACCCAACCCTATAAATACTACATTTTTTCCTACACATACAATCCTATGGTGAAGTTTAATTTATGCATTGTGCACAGTAAGAGCTTAACAACAGTAACTAACAAAATAGAACAATCATAACAATATGTTATCATAAAAGTTATGTGAATGTAGTCGCTCTCTCTCTCCCTCTCTATATATCTCACTCAAAATATTGCACTGCACTGAAACTGTAACTAAAACTGCAGAACGCAAAACCATGGATGAGGGAGGACGACTGCATTTTCACTTTTGTTGCCTGTGCTTTTGGGGTCATATCCAAAAAAATCATTGCACAGATTAACATCATGGAGCTTCCCCGTTATGTTTTCTAGTCGTTTTGCAGTTTCAGGTCTTATGTTTAATTCTTTAATCCATTTTCAGTGGATTTTTGTATACGGTGTGAGATAAGGATCTAATTTCATTTTTCTGCATGTGGCTATCCAGTTGCCCCAACAGCATTCCTTGAAAAAACTGTCCTTTCCCCACTGTGTGTTTTTGTAACTGCAATTTTGATTTTTTCTTGTGTCAAGTGTTATCTATAAGATTGAAATGTTTTACTTCTCAATGGTTGAATTTTCATCATCCATTTTTATGTGGTCTGAGAAAGTGATCTAAACACTCTTAACTTTTAAAAATATTTTAAATTTTTGCACATGGCCCAGGGATATTTCAAGATAATATGTATTATCTAGAGTGCAAAGTTTTATATATTTCTATATATTTGTGTGTGTTTAGATATACATAAGCATGTGAATAAATATAAATATATAAAGCTATAGATATTATATATATAGTCACCCTGTCCCTTCTGCCCCAAACATCCCCTCTCTACTTGGCATACTTCTAGTCTTCCTTCAGAAACACAATCAAACATCATCTCTTCTGCAAAGCTTTTTCTGACTCTCAGCCACAGGATACCATTTTCTCAAATCATCTCTGGGTCGTCAGAATACTTAGTTATTTTGCTGTGATTGGAGTGATCCCATCCTATGCTAGTCAGTGTCCGTCTTTCTCCTTGAGGGCAGGCTATGTCTCTCTCCGTTCTGCATTTTCAGGGATTAGCACTGCACTGGGCATCAAGTAGGAACTTGGTAAATGTTTGTTGAGTAATATATTTCCAAGGTCAATGACTCTAGTGTCCGTTGGGCACACATTTTCTTTGTGAAATGTTATATTATATTAAAAACATGCAGATTAGCTAACTTTTCATTTAAAGCATAATATTACCCTTGTGTTAAAATTCAGAGCTTGTAGCAGATTCATTGTTATCAACCCTTTTTCAACTTTAGTCTCGGCAAGCTTCATTATTCCAGTCTGACAATCCAGTCTGATATTTGGAGATTAGAAAGACATCCCCTGCCTGTCCCTAATTACCTGGTTATGCAGGTAGCAGACTAGGAGAATTGCTGCTGACTTTGAAGGTCCTGTGGACAGTGACTTTAAAATCCTCAGAATGTTCAGAACTATTTACCCAATGCTTGCCTAGTGGCATTAATGCTGTTCCATATGGTATATGCAAGTTATTTTCATTTTTTAAAATAGCTTTTATTTTTAAAGCAATTTTAGATTCACAGCAAAATTGGGCAAAAGGTACAGAGAGTTTCCATATACCCCCAGTTCCCATGGGCAAGATATTTTCTAAGAAAGAATATTTACCATTTTCTTCAATGTTGTAAGAGGACAATTCTTTTTATACATTTATATTCAGGGGCTTAGGTTGTAACATTTTCTTCTTGATGCTACTCAGGCATTTTCAAGGGCTTTTAACATGCAGAGTTTCTTTTTGTTTGTTTCAATTTACACATGGTCCATGGATCAAAGCAAGGCTGTTGTCATCCTGCCACTTCCCTGAATGCTCATTGGGTCATCTCTGTCATGGACGGAAAGGCACAATTGGAGGTAATGTATACAGAAAGTGTCTAATTATTGCTTGAACCCTGACCTGAGAGCTTTCTTTCTGCAAAAGAGAAGTGGCTAACACTTTGGCGGAATGATCATATTCTCATGTTCCTATCCCAGGCTCACGTGTGAGATAATGACATTTATAGGTGAAAGAAAATGTTTCCGTTTACTTCCTTGTGCAATTAAAGTGATGTTGAGACATATAATCCTCTCTCTCTGACAAAGATTACTGTCCAAAGAATACAATGTAATCAACAGGCGGCTGGACACTCATATTTTTTCTTCTAGCAGTTTATAATGGACACAGCTATGCCCTCTACAGAATGTCAGAGGTGAGTTTTGATTAAAAAAAGTAGATCAACTAACAATAATTTTGGAGTGTTTTGATCAATGATGGAAAGTTAAGTGTTTTAAAAATGTTTCCCTAAAAGGAACTTTATTTCCTATCTTTTTTTTAATGTGGTTTTATCATTTCTTTCACTTTCATAGGTCAATAGGCACGAACAATCTCACAGTGCTCTGTCCTATTATATGAAGATGACTTCTAAATGTCCTAAATATTATGCTCCCATCCACAGACATGAGCGGCTGTTCTTGATAAGTTCGGTGGAGTGCATCATTCTCCCAGAAGCTCTCCAGGGAAAATGGAGGAACTTCCCCATAAGAGGCTACTTTGAACAATTTCTTCAAACTCCTTCACCAGAAAATGTTCCCAGTGCAACAGAAAGAGGTTAAAATGGTTCATAAATTTGTAACAAATCTGTTGACAATAAAGTAATTCTTGTCAGACCAGAACAGTTAAGAGATAATGAAAAAATAGCGTGCCCTCTTCAACTGTTTCCTGGTAGCTAAGTATTTTTTTTTTAGCAAGTTTGTTTTAATTCTTTCCTCTGATAATTTAGGTAGCTTGAGCTTGAACTAATTAAAACAAACATGGAAACAAGGATGGAATAGCCTGACAAAAAGATGTATTCCATTTGTATTTTAAATGCCAGCTGAAAGGCTGTGTGTTAAAGCATTCTTCTTTTTTCGTTGTTTTTGTTCTACATCATTAAAGATTTCTATTGTCAGAAAGATTATAGATTAAACTGTCCCTCCAAAAGAGACATTTGGTTATGTATTGTCTTAGAAGAAGGGTGAACTATTCTCAACCTTTCTCTATCTTGGTGAACAAGTTATTTCTTTTGGGTTTACAGCTTTTAAGGCTTCTTTGTTGATGGAAGAGGCAAGACAAGTATTTTCAGAAGCACACATGGAGTTTGGAGAAGCAATGAACATGTATTGTGCCACTACTAGACATCAGTTCCTTCCCGGAAGTTGGTAATCATCACCCCACCTGATTGTCACCCTCACACTTGGAGCTGGAGGTACGACCTTCAGTTAATGAACGGAGTTAGGGCAAGACCTGAAGGGGCTGAGGAATTTTCTCAAGGTCATAACACCTATAAGTGGAAGGCATCTCTGGGTTTTCTATGTAGCCTGGAAAATCTTGTGTGTTTACATAGTCAGTGTTCTCCCATTTTCTGCAAAGCTGTGCCCACTACATCCTCCTTCCCTTCCACTCTCTGTACCCCATGAAGGGACATTGCTTGTTACCCCCAGTACCCACAGCATGGAAACAAGGGATTGGACAGATGAGACGTTCCACTCTCCTTTACTGAAGGTTTTGGTGGTTTATTCAGATCTAAACCCATAGAGTGTGGAGCTCATTAGACCAGGGAAGCAAGAACTTCTATGGGGCTACGTCTCTGCTCTGCTCAGCCCTCCAGGGAAGCAGGAGCCTTGTTCTTGACTCTGTATTCACCACTGGGGCCACACCCTCCAGCACGCAGGGAGAGCCCCCATTGTCCCTCAGTTCTGCCACGTCTACCCCTTCACGACCAACCACACCTGATGCCTTCGCTTCAGCTGAGTGCAGATGGGCTTTTCCCTCCCTCATCCAGTAAGATCCCTATGCTGAGCTCACTGATGGCACATCTTTAATTATATCCATGGGCAATATTTGGTCCTTGGTTTCACCTCTGCCCAGCACTCCATGCGGTTCACCTTCCCTTTGAGGGACCTCATCTTCCCTCGCACCTCACCGATAGCTTCTCCTAGTACCTTCGTGGAATTTGCCTGTGCTTGTCCCACATCTCGGCTGATGGCTCCTCTTACTCCGTGTCTGACCCAGACATTTCTCCTGAGTTTAAGGCGCGTATATTCAACCACCCAGGTAAGGTGACACGAGGATGTCCCCTGGGCCCTCAGTGTCCCCGTGTCTGTGCTGGCTGCTCTCTGCCTGGCTCTCCCCCATCTCCACCCTGCTCCGTGCCCGGGCAGTGACCCTTGTGGACTGCACCATGGGCCCCTCACCCTTGGGCTTCCACAGGAGACTTGGAGAGCCCAGGCAGAGTTGGGGGCTCTCTCCCTCCCTGTGGGGCTGGGGATTGACTTTGTGTCCCCTTCTGCACAGCTGCTCCCTCTGACTCAGTAACGGATGCTCCCTTCACCTTCAGGCCTGGAGGATGTGCTGGCCTCCTGCCCCCATTTTCCAGCAGCTTCATTGTCCCTGGTTGCCCCTTCATCCCTGCCCAGGCCAGTGCCATTGGTGCCTTTGCTACCCTCCCCTGGGTTCCCTGACAGGTGTGCCCTCTGCTTCTGTGGCCAGTGTGATGATCCCCCTGTGTCTCTGCCTGCTCTTGCCCACCTTCCCCCTTGTCCACTCCCTGTTCATCCCTGTTTCTGAGTTTAGTGACTGGCCCCTCACCACCCAGTTGCCCCAGCCAGGGCACTGTGACCCTTCCTTGACGTTTCTCTCTCCCTCACCACCAGGATTCACCCCATTCAAGCTTCCAACCTCTGTTCTTGGGCTCTCCATCCTCACGGCCACAATCCTTGTCTAGACCACTGTTATCTTCCAGCAGGACATCACCTGGTCTTCCTCCCTCCCCTGCCTCTGTGCCCTTCAATGACTCTCCACACTGCAGTCAGGACAAGTCTTTCTAGAATTCAAGCCTGATTGTGTCAGTGCCCAGTAAACCTGTGTTGAATTCCCACTGGAGAAACCCCTCATGTGCCTTCTACATCCCTGACGTCCCTGCCGGCACTTTCTCCCCTGTGCTCACTCCAGCCATGCTGAAATGGCCTCCAACGCACCATGCCTCCTCACTCTGACTCCTACATGAGCTATTTCCATGTAATTGTAATTGTGTGGAACTGTAATCCACCTGGCTAACACTGATCCTTCAGATAGTCATCGCAGACATCACTTCTTCCAGGACGCCTTCCCTCCTGCCCCCATAGCTGCTATTCTCGTGCTCCTATGGCGTTCCACATACCGTCCCCCTCCTCATCATTAACAGCTGTGACTTCCCAGACACGATGTGGCAAGAGTTGCACTAAGTACTCTGCATGAATTACCCTTTAATCATCACAACATCTCTAAGAGCTGGTGTGGCAGCTGTACACTAGATGCAGCCCATTTTCTCATCTAGAGCATGGATTGGCAAACTTTTCCTGAATGTATTTTCAGCTTTTTGGGTCTCAGGGTTTCTCTTGCAACGATTCAACTCTGCCAGTGCAGCCTGGAGGCTGCCCGGGACCATACGTAAATAAATGAGCCTGGCTGTGTGCCAAGAAAGTTATTACTCAACGAGGTGGCAGGCCCAATTTGAGCTGGGGGCTGTCGCTGAGCCCTGCTCTAGACTAGACTACAAGACTCATGAGGTTAGGGATGCTGCGTCTCCAGCATGGGGACCGGCACACAATGGTGCTTCAATACCATTTCTCCTCCCACTGCCTCCAAGGACGGATTTGGGGTGGGATGAATATGAGGAAGAATCTAGGTGTTGGCAATTGCTGAGCAAGTTGACTTCTCTGCTCAATATGCCATCATGTCCCTAAGAAAGTCTCCCTTTTGCTGAGCCCAAGTTTGCTCCACATGGCTCTTAGCCCTGGTCCTTCCTCTGCTTTTGGGAGCTGCAGACAGAAGGTATGATTCATCTCCTGCGGGGATTCCTTCTTTGGGGTTCCGGCTCCTGCAGGCCCTTCTCGGATTAAGCCTCTCCCATCAGTCCCCATCCCCATGGTGTCCAGACTGTCCTCATCCTCTCTCCCTCCTCTGCAGGCTCCCTACTGGCAATTTCCCCTTTAAAGGACACTCTCCCAGAGGGCAACAGAGCTCTCCAGACTCCTGGGATGCCATGGTCTAAACTCTGTCCAACCTTCTATGCAGTCCGGGCACTCCCAGCCTCTAAGAAGTCACTGCCTGGGCTCTAATGGGGTCACTTGTGGGCTCTACCAGGACCAGTGTCTTGGCAATTCCCAGGCCTTTCTTAGCAGAGCTGCTGCTTTGAAAGCAGGGCTTTCCCCACCACCCCATTTTTCTGAGATGTTTCTTAGTTCCATTGATTTTTTTTTTTAAATTCTACATGCAGAATCATGGCAGGATTTTCATCTTGGGGCGATATGGTGAAAACACTGTTAGGAAAATTCATTCAGCCCTGGATTCCAGGATGGATTGTTTAGGGGAGAAAGGGAGGCAGAGGGGAGATCTAAATGCAAGATCACACTTTCTTACTGAGTGGTGTTGAGATGATTTCTGCTTGAAAATATGGAAAACCATCTCATATTTCAGAAATTCTTATTGCAACATGAGAGGGGCTCCATTTAAAATCACCCTCATCAGTCAAGGGCTCTACCAAAATGCCAAAGCTTCCATGAAGCCTCGGTCACCACGAGACTCCATTGTCATTCCCTGTCTCCCCTAATACCTTTTCAGCCTCCTGTCACACACCCGCCAGCACCTGATTTGGGCTAGAGCTCATTAGATGTGTGGCTTTTGGACCTATGGGTCACTCTGAGTTCTTCAAGAATGGGACTTGTCCCAGCCCAGGGTCTCGGCCTTGCACAAGGTTGTGGACTTGCGTGGGCTCCGGTGAGTGATGGGACGCTGCCACAGGTAGAGAGCTTGTGGCTGGGACCAGCGGCAGCAGCCTGCCCCCTCTGTGCTCTGCTTCCCTGGGAGCAGCTCAGCACACCTGCTGTCCCAGCCCTCCTGCCTCTGTCCCTGGGCCCCATCCTGGCTCAGCCTCCCTGCTGGAGCTGCACTGCTGACCTTGGTGCTGAGTCTCCCGTGCACGTCACTGAGTAGTGGCCTCTGCAGGACCTCATCATCCCTGCTGCTCTTGCTCACGCTGAGTCATAAGACATAGGTCTTAAACCTCCTGGCATGAAGCTCTTAGCAAAATAATTTTGCAGAGGTGACTGCTCTGTGTTCCCAGCATTAAATAACACAATCACGGAAGCTTCTCAAGGTTCTCCCTGCTTTTCAGTCTCTCAGCATGTGGCTTGAATTTTCCCAAATCGCCTCCATGGACAGGTTAACTATGCCTGGAATGTGAAGCTTTGACAAACTTGTACACAATCAAACACCTGCTTGGCATGTGGGAGGGCTCAATAGAGGCAGGCTGAGTGAGTGAGTAAATTAGTCGATGATCGAATGAATACTTTCTCCTGGTGACCTTTCTTTCGATAGTCATAACCGGACACAGAGTTGAGCAGCACTAAGCGCAGTGCATCAGTGTCGTTTCAACAATTTCCACATTCTTTCTAAGGGCTCCATTCTTTTCCTTGAAATCCATTCACTATATTTCCCATTTATTTTTTCTACTGATATTTCTGCTTCTCTGATGTCTCCTTGAACAATTGAGCTGCCAGATTAATTTTTCAGGAGTGCAACTTCCATCCCAGAATTATCAAATCACTCACTCAAAAACTTCTAATGCCCCACTGCCTAGATGCTTGTCACAAACTCTGGGGCAGGTCTTTGAGGCACCTCAGTTTCCCCCAGGCTGCCTCTCTAGCCCTTCTCACACTGTTCCTTCCTCCTCTGTGCAGCTGCTTCTTTCCAGAAACTTCTCTCTGTTTTGTTGCCTCCAGACCACTACTATCCCCTTCAGCAATGAGGCACTCATTCCCCGAGCTGCTGCTGGGACAGCTCACACCTGAGCCCCTGCCCAGGCACACATGCTCCAGTGGCTGACCGACGCAGGGGTAAAAAGGTCTTGTCTCCTTGCCCTGCAGGTACCTCTGAAAGGCCCACCAGCTCTCAGTATGATGAGCTGAGGCCTAACCGCAGCTACTCAATTCTCCTTCTTCCACATCCTTCCAGGTGTTGGTCCTGAGTGTTCCCCCCAGTAAACCTCCCGAGCAAATCTCAGTCTCTCATCCGATTCCCCTGAGGCCTGAACTGCTGTGTAATATTTCACTGCATGGCTGCACCACATGTCATTAAACAGTGCCCTCCTTAGGCGCATTCAGCTTATTTTCAGCCTTTGACTATTTTAAATGTTGTTGAAAGTAACATCTTGACCACACATCTTTGAACAAACTTCTGATGACTTCCTCGGAATAGCATAACAAGGTGCGTCTGAAAGTGTGGACTCTGAAAGTCCCTGAGACCCTTTCAGGAGGTCTGTGAGGTCAAGATTCTTTCCACAATAATATAAGATGCCTTTTCTCTTTCACTGTGCAGACATTTGTACTTATGGTACAAAAGCAGTGGTGAGTAAAACAGTGATCTTTAGCAGGAATCAAAGCAGTGGTAGCCAACTACACTCCTGGTCATTTTGTGTACTCACAATTTTTTTTAAAGCACCAGCCGTACACGGTGATTCATGCCTGTAATCCCAGCACTTTGGGAGGCCAAAGCGGGCAGATCACTTGAGGCCAGGAGATCGAGACCAGGCTGGCCAACATAGTGAAACCCCATCTCTACTAAAAATGCAAAAAATTAGCTATGCATGGTGGCACACACCTGTAGTCCCAGCTACTCAGGAGGCTGAAGCCTGAGAATTACTTGAACCCAGGAGGCAGAGGATGCAGCGAGCCAAGATCGTGCCACTGCACTTTAGCCTGGGTGACAGAGTGAGAATCTATCTCAAAAGAAAAAAAAAAGCACCAGTTTCACTTAAGAATGTTTTTGATGAAGCAGCATAAACTATTAATTTTATTAAACCTTGCCCCTTGTGTACACGTCCTTTATATTCTCCGTGTTAAAATGCGAAGTGTGCATACCCGGTGTGCACGTTATCTCAAGGAAAGGCACCTGTGCGATTGTTTCTGTTCTGAGCTGAATGAACTGCGTCTTCCTTGGACCGTCATTTTCGCTTCAAAGAAAGACTGACAGACATACCATGGCTATTCAGACTTGGGTATTTGCTAGACATTTTCTTTAAAATGAACAAAGCAAGCCTGTCACTTCAAGGAAAGCAACTGACATTATTTTTTGCCCGTGATAAAATTCAAGCTTTCAAGTGAAAATTGGAATTTTGGAACATTCCTTCAGCCACCATGAGCTTAACAGTCTCCCTTGACTTAAATACTTCACTGATGACACAGGTGGTGATTTTAACAAAGATGATTTTTTAATCCTGTACAATGAAATGTGTCAACATTTGGAAGATCTGCATAACAGTGACCTGCCATTTTCCAAAGACCAATGCCTGCTGTTATGTGGAGAAATGATCCTTTCAAAGCACAAGATGGACCAAGAGTTTAATGTAGCAGAGCAAAAAATATTCCCTGGTGGGGTTTCTGATTCTACATTGCAATATACTTTAAGAACCTATAACTTGCTGAGTTTTTATGTAGTCTGTAAGAGGAATATCCACAATGATTGGAAAAGGCTATTAAAATACTTTTCCAACAGCATATCTGAATGAGGCCTGAATTTCTTATTATACTTCAACCAAAACCACAGATCACAACAGGTTAATTCTGAAGATTCAGCCATCTTCTACTAAGCCAGACATTAAAGAGATATGTGGCAACGCCACTCTTTGCATTATATTTTGTTTGTTTTGGGAAAAATAGCTATTTTTTAAAATAAAATAGCGTATGTTAATACATCATGGCTTTATTAGTATTATTTTAAACTCTATCAAGAATTTAGAAGCATTTTTAGTTTTATTTTCTAATACGATAACATTAATAGATATAACCCACATTAACAAAAGTTATTTGGGGGTCTTCAAACATTTTTGAGAGGGTAAAGTGCTTCTGAGATCCAAAGGTTTAAGAATTACTGGCCCAGTTAATCCTTGTCCTAATCCCGCTCTCACCTAGGGAGGAGAAGACAGTAGGCTGATAGGACAGTGACTGCATCGCACCTGCCACTAAGCCTGGGGATCAGCGTGCATTGCACTAAACACAGAAGCACAGGATGCCCCCACTGCTTCCTACCCAGTGTGGATGGGGCACGAGCGCCTGGTGCTGGCTGCCTGCCTGTCCTCTTGCCTCTCTTCCTGGCAGCTTCGACATCACATGGGTCCGGCATCCTTGTCGTTCCCGTTCTTGGATCTCCGAGGTCCCAGGAGTCCCAGTAGTTTTTTCACTTCTCACTTCATACCCTAGACTACTGTTTTTCATGAAGTCCCATTGTTTTCCAAATATGTTGCAGTTTTTCCAAGTTTGTTGTTTGCTTTTAAACTTTTTTGCTGGTGTCTTTTGACATACAAATCATGTCGATGTTTTATATAATGTAAATTTTTTTTTTTTTTGGAGATGGAGTCTCACTTTGTCACCCAGGCTGGAGTGCAGTGGTGCAATATTAGCTCACTGATGCAACCTCTGTCTCCTGGGTTCAAGTGATTGTCCTGCCTCAGCCTCCCACCAACATACCCAGTTATTTTGTATAGTAATCATTTAATTTATAGCTTTTGCTTTGCTCTTTCATGTTGACTAAATTATTTTTTTACCATAAGGTTATAAAAATATTCTTCTAAATTTTCTTTGGAATTTTAATGTCTTCTTTTTTTTAGATTTATCCCTTTAACACAATTGGAATTTTAAAAAGTTATTTTTTGAAGTTAATCGGCATACGATAAAATGAATGCACCCATACTAAGTGTAGATTTGATGTATTTTATATTTCCACTTAATATATTAAAATCTATATACCATGCATGTACACACTGTCAAATGTAAACATCACTGTATACCACTATTTAGACATTCAACTATTGAAGCATAATTGAGTTGCTTCTGTTTTGGATTAGAAATAATGTTTTGTTATATTGTTAATAAAGCTGATAGGAACATTTATATACAAGTCTTTTTGTGAACACAGTTTTAAAGATTATATATTCAGGCCGGGCGCGGTGGCTCCGCCTGTAATCCCAGCACTTTGGGAGGCCAAGGCGGGCAGATCACGAGGTCAGGAGATCGAGACCATCCCGGCTAAAACGGTGAAACCCCGTCTCTACTAAAAATACAAAAAAAAAAAATTAGCCGGGCGTAGTGGCGGGCGCCTGTAGTCCCAGCTACTCGGGAGGCTGAGGCAGGAGAATGGCGTGAACCCGGGAGGCGGAGCTTGCAGTGAGCCGAGATCCCGCCACTGCACTCCAGCCTGGGCGACAGAGCGAGACTCCGTCTCACAAAAAAAAAAAAAAAAAAAAAAAAGATTATATATTCAAATTGGTTGTTACTGATATAAAGGAAAGTTGCTTTGAAAATGATTTTAACGTTATATGCAGGAATTTTAAGAAATGCTCTTGTTAAGGAGTTTTAATCATGTTTCTTAGAAATGCTCTTAGATTTTTCTGGGTAGACATTGAGGTAATCCTCTAATGATGATCATCTTGTCTTTTCCTTTGCAATAAACATTTTGCTTCGTGTTTTTGCCTTATTATATTAGTTACAGCCTTCAGAGCAAAGTTGAAGAATAGCAATTATTCTTGTTCCCAACTGTATGAGTCATCTATTGTTGTGTGATGTTATGGTTGAATTGTGTCTCTTAAAATTCATATGTTGACATCCCAACCCCAACAACTCAGAATGTGATCTAATTTGGAAATAAGGTCTTCAAAAAGATAAGCAAATTAAGATGAGGTCATTAAGGTAGGCTGTAATCCAATATGACTAGTAGCTCTGAAAAGGAGACATAGACACACACGCAGGGAGAACGCCATGTGAGCCTGAAGACGGCCACCCACGAGCTGGGGAGGGAGCCCTAGAAGGATCTCTTCTAGCCCTCAGGAGAAACCAGTCCTGCCAACACCTTGATCTCAGACTCTGGCATCCAGAACTGTGGCTCCCCATAATGCCTGTTGTTTAAGCCACCAGTTTCTGGTACTTTAATACTGCAGCCCTAGCAGACTAGTACATTTAACAAATCACCCTAAAACATAGTGGCATAGAACAGTCTAATGATCTGTTATTAAGTCTGATGCTTGTGGGATGTTTCTAATAGATACTCTTAATTTTAGAAAATTTAATTCTACTCTTGGAATACTTAGAATTCGTATCAGAAGTGGATTGTGACCATACTAAATGTTTTTTTGGCACCCATATAGATGACCATATGGTTTTCTCATTTAACCTCTTAACATAATGAATTGCAGCGATGGCTTCCCTGATGTTCTGATTCTGCCCGTAGTACAGTTTATCTTCTCTCCCCTTAGGTGAGTTCATTGAGGGTGTAGCCGTCCCTGTATCCTCCGTGCCTGGTGCGGGGGCTGGCACACAGCAGACTCACAGTTAATGCCTGCTGAAATGCATTATATCAATTATCATTTAAATTCAAGGCCATCTTCTTCAACTTAAATCAGATGGACCACTGGAGGTGACTTTTTTTTTTTCTAGTTTTCAGCACAGCTTATTCCTAGACATCCCTTGAGCAGCCCACCTGTGCAGCCACAAGTTTTTCCTTCTTCCCTCCCCCTCCCCAGTCCCCTTTCCCTACCGAGTACCTTCCTGTTCTGCAAACACAGCTATGTCTTCTCTTCTTCATTATTCAACAATGAGAGGTGTCTATTAAAAAAAGCTAAGGGCAAAGTGCATTATTTGTATTTATAATGGCCCCTCTTTCTCACCTGAAGATGAATTTGCCTTTTTTAAAAAACTGGTTTTGGGGAATAAATAATTCTCCGGAGTAGTCTGAAATTCACAAAGAAGTAGCCTCTGGGAGACTGTAATGGGAATTTTGGTTCCAAAGTTTTTATTTGTCTCTTATGATTTTACTGTTTTCAAAATTTCATTGGAAAAAAATGGGGGCAAAGTAAGGCAATTTCCAACTCTCTTTTTTTTAAAAAAATAATTTTTTAGCAGTTTAATCACTGTTGTACCTTCATTAGGAGAAAAGAATACGATTTAATTACCGTGAGTCACTGCAAGGGCCAAAGCAAAGCTGTCTGGAGGTTTGCAGGCATCGGGCTTCGTGCACTTCAGCTGCCTGCACAGACACGCCCTTGACCAGGAGTAACGATGGAGGCCCAGGAAAATGCATGCAGATTGCGCTCGAGTGGCAGAGTGGGGACTAGAACCCCAGCATCCTGATTTTACATTTTCACACTGCTGGATTCAATGCAGAGAACAGCTGCTGAGCCAGGCAGTAGAGAGTCAGCATTGCTTTGGAGGAGGATCAGCTGTGAGCTCATGGGCC
The DNA here is from genome assembly GCF_000001405.40 of Homo sapiens. Classification (NCBI taxonomy): domain Eukaryota; kingdom Metazoa; phylum Chordata; class Mammalia; order Primates; family Hominidae; genus Homo; species Homo sapiens. The sequence goes on from NC_000010.11 coordinate 127,491,699, forward strand.
TGGGAGAGAATCAGGCAAAGGAAGAAACGGTCCAGGAGAGATGCCTTGGGACCAGGAGCCAGGACGGCTCGAGGCACCCAGCCATGCTCTGCGTGACCCAGCTTCTTCTCTTTCATGAGTCTCCTAACTCAGCCTAGAAGAGTCAGAGCCTCTGACATGGTCTGTAAGCCCCCCTTCTCCTCCCCTCTCTCTAACTGCAAACCCTCATTGGAAGCAGGTATGCTCCACAAACCCACAGTCAGCAATAACCTCTCTATAACTCAGTTTCTTCACCTCTAAAATGGGGTGAATAATGGTGCTCTTCTAGGATTGTCGTAAGGATAGAATGAGGAGACACATGAATGCCTGATAGACAGTGAGTATTCAAAAGTATTTGTTGAGTACTCACTGTCTCAACTAATATATATTCCTTATATATTAGTTTTTTATTGCTGCTATAACAAATTGTCACAAACACAGTGGCTTGAAACAACGCAAAGTTATCTCATACTTGTGTAGGTTAGAAGCCTGATACAGGTCTTACCGGGTTAAAATCAGGGCATTGGCAGGGCTGCCTTCCCTTCTGGAGGCTGTAGAGGAGAATTCGTTTCCTCGCTTTCTCTACTTCTCCAGGCTTCTCACATTTCTTTGTGTATGGCCCCTTCCTCCATCTTCAAAGCCAGCAACAGCAGGTCAAGTTTGCATAAAGAATATCTCTGATCTCCTCTCCAGCCTCCCTCTTCCACATTTAAGGACCCTTGTGATTACATTGGGTCTACACAAATAATCTAGGATAATTTCTCTATCTTAAATTCAGCTGATTAGCAACCGTAATTCCATCAGCAACCTTAGTTCCCCTTGCTTATAACCTAATATACCATAGGATCCAGGGATTAGCACATGGACATTTTTTTTTGGCGGGGGGCGGGGGGCGGTGGGGGGAGTAAGCATTCTTCTTCCTACCACCTCTCATAACTATTTTATAATTGCTAAAACAAAATAATAAAATTAGCACAATAGATATGGTAAGAATTACATTGTACTCACTCTTGACAAGTGGCTGGATTCACAGTGTGATAACTGAGAATGAAGACTCGGGCCAGACAGCCTGGGTTGCGATGGCAGCTCCTGTGTTTACCCACTGTACAGTTTGAGCAAGTTACTTACTCTCTTTGTGCCTCCATTGTCCAATGTTTAAAGTGGAATGACAATCACTGTTCCTCCCTTATACAGCCTACACGAAAAACCCTCCCAGGATGCTGGAGCCCAGCACTTGCTAAGTACTTTTTAAGGACTAGTTGTTAGTTGTTAACTGAATAAAGCTCCCTCAGCTCTGCCCTCTTGTGTGGGGCTCAAGGCCACACTCACCCTGGCCGTCAGAGGGCAGCTCCGAGCCCATGTCCCTGCTGTGCCTGCACCAAGCACTCACTGCACAGATGTTTCTTCTTGGTGTTTCACTTTGCTTTGCCCCTATTTCCAACACCCTCTGTTCCCAACGAGCATCTCAGGAGGGTCTCCTGATTCTCCCATATTTGAATCCAAATCCTTGCAGTTCCCAAAGCCGACTGCTATGGTTTGAATATCTGCCCCCTCCAAAACTCATGCTGAAACTTAATCCCCAATGTGGCAATATTGAGTGGCAGGGCCTTTGAGAGGTGATTGGGTCATGGGGGCTCTGTCCTCATGAATGGATGAATCCACTAATGGATTAATGAATGAATGAGTTATCACGGGAGTGGGACTGCTGGCTTTATAAGAGAGTGAGGGAGACCTGAGCTAGCACAATGAACCCCTTCACCATGGGATGCCCTGTGCCACCTCGGGCTCTGCAGAGAGTCCTCGCCAACACGAAGGCCCTCACCAGATGTGGCCCCTTGACCTTGGACTTCTTAGCCTCCATAACTGTAAGAAATAAATTCCTTTTCTTTATAAAGTACCCAGGTTCAGGTATTCTGTTATAAGCAACAGAAAATTGCCTAAGACATCAACAGAAGTGAATTCGTAGACACAGACACCTGTATCCTTCCTGACAGGTTGGGTTCTAAAGACTGTTCCTAAGGCCACATATACACATCCACATATACAAAGACTGTGCACACATGCACATATACACATATAAATGTACTCTCTTGTCATCCTTTTTCAATTAAAAAGATCATCTTTATTATTATTTGCATGACCATACCTCCCTCTGTCTTCACCTGCTGCTGTATTAAAATACCATAGGCTGGGTGGCTTATAAACAATAGGTATTGACTTCTCATAGTTCTGGAGGCTGAAAGTCCAAGGTCAGGATGCCAGCATGGTTGCATTCTGCTGAGGTACTCTTGCGGGTTGCAGACTGACTTATTCTCATTGTATCCTCTTGTGGCTGAAAGAGGGGCAAGTGCTCTCAAAGATCTCTTTTATAAGGGCACTAATCTGATTCATGGGGTCTCTACCCTCATGACCTGATTACCTCCCAAAGGTCCTAGCTCGTAATACCATCACAATGAGGGGTAGGATTTCAACATAGGAATTTGGGGGGAAATGGGGCACAAATATTCAGACCACAGCACCTTCTCATTCATAGTCTCAGCATTTGTTTACATTCTGATTGGCTTGGTGCTTATCAGACATAATGAAGTTAAAACTATTATAGCCACCCCCCCAAACTTGAGCATGAGTTTATCCAGCCAGGGAGCAGCCCAATGGAGGTCTTGAAGACAGTGTGACCACTAATGCCATCCATTGATAGTGGGCAAGTGGGTGCAGACAGGCTCTTGCTGTAGCTTTGTTCATTAGATGAAAGACCCTGTGCAAAGGCACGTCGGTGTTCAGATGTCACGGTTGAGTGGGATTGCTTCAGTAAGGCTACCCAGGGAGCCCAGGCAGCTGCAGACTCATTTTTAGCATCTCACTGAAGGGTTTCATCTCTTCACCAGCTTTGAGATATGAGGGGGATCTTATTGTCAAACTTCTATGATGCTCCCTCTGCTATAGAGTGGTCTCACAGGCACTGTAAACCCCAATAGATCAGAAGGGAATGAGAGAGGCAAATTGCTCGGCATAATCTAAGTTCAGGAGCAGAAAAGTAAAACAGGGAATTTAAACATAACCGTGCTTTAGCAGAAATAAAACCACTGTGAGATACACACTAGAAGAACATTGTCAGTGTCATAGAAGGATGTTTGTTTGTTTTCTGCAATTTAGGGTTATGCTAGGTCTTTTGTGTGTGCATTTGTGAGTTGAATACAGAATTGACATTGTGAAAGTTTTAGAAATTTTGCTAAATTTCTATTTAGTCTGGCTTATGATTCCAAACGAAAAGTTCAGTGATAAGGTATAGTTTTAACAAGCTATTTGGCAGGGGAAATTCCATCTGAGTTTGGGGACAAGTTCTATACTCTTCTGGCAGATGAAAAATGATGGAATTATTTTGCAAAATCTCCTCCTGTTTGTGTATTATCTGTCCGACAACAAGATGAAAACATTAAGTAAATGAAGTCCTTCATCAAGCAGGGAAACAAATATAAATGTCAAATCTTGATGCAAGTGTTCTGGAATCTGGAAAAGATAAAACCAAATTAAGTACATTTATTCAAATATGGAATTGTTTTACTGTAAGATTAGAGCAAAATAAGCCATACCATGAGCTATGTGGTGATTCAGGGGTCACTAAATAAGGACAGTGTCACTTATATTTCACATGGCCTTGTCAGAGTTAAGAGCTTGATGCAGGCTCTCAGTTGAGTCCTCTTCATTCCCATACAGCTGCCTTTAAAAAAATTAACAGCCTTTTTTTCTTAGAGCAGCTCTCAATTTACAGAAAAGTTGAGCAGAAAGAACAGAGTTCCCGCATTCCCACTCCCTAGTTCCCTCTGGTATTCACCTCTTGCATTGGTCTGGTGCATTTGTTACAGCTGATGAGCTGGCATTGCTATCTGATTATTAACTGAAGGTGTTGGCTTACATCAGCGTTATTCCTTGTGTCTTCTAGTTCTATAGGTTTTGACAAATGCATAATGTCACATATGCATGATTACAGTATCAACACAGGATCATACCACTGCCCTGAAAATGCCCTGTGTGGGCTTCCCTTTGTTGGAGCCCTGTGGCAAGCATGCATATTTGTTTTGTCTTAGTCTCCTAACGATCGTCCGTCTCAGGATCTTTGTTCCTGGGAGAGCCTCATGTCTGTGCTTTAGTCCCAGTCCCTCTCCTGGCTCTTGCATATCGTGCGAGGCTATACTGCTCCCAAAGTCCTCGCAGCCTGACTTTCCTTCTCTGGCACTGCCTTGATTACTTTTGCCCTCCACCCGCACTTCCATGCTCCCTGTCAGTCTTGGGTGGGAGACTGACTTGCTCTAGACGCTCTAGACAGCGCATCCTACAGCCTATTGGATGGAATTTGATTCGTATTTTGCACCTTGCCAGTCTTTCCATCAGTGGCCCTGGCAAAGCGTCAGTTCGGCTCCTCCATGGATAAGTAACATCTGTTTTATGTAACGATCCGGCACTGTCTCCATTCTCATGTCCCTGGTTGTATCCCCAGGGCTCATTTCCTGTGCAGGAAACTGCCGCAAGGAGCTGTCTATCAGTACCTCTTCTGAAGAATCGAAATAGCTGATTCTGTATGCACCGTCACTGGCCACACTTGAAGCCCGCCTGGATTCAAGGACATTAGTTCAGCTCCCATGCTGACCGTGGTACCCTCGCCTGCACTTTCCCGCAGAGGGGGTTTAATTGTTTTTTCATGATGCTGGGAAGTAAGTGGCTGGGCCTGCATTTATACTCGAAGCGCACGTTCAGGCCAGGTCCCAGATGTGGTTCCCCTCTTAGCCAGCCAATCCTGAACTGTCAGAGTTTAAATCCACCCTGCTTCTGTCTCTGGGCCTGAGAGTCCTGAACTGAGATCTGAGCCCCTGGCAGTGGTCCCAGCACTTGTTAGGATTTGCGCTCCACGAGAAACCAGCTCTTCAGAGACTCACAGTCCCCTTTTCCTGCCCAGTGGCCTTTGCCTCTCAAAAATTAATCTTGTCTGATCGAAGAGGCTTGTTAGCCTCCAGACCCCAGCAACAGCCGCAGATTGGCGAGGTCCAGCGGGCCACTCAGTTTCCCCGTGTGGACTGCGGTAATCACAACTGCTTAACAAGCACTCCTCGCCTCTCCCGCGGGCCCTGGCTAGTAGCACACCATGCAGCTGGGCCCAGGTAGACCCCAATTCCGCCCAAGCCCAGGACTTCACCTCTCCATGCTTGCTGAGCCCGAGCATATTGTGAAGGTTTCCAGAGGGGGAGACCATCTGTCTGCTCGCGAACGCACATGGCCCTCAGGCAGCCGCCTCTTCCTAGGATCCTGCTCTCATACCCTGTGGGGCTGGAGCAGCCGCTGCACAGCATTTGGCAGCTGGTGCAGCAGTCAAGGGCACAGGCGCCCACAGTGAAGACCCCTGACCTGGCTGCTGTTTGCATCCCAAGTGCAAGAATGCAAGTGGAAACATCTGCAGCGATGAAAAGGAGAACACAGAGGGCAGGGGCTTCGCCATCTCATCATGCCTGGGGTGAAATTTTGTGCCAAAACTTGTCGGAAAGATTTGGGCTGTCTGAAAGATTTGGGAGGTGCAGGACTTTGCAGGTGAAGGAATGAGGACAGAAGTCTGGACAGAGATGGAGACATTCTGAGATCTCTTTTTAAAAACCAGAAACAGTTGCCACATTGTAAAGATGAGGAAGTGATTGGATGTGTGGACATGCTCTCCCCAGCGACCCAGTGAAGGCTGAAATGTGGGTTCATGTTCTTCATATTCCTTCTGTTGCCTCGCTAAGGTTGACAAGGCAAAGAGTCATGGAGCCAGGCTCTGGGCTGCGCAGGTGTCTGCCTGCCCCGTGTAAGAGTAAAAAGCCACTGGGGCTGTTTGGGCAGGGTTGGCGTCATCTGCATTGGGTAATCATGTGCAGGATACATGGGAGGTGGTGAGATGGATGGCAAAGGCCTACACAAAGGTGGTGGCAGCATCCACAGGAAGAAACAGGCAGCCTGGAGAGCTCCGGAGGGACAGGCTGACATTTCTAGCAAACTGTTAGATATTATAAAGAGCACTGTCAGTGACCTCTGGGTGTGACAAGGAAGACAGCAAGGCCATTATCAAAGCTAAGTAGCTCAGGATGGGCGGTGGGGTGAGGACACAGGCAAGAGAGGGTAAAGCGTGGGCGGGCTCGCTAAGTGGGAGCTGCTGTTAGGCCCCTGGAAAAAGTGGCCGTGGAGCTCAGAGCCAGGGAGGGACACGATAGGTAGACAGAGCAGGAGCAGAGGGATTCATGGTGGAAATCGTGGGGCGGGCACATGATTTCTTCAATGGCTGCAGGTTTGCAGGAAAACTTGATGGCTAGGAACACAAAATCTTGAAGGCCCTGGTGAAGGGGACGGTGGCCCACCCTGAGAAACAATGACAGAGATGTAGGACAAGAGCTAGCGGAGGCTTCCACGGAGGGAGTGACCAACCATGTCCTGCGCTTCGGGGAGGTCTGGAAAACCAGCTCAGGGGTGGCTGCAGAGGGCTGCTCCAGTACGTGCTGGAATGTGTCCAAATACTAATAGACGGAGGGCTGAGGGGGCGCAGTGATTCAGAGGAGACACGTTGCATGGATCCTCCCATAAATGTCAATTAAGCACTGAGGGGTTATGCCTCCCAAGGGCTTTCAATTAGGAGGGGAGACAGACATCTGAACAAAATAGACGAGTGCACAGCGTCGATGGGGCCACGGGCCCAAGGCAGGCCGTTCCTTTTTGGAGCATGAAGAGAGGCTTCTCAGAGAGAGCGTCTTCTGAGCTGAATTTTGAAAGCTTTCTAGCAAAACTGGAATAAACAAAGCTGTCTACCATAACATAGATCTCTGCTGTGTAAGCTTGTGTGCATTCCCATCCTCTCTAAAGACTGAGTTTCCTTATTTAAAAATATGCAGGGCCGGGCCTGTGTTCTGTATGAGTGTTTTTTCCTCCAGAAGTGAAGAGTTAAAAAAAAAAAAACCTTGAAATATGCAAAACATTATGGATGTTCCTGAAAAAACTAAAAATAGAATTATTATATGATCCAACAATTTCATTCGGGTATATTCCCAAAAGAATTAAACAGGGACTCAAACAGGTATCTGTACATTCGTGTTCATAGCAGCATGATTCGTAGTAGCTGAAAGGCAACCAACAGCCAAAAGGTGGAAGTCACCTAGGTGTCCATCAACGAGGGAATGGATAAGCAAAACATGGAATATTCATGCAGGAGAATACTAGGAAGCCTTAAAAAAAAGTATTTCTGATACATGCTGCACCACGGATGCACTTTAATGACATTATTCTAAGTGAAATAAAATGGTCACAAAAACAGATAGTGTATTATTCCACTTCTAAGAGGAACCTAGCATAGTCAAATTCACAGACATAGAAAATAGAACGGTGGTCAGCAGGGGCTGGGGGAGGTGAAGAGAGGGGACTTGTTGCTAAATGGGTACGGAGTTTTCGTTTGGCAGGATTAAAGAGTTCTGGGTGGATGGTGGTGACGTCTTCACCACAATGTAAATGTACTCAATGCCGCTGAACCGGACATTTAAAAAGGATTAAGATGGTAAGTTTTAAGTTATATGTATTTTATCTCAATTTTAAAAAGTGACACTTGGGACTCCAAAAGGCTGGAGGATGGGCGGGTCCTGAGGGCTAGAAAAATTACCTGTTGAGTACAATATTCACCCTTCGTGTGGCAAGTACACTAGAAGCCCGAACCTCACCGTTCTGAAATATATCCAGGTAACACACCAGCGCATGTAGCTCCTGAATCTAAAATTTTTAAAAAGTGCTGAGAATACAGATAGAACTCATGATTCCTAAATTTTTGTAAAATTGGGATTTTGAATTTTTATGAAAATGAAACCATTGAAAAAGGCAAAGCACCTTAGACTTGGTGTCAGAGACTTGAGTTTTATTTAGTTTATTTAGTTTGGTTTGATCTGAGGGTTGGGTGGGCAGCTGTGTCAGTGGCAGATCGGCACTGTGGCTCCAGGCTGAGGGTTTGGCACCTGTCCTCTTCACCTGTTGCTTCTTTGACCCCTGCTACCTGGGGCATAGCTTTCTCATAGCAAGAGTCAAGAATACAAGGGGCCGATCCAAGTGTACTGTGCTGGTAAGGCATCCGCTCAGGTCCCATTCACTAACATTCCATTGAGCAAGGCAAGTCACATGGCCAAGGCCAACCTAACTGGAGAAGAAGAGTCTGCTGGCAGGGTAGGGGCTGCAGAGTAACCTGGCAGGGGTGGAGAGGCGCAGAATCCCATCACAGACGGCGAAGGAGCAGAATCAGTGGTCCAATCTATCTCCATCACACTCCAAAATGGAAGTGGTTTTCCTCTGACTTCAGAAACCCAATACTATTTCACAGTGAAGATGGCCATTTTTTGTTGCTCCAATTTATTTGATTTCTTGGACGATCTTTTCCATAACCAGCCCTTAATTTTCATATGACAGCGTTCGTTTTGCTATTTGGGTAAACAAATCACGGCCTCCTGGAGAAGCCACTGCTTCTCTGTTTGTTCTATTTCTGTCTGTGAAAGTGGCTCACAGAATCTGAACTCCCTGACTTACGTGTGCTCCGCCTGCATCCTTCCTGCCTACTGGAGTCACACTTTTAAATTCTTGCCAATAGCTATTTTGTGATTTTCACAGTACATCAACTTCATCACAGTGAGTAGCCTGACCCCAGTGTCTAGCTCTCGTTAATTTCCTAATACCATCTTGGTCATTAGTTGGAAACAAATCTAGACATTAAGCATTCCTGAAAATGCCTCTGACATGTAATCATTTACCATATTCGTCATTTCCACCTTCATTATGCTCTGTGTCGGGAAAGTTCCCCAATTAACATTGGGGAGATTGAAATCAGACATATTCTCATCACAGCTGAGCTTTCCTATCAGGGCTCTCCTGTTTCAAAGTAACTGCATGGGCAGACATGCAGATGGCAGAATTTTTATTAGATGGTATGGCCCAATTTTCCTGGCTCACAGAAAGTAAAAGAGGTAGCAACTCAGGAAGAACATAAAATGCTAATTCTTCTACTCAATTTCTCATCAATGGCAAACATTGGCGAACATCCAGGTGCCACTTTATGTGTCGGCACTTAGAGCTTCACCTGTTAATTCTGGGCTTCAAAACAACATTTTGGGACATGTTGTCTTGGTTTATTGTGAAATGAATAGCTTTCCAGAGAGAGACCTTTCCCTTTGCCAGGATGCAAACATTGCTTGTCGGGGGATACACACCTGTGTGCTCCCGAATTCAGCAGCAGGAGAATGCAGTGTAGAGGCCAAGACAGGGCGTGGACTCTGCAGATATTAAGCAGTAAGCTGAGCTCTGTGATATCAAGTGACCAAGCCAGAAATACCTTGCTTGGAGTGATGGGTTCTGGTGGAACATCCTTGATCATGTGGTGACACTGCAGAGTGTCAGTTGATGCAGTGCTGAATGAGGACCCAAGCAGACACAGTGTCTTTGCAAGATGCTTCTTGTATGAGTGTCAGAGTAGAAGAAAGACAGTTGGTGATGATCAGGTCTGCAACTCTTGATCTCAGGCAGTCGAAACGATAGAAACATTAAGTTTGTGCCAGGAAGGCCTTTACATACTGGGCTCCTCTGTGAGCCAGGCAAGCCCCCTGCTTGCTCAAAGCAGAGATGCCTCTCTAGGGCAGATTGCCCAGCAATAGGACAATCGATATTCTTCAGTCCCCATCCAAACTCACTCTCCTGGCACAACCTCTGTGCTGTAGCTGGGCAAATGCCTGGCTTGAAAACACTCATTCAAAGATGAGAAGCACCAAAAAGGAATCTGTATGGGTCTCAGAAGTAAAACTGCAAAACAAAAGGATAAAAAGAACATTTGATAAAAATCAGATGTAGGACCAAATTTATCAAATTGATAAAAATCAAATGTAGGACCAAAATACACAAATGAAAGAGTTATGCCCTGAAACAGCACATACTAGTAAACAGGCACTTCTCTGTGATAGCAAAAAAATAAAAGACAGTGTGGTCACATGGAAACAGGCACACATAAGTGAGCTATAAAAACTCAAAAGGAGGAATGAATGTATTGGAAATATGGAATCAGAAAACTAATCAGTTAACTTTTTTTTTTTTTGAGATGGAGTCTCGCTCTGTTGCCAGGCTGGAGTGCGGTGGTGTGATCTCGGCTCACTGCAAGCTCGGCCTCCCTGGTTCAAGCTATTCTCTGGCCTCAGCCTCCCAAGTAGCTGGGATTACAGGCAGGCGCCACCACGTCCAGCTAATTTTTGTATTTTTAGTAGAGACGGGGTTTCACCATGTTGGCCAGGATGGTCTCGATCTACTGACCTCGTGATCTGCCCGCCTCAGCCTCCCAAAGTGCTGGGGTTACAGGTGTGAGCCACTGCACCCGGTGAAAACTAATCAATTAACTTTAAGAGATGATTCTTTGCAGTGGGGGAGAGAAAGCCTAGCTAGCATAGTTAAGAAAAAAGGACAAAGCATAAATATAAAAAATCAGAAATGGGAGTGAAAAATTAAAAGCAAGTACAATGTGATAAAAATAATTGTTATGGAAGTATACTTCATCAACACTATGCATAAATCTTAAATACCTGGATGGAATGGATTTCCAATTGGAAAGCATAAAATTACCAACATTAGCCCTAGAAGACTGTGGTCGCATATCTAAAACACTCCCCAACCCCTACCAAAGATACTCCACTCTAATCCCTGGAATTTGTAAATATGATGAAATATTTGTAAATATGATGTAAATATTTGTAAATATGAAATATTATTCCCATCATGATGCTCTCTTGTATGGCACAGTTGATCTTAAATTATGATGAAATATTTGTAAATATGATGTAAATATTTGTAAATATGAAATATTATTCCCATCATGATGTCCTCTTGCATGGCACAGTTGACCTTAAAATACAGAGCTTTTGGGTCATCTAATCACATTAACCCTTAAAAGCAGAGCACCTTCTCCAGCTGGTGGTAGAAGAAAGTCAGATCTGAAGTGCAAGAACTCAGTGCACCATTATGGGTGTGGAGATGGAAGGAGCCACACAAGAAGGGATGCAGGTGGCCTCTAGGAGCACAGAGTAGAGAGCCCTGACAGGCAGCAAGGACATGGGGCTGTCAGTCCTACAGCCACAAGGGACTGAGCTCTGCCAACAACCTGAGTGAGGTTTTAAGCAGATTATTTCCCAGAGCCTTCAGGTAAGTGCCCAGCTGGCTGACACCTGGATTTCTGCTTGGCATAACCCTAAGAAGACGACCCAGTTGAGTCTACCTGAAATGTGGTCTACAGAACTGTGTGATCGTAAATGGGCTCTGTTTTAAGCTATGAAAGTGTGATAATTTGTTACAGCAGCAATAGAAAACAAAGATACAGAACATCAAAGTCGATAAGTTTCCAGGAAAGAAACAGAATTATCAAGAAGTCTCAGAGGCAAATTTTGTCAAAACTTCAAAATACACATAATCAAACTTCTTTATCAAAGCCAGAGTAACATGGAAAACAAAACTTGTCAAACACAGCAAAACAAAACAATACAGATGACTAGGGCAATTTCACTTAAAAATATTGATACAGTAATTCGAAATTAAATATTAGCAACAGATTCCAGCAACTTATTATACAAATGAAATCTACTACTATAAAATGTGTTTTTCCCAAGGATGTATGGATAACATGACATATCAAAGATATGACAGAAGACTAGGGCAATTTCACTTATAAATATTGATACAGTAATTTGAAATTAAATATTAGCAATAGATTCCAGTAACTTGTTACAAAAACTGAAATCTACTACTATCAAGTGTGTTTTTTCCCCAAGAATTTATGGATAACATGACATAGCAAATCCACTCATATAATGCAAGATATTAATTAATCAAAGAAGGATCAAATGACCTTCTCCATGGATGGCAAAGTACATACACGAAAAAGTTCATATCCAATTTTTACAATACAAATACTTCTTAATAAACTAAGACATCATGGAAATCTTTCTACATTGTACAACCAAAAGCTAGCATCCGGCGAGTGGGGAAAATACAAGAAGCAATCCAGTTAAGTTATGATAAAGATGCCCCCTGCATTAGTTTGCTGGGGCTGCCATAACATAGTGCCACAGACCGAGTAGCTTAAACAGCAGAAATCTGTTTTCTTGCAGTTCTGGAGGCTGAAAGTCCAAGTTCAAGGTGCTAGCAGCTTTGTTTTCTTCTGAGGCCACTTCCCTTGATTTACAGATGGCTGCTTTCTTGCCATGTCCTCACACAGTCATACCTCAGTCTGTGTTGTCTGCCTCTCAATCTCCTCTTCTTATAAAGGCATCCACCATATTGGATTACGGCCCGTCCATATGACCTCATTGTACCTTAATTACTTCTTTAAAGACATTGGCTCTAAATCCAGTCCCATTCTGAGCTACGGGGGGTTAGGACTTCAACAAATGAATTTGGAGGGACACAGTTCAGCCTGTTTACTCACTATTATTGCCATGATATTACGTTCCTCTGGAAAGTAGTAGATGGTAATCTGGCCACATTATTAAAAGTCAGAATGCATGTAACCTTTGAATTTGACATTCCAATGCTATATTATTATTTTAAAGATAAAATGGCACATGTGCACAGACTGCTATGTTCCCTGCAGCTTTGTTTGACTAGTAATTGGCTGGACCAAAGGTCTCTCATTTGCTGAATGGATAGACAAAATGTGGGTTATCCATACAATAAACTATTAACCAACCATAAAAAGGAATGAAGTGCTGGTACATGCCACAACATGGATGACCCTTAAAAACATCCTAAGGGGAAGAAACCAGTCACAAAAGGCCATATATTGTCTGATTCCATTTATATAAAGTTTTTAGGATAGGCAAATCTAGAAATACAGAAAGTAGGTTAACAATTGCTTAGGGATGGGAAGGGGAAGTCAAGGGAGCAGGGGGACTGAGTACTAATTGCATATGAGGATACTTGGGAGGGGCTGCTTTATACTCAGAGGTACATCCCCTGAGCCCTCCCTCATGGGTTTCAGTTAACGGCAACTTTAGAGACAGAACCACCGGCAAACCTTGGAAGGCTGAGCTCCTCTCCCTACCTGCTCCCATCACCTGCCTGACAGATGTACCAAGAAACACTCCCAGAGAAGATGGCAGTGGGGACAGGGTCTGTTGCTACCTTGTGGTTCCCGTACTAACAACATGAGAACTCATTGTTCACACGGGAATCTCAACATGAAAAACTTGTAATTGATTTCATTCACCTATCATTATCTCCAACAAATCAAGCACCTACAAAGGGAGAATGACAATTGGGAGGAAAAAGAGGTAGGATGCTTTCCTAGATGGCTGAAGTTTCTAGAGCTTGCCATATACTTCTGTCCCAAATCTACTCGGAAAATAAAAAAGTCTGAAGAAACCACAGGAAACAACTTCTCTGGTCCACTAGACTCAGATTTTAAGCAATTCCTTTTCTGAGACATCAAATGTCAACCTCAATACAATATTCAAAAATTATTTTTTCTTTGAATAGTTCTCCTGGAATGTCCTGTCAATCAGCTGGAGTTGGCAGGAGTGATGAAACCTATTTGTCACCTGAACTGTGATCATCTGGGGATACTGACCATTCTCCAGAGACTCTGTGGCTTTCAGTCTCCTGTAAAAAGATCAGAACGAGGAAGCTATATTTATGGAACATTCACCTGGAGCCTGATGCTGTGCTACACACATTACATGCACAGCCTTGTGGAATCCTCACAGCACCTTATGAGGAAGACATCCTGACACTTTTATTATATCCATTTTGCAAATGAGGGCACTGACCTTTAAAGTGATCAGTCACTTTCTTAAGACTACAGAGTAAATGGCTAGACCAGGATTTTAACCTTTTTCTGTCTGCCATACCCAAGCACACTATAAACCTCACACCTGTATCTCCCTTGGAGGGTGAACTCATGTGTTAACTTACGGAGACTCCTAGCACAGGGCCCAATGCTTCTGCCTCAGTACACATTCAGAAGCAGGAATGCTGAGTGAAGGCAACCCTCTGCTATAGCCTGTAATAAGGGCTGGCATACAGGACACATATTTGTTGAATGAATAAATGAATGAATGATTATCTTTTGGGCCATTAACTCAGTCTTAGATAGCTGAGATTCATTAAAATCCAAAATTTGGGAGAGAGCAGTGAACTGGACTGCTTTTAACACCTGGTCACGTAAGCTTGTTCTTAAAAAGGACTTGGGCATCTCATGAATGACAGCAATGGCCTTGCTGTAATCTTGTAACCCCTTTGCAAATACCACAAGTTTTTCCAATGTTATATTGCAAGGGAAGATCAGATTTGATATTTAAAACCTTGTTACAGATTCTCATTTACTAAAACACTTTCTGTAAAGTAAAATTTTCCTTCTCTTTTTCCTTGCGATCTTGGCTCTTTAGAAGATGACTTAAAAGGATGGACGTAAGTCAACCCTTCGTGCAGCTGGAGCATTTGCAAAAGGAGTGTTGATGAGAGCATTTCCTCCATAACTCTCAGGAGAGCAGAGGTAGACGGCGCCCACACAGTAATCACGCACTTCCGCCTTTGGATGTGCAGATTAGATGACAGGAAGCGGCGTTCTTTGGAATTCAGTGAGGTGGATGCTTTAAGCTCATCATGGCTAGAAAAGTGACTCCACACTGCTCAGAACTAGAGATATATGGAAGCATCAAACAATATGCATTTTCAAGAAATTAAAAATGTTTTATGTGTTTATTTATTCTGAAAATCCCCCAAATGAAAAAAAAAATAAGAATATTTCCAATGTTCTTTGATCACTAATTCTCCATCAGGCTCCTATGAGGAAAAGGTCATATCTGATTTACTGATGTTTTCTGGCAAGGACCTGCAAGGTGTCTGCACAGTGTAGGTACTCAGGTGTTCAATAAAGCCACATTAAATAAGGAAAGATTCTTGGAAGAAAATGAGATATAAAATGACTTAGCATGGACTCAGTTAGCCCATTCAATTTCATCTACATTGTTTGGTTTTCAAAGGAGAAACCTAGATCTGAGCTCATTTTTTTTCTTGATAAACAATCCCTCCACAAATAGCAAAACAGGCCCTGCTGGCATCTAGATAATCATTTATAGCTGTGGTGCTTATTAAAAAGACTCAGATTTCTGGTCTTTGTTCCTAGAGATTCTGATTCAGTAGACCTAGGCTTGTGTAGAAATCTCTACTTTTAAATACCTTTTGGGATGATTCTTAGCAGAACTGTATTTGGGGAGCACAAATTTATAATTATTCAAAACCAGCAGCAGGGTCAGCAATACTTTTAAAGAGGATTAAATCACGGCAAGGTAAAAGTTAGATCACCTTAGAGCTGAGCCAAGCAGTCAAAGCATCTCGGTCTTGAGTGCACATTACAACCACCTGCAGCAGCTTTTTAAAAACAGCGCTTTGCCCTCTTTCCAAACCACTTAAGTCAGAATCCCTGTGGTGAAGCCAAGGCATTCCTCATCATTTAGAGCTTTCTTAGAAGATTCTAGAACAGCCAGAATTGAGAAAAACTGAGTTAAATAAAACCCTGTTCAAATGCATGTCGATTTGGTTGCCTTTTGCTGACTTTTGAGGTCATCCCAGAAAAAAGTCTTGCTTGTCGATTTCCTTAATCATATTCAATACCTTACAAAGTACACAGTGTGCACTCTGAATTAGGTAGGGCTGATCTTGCCAACTACATTTTACAGATAAAGAAAGTGGTGTTCAGAAAAGTAAAAGCATTTGCACAAATTAGCCCGGCTGCAAGTGATGGAACAAACATGCAGGTTTTCGGAACAGCCCAAGCCCAGTGGTCTTGCTATTGCACCACGTGGCCTGCAAACTCTTAAAGGTTTACTGCTGAGTTGAGCTTGCCCACGTTAGAAGTTGTTTGATAATTGCTTTTTATGTGAGTCTCTAAGCTTGACTGAGTAGGGGGTAGATGTCCAGGGTGTGGGTGAGGAACTACACAATCACATACGCTCATAAAAGACAGGCAGCCGAGGATGGACTGGCTTCCTGTGATGCTCATCATTTGCATCTTATTAAAAGATGCTAGGAAAAGAGAAAAAAAACCTTCAAAGACAAGCAGTTAAGTGAATCAAAAACTTGCAAGGAAAGGGATAAATGACTCAGGGAAAGAGAGAGCGAAAACAAGATAACATAATATATATATTTAGGATCAGGCTTCCTAATTTACTGCAATCTGTGATTCTCTGAATCTGACTACATTGGGTATAATTATTTCTGTCTAAATAATTTTGCAGACTTGCAGCATAATAACTCAGGATTACAAATAAGAATCAACTCCACTGTGCTCACAACACAGCAATAATTATGTTCTTGAGTTGGTACAGCTCCTTACAGCTTAGTGCAAAGTAATTATGTTTTTTCTTGGTGCAAAGCATATTAACCTGTGAAAATTACAAGCCGTGAAGTGTAAGAGAAGTCTGTGTTTCGAATGGGAAAAATGCCTACAGAAGAATTAGCTGGCACTGGAAGGACTTCCTGGTGGAAATTTCTGGTCACTGGTAAGGTCATCAGCTTCCCACACAGACAGACAGAACTTTCAGTGAATGAGATATAAAAGCAGCTACATTCTGCCCAGTTAAGATAGAAATGTGTGGCCAGGTGTGGTGGCTCACACCTGTAATCCCAGCACTTTGGGAGGCCAAGGCGGGCGGATCATGAGGTCAGGAGATCGGGAACATCCTGGCTAACACGGTGAAACCCCGTCTCTACTAAAAATACAAAAAGTTAGCCGGGCGTGGTGGTGGGCGCCTGTAGTCCCGGCTACTCGGGAGGCTGAGGCAGGAGAATGGCGTGAACCCGGGAGGCGGAGCTTGCGGTGAGCCGAGATCGCGCCACTGCACTCCAGCCTGGGGGACAGAGCGAGACTCCGTCTCAAAAAAAAAAAATACATACATACATATATATATATATAAATATATATATATTTAATGTCTATCTATCTATCTATCTATCTATCTATCTATCTATCTATCTATCTATCATCTATCTATCTATCTATCTATCTAAATAGAAATGTGCATTTGATTGTGGAAAGAGCACGGGAGTTCTTGAAATCTATCTAGGTGGATACCTGTGGTTTAAGCAATTCCTTTTCAAAAAAAGCTGTATATTCCATTCCATGAATATACCACGACTTCTTTATCAATGACTGGCTGCCTCTGGGGAGTGGTGAGGATTGGCATGGTGAGCTATGGAAAGTGATTGAAGAGGGATCCCCGGCAGGTTTCTACTATATTTGTGATGCTTTACTTCTTAAGCAGGATGGTGATTGTACAATATTTATCTTATTCTCTACATTTTTGTGCATTTTAAATAATGTATAATTTATTTTTTTTTTCAAAAGAAAGAATGCAATTCAGAGAAGCTGTCGGGGACATAGCTTTTGAATTTTCCAGAATCTCCACATAAAAACACATAGAGCAACTACATAGCAAATCAAAACCCATGGACAAAATTTACAGGAAAACTAGATAACAAGGTATTCCTGCAATTTCAAAAATGCAAGCAAATGGAGAAAAATCTCCAGTGGTTGCCAGACTTTTGGAGTCAGTACGGGAGAAAGTGGAAGGAAGACTTGAGAACAGGGGGACCCCAACAAGGTCAGCAGGTATTCATGGGTAAGCACAGTGTGAAAATCTGAGAACAGTGGTTGAAATGTGGAGAGATTTGGCTTGTTCCAATAATGAGCAATGGCAAGAGACAGGGATTAAGAAGAATCTGAGGCTATCTAGCTCTGATGAATCTTGAAACTGACTCTTAGGAACCTCTAGGACAGAGCTTCAAATAGAGAATATGCTGTTAGAAGTGCAATCAAAATTGAGCAGGAAAGGGAGCCAGGGATAATAGAAATGGAAAGTGAGATAAAATTGTAGACGTGGAGGACACAGAGCCAGGAAATATCAAAAAGTAAGCAGTCGTATTTGAACACCATATGAAAACAGCAGAAGTTAGAAAAGCTGTATTGGAACAAGCCACCTTCTAGAAGTTCAGAAAAACTAACTTCATGTAAAGAATGACAACAGATTACTATCAAGATCAAATCCCATGCCAAGGTACAGTAAGGAAAAATATATTATGGAGCAGAGTAACCTCCCCACCATGAAAGCACTCCAAAAAGCCATACTAAGAAAAAACAAAACCATTTCAAAATGTGCTAAGACATTAAGAAAACAACACATGGCACAAAAGAACAACATAAATCAGAACTAGAAAAACTCGGAATGAGGTAACAGAACTCAAAAAACAATTAGAAATACAAACTTTAAAACGTAATTAGAAATTAGCATTAAACTAGAAGGAATGCAAGAGTAAATAACCAAACAAATAATGTCTTATTAAAAATAGTAGGTGAAGGCCAGGCACAGTGGCTCATGCCTGTAATCCCAGCACTTTGGGAGGCCAAGGTGGGTGGATGATTTGAGGTCAGGAGTTCGAGACCAGCCTGACCAACATGGTGAAACCCCGTCTCTACTAAAAATACAAAAAAATTAGCTGGATGTGGTGTTGCATGCCTGTAGTCCCAGCTACTCAGGAGGCTGAGGCAGGAGAATCACTTGAACCCTGGAGGCAGAGGTTGCAGTGAGCCAGGATTGTGCTACTGCACTCCAGCCTGGGCAACAGAGCGAGATTCCATCTCAAAAAAAAAAAAAAAAAAAAAAAAGGTAGGTGAAAAATACAGTCTTAAAATTAAAAAAAAAGAAATGCATAAAAAATATATATTTTTTAAATTGAAGATAATGCATAAAGGATTAAAGATAGACAAAGAAGATCCAACAGATAAGAGTAGTCCCTAAAGAAGAAAACTGAAGGAAAGATATAGAATAAATAATACAAACTCTAATGCAAGGAAACTTTCTTGAAATAAAGATATATAAAACCACTTGCCAAAGCAGCACACTATTTGCCTGAGAATATCAACACAGAACAACCAATAAGAAGATATATTCCAGTGAAATCACTACACTTATTTTTTTTAAAAAAGGAAAAATCCTCTGGATATACAGCCAAAAAAGAAAATACAATTTAAAAGGAAAATAAACATAGATTATTAGCAGATGATTCTTTTTTCAGAACATTTTGTGCCAGAAGAAAATGAAGTAGCACATTTAAGATATTTAAGAAATGAAAATATAAGTCAGGATTTTACATCTGACAAAGTTTATCTTCAAGTACAAAGAGCACAGGTAAATGGTTACCAATGTAAAAAACTCAAGGAATCTTGTTTAAGTGAGATCTTCCTAAGGAACTAGTAAAGAACATACTTCAGACAGTCAAAATGACCCGAGAGTCTCAGCCTGAGGACTGGCAGTGTGCATTACATATATATTTCCTTGTAAATGAAGACTCAATAAAAGCTGAAAGGGAAATATCATAGTGTGTAATGGCTATAGGTAGAATATAAGCAAAATAAAAAAATTAAAATGTTTTCAATGATGATAACTGGTGATGATAGTATTAGAATACTTACCATCTAACAAGGGGGTATAGCTGAGGGGTAGATCATTTGACTGCAGAATAATTACCATCTGACTCTAGTATGTGTAAATAAGATGAAACAAGTGAGTAACTATAGGTATTCTAATTTTACCATCTCCTTTGTCCTTTAGAACCAATACTCTTAGTGTAAAAAAAAGGCCGGGGGGAATTTCAATGTAACAGAGTTCAAAACCCTGTAACTTTGAATGTAATTTTAAAATATCAGTATGAACTTACAAGTTATTTTATTTTTACTTGCAGTGGGGAGTGAGAAATCTATCTATCTATCTATCTGTCTATCTATCATCTATTGATATAGCCCAACTCTGTCCATTGTAACTATGAACATCCAGTAGCAATGAAAATTGTAAGAACCCAGATTGTGGTCTTGAAATATCACTTTCCAATAAAAGAAACAAGAGCTTAGAGAAATAATTGATTCCAGGTCTGGAGCAAGAGATGTATAAGATGAATCTGGAACATCACATAATACTAGATAGTAAGGGATATGGTTTGCTGTGTCCCCACCCAAATCTCATCTTGAATTCCCATGTGTTGTGGGAGGGACCTACTGGGAGGTAATTGAATCATGGAGGTAGGTCTTTCCTGTGCTCTTCTCATGACAGTGAATAAGTCTCACAAGGTCTGATGGTTTTAAAAAGAGGAATTCCCCTGCACAAGTTCTCTCTCTTTGCCTGCTGCTATTCATGTAAGACGTGACTTTCTTCTCTTTGCATTTGGCCATGATTGTGAGGCTTCCCCAGCCGCATGGAACTGTAAGTTCAATTAAACCTCTTTCTTTTGTAAATTGCCAAGTCTCAGGTATGTCTTTATCAGCACTGTGAAAACACAGTAATGTAGTAAGGAAGCTTGTAAGACTAATTCCTCTGGCTAAATGTGGAACAAGTAAAGAGGGCTTTGTTATGAATGAGAATTGCAATGGATTGAACTCCAATAAATATGTTTATATCTATGAATTTGCAATGACTTTTTAAACAATTAACTTGTCACCTTTGGAAAATGACAGGAACCAATTCATTATCTTGGAAGCTGGGAAAAAATAGAGAAAAGAATCAAGCATTTACTTTGCCTTTTCTTTAAGAACTATGCCACTGATAACCAAACAGTGGGAGAAGAAAGCATCTTCTTATAAAATTATTCCAGTGAGGCTGGGTGCGGTGGCTCAAGCCTGTAATTCCAGCACTTTGGGAGGCTGAGGCGGGCGAATCACGAGGTCAGTAGATCGAGACCATCCTGGCCAACACAGTGAAATTCCGTCTCTACTAAAAATACAAAAATTTAGCCAGGCACAGTGGCCCCTGTAATCCCAGCTACTAGGGAGGCTGAGGCAGGAGAATTGCTTGAACCTGGGAGGCGGAGGTTGCAGTGAGCCGAGAATGTGCCACTGCACTCCAGCCTGGGCGAGAGAGAGTGACTCCATCTCAAAATATATATATATATAACTAACTAAATAAATAAAATTATTCTAGTGAAATGAAATGATAGAATGAAATGAAATGATGGAATGAGAACATCAGTGTTCTGTAACGCCCAGGGAATTAATGGATACAGGCATTAAGCAACATGGCTGCTAACATTTAAAAAGACCATAAATCAGACCCTCTCTTCTCCTGATAAAGGAACACAACCTGTAGACTTGCCAAAATGTTCCAACCTGAGTCTGACCTAGCTTTGAGATCCAGCTGACAAATTCCAGGAAATATAGAGGCCCAGGAACATGATGAACCACACCAGGATCTTGCAATCAGCAAAGCCCAATCTATGGGAAACTATAAGTCAAACAGCCTGGGTTCTTCTCCATATAAATTGTAGGAAAAGAAAAAAGAATATGGATTACTGAAAACTTAAAAAAAATCAAGTTTCAAAATATGGGCAAGATTAATTGGTAATATCTGAAGATAATGCAGGTGACAAAAACATAAGGGATCCCAAGGACGTGATTACTTTAAACATTAGAGAGTGGTGACTTTTAGAGCAAGCAAGGGTCTAGGGTTGAAAGGGGGTGACTGGACAAGTTCATGATCGCAGTGATGGCTGCAACATTATTTGCCTTAAAATTATTCACTAAACTATTCAATCAACAAATGAATAAATGGCAAAAAGGAAGAACGAATAGTAGACTTGGGATTAGCCCACCTAGGATTAAAATCCCACCTCCTGCCCTTGTTAGCTATTTCACTTGGGCAAGTCACTCAGCTTTGCTGACTTCGTTTTTCTCATAAAAATGGAGTCCAACTTGCAGTGTAGTGGCAAAAATGCTTCCTGCCTCCATATTTTTGTCAACATGGAATAAAATGTGATAACGTAAGTACATTTCCCGGAGCCTCGCTGACTAGCACTAAATAAGACCCTGGGAAATGATCTTGGGATATGAATATGGATCTTAACTATCTAGAGTCAGCTTTGCTTTGGAAACAGGAGAACTGGGTCTGCCAGTCATACCCTTTGTGATGAGGGAAAATCACTTTTAAAATAGGAATAAAAATAACAATACCCACACACAGCCCTGGGTGACTGTGACAACTGAGGGCAAGAACAGGTGTGGACACCCCATCAGTGGTCAAGAGAAAGAGCCATCGTTCTTACCCTCCAGGGCCTGGGGAGGAGTACTGTGCCTAATGGCATGTGGGAAGGGTAGCTGTGCTTCAGTGGCTGCTCTAGTCTATGCAACATTTTAAAGTTCACTTACTAAACAAAATTTAAAAAAAAACATAATGAGAAGCCTTTATTGGCCAATTGCTATGATTCAGGTAGCAGTGTGAGGCTATTTATATCGATATAATTTATACCGATTGAAGCATAAGCGACAGTGTTATTTCCACCGGTTATGAATGGGGAGACTGAGATACCCAGGATTAAGTCAGAGGCACAAGACCAGAGCCACAGAATGGGGAAGCAGGATTCAGACCAGGCTGGTTAGCCCCATGGCCTGGCTTTTCATCCCTAAGAGGCCCAATAAAGGATGTACAGAGGAAAAAGAAAAGCCCCCAAAATCTCATCCTCTTCCAGATCCTCCAGTGCCCCCACCTCTGAACATGCTTCTGTGGGGAAGACCTTGCTCAGGGAATCACAGCCACAGCTGGACCCGCGGACCCCACAGCTCCTTATCCTCCTTAGCACCAGATCACCTGGGAACCGTGGCCTTGTCTGAGTTTTCAAGACAGCTTGCTGTCCTCTGAACTCCAGGGCCACGTTTCTGGCTCCCCAAAGGGTGGTTCCTTTTCTCTTCTCCACCATGACGCTTGGACAAGCTGCTGCTATGTGAACACAGATGGACTCTGGCAAGTGCTTTTATTGGAAAATGGTCATTCTGATCTAAGGCTTCCCTTTAGAAGTAGGAGGCAAATAGCCCAGAGGTTAAGGGCTTCAGGTTAGGGGTTAAATTAACTGGGGTTCAAATCCCATCGCCATCCTCTGCTAGCTGGGTGGCCTTGGACATGTGCCCTAAATTGTCTGTGTGCCTCAGTTCCCTCACTGGTAAAAAGGGAATCATACTGCCTACTTCATAGAGTTGGTGGGAGAATTTAACATAAAGTGCTTAGCTTAGCACGAGGCTCATAAGAAGTGTTCAATAAATGGTAGCTATTATTATCATTTATTACAACGAGGTCCAAATTAGAAAGCACAATCTGCCCTTCCTCTCCAATGCTCTCAAAAGCCACGGCTCCAAGGATCCTAAGAAAGAAAGCTCTTTACATTTCATATTTTATGTTCAAAATTCATGTGATTTTTACATTCTACTTCTGTGTTTTCTGGGAGAAAGCATTTCCATCTTAAACCCAAGGCAAATGGTTAATATCTTAGCATATAAAAAGTTTTCTAAAATAACAAGAATAAAAGATTCATAAACCTGATTTTGAAAATAGATGCCAAACACAGAGTTTAGATTAAAAGAAAGGTAAATGGCCACTTGATATATAAAAATAGGCTCTGCCTCAGTCCTGATAAGAGAAAGATAACTGGCTGGGTGCGGTGGCTCATGCCTGTAATCCCAGCACTTTGGGAGGCTGAGGTGGGTGGATCACGACGTCAGGAGATCGAGACCATCCTGGCTAACATGGTGAAACCCTGTCTCTACTAAAGATACAAAAAATTGGCCGAGCGTGGTGGCGG
Organism: Homo sapiens; assembly: GCF_000001405.40. Lineage (NCBI taxonomy): Eukaryota > Metazoa > Chordata > Mammalia > Primates > Hominidae > Homo > Homo sapiens. The sequence continues at coordinate 127,515,396 of NC_000010.11, forward strand.
GCGCCTGTAGTCCCAGCTACTCTGGAGGCTGAGGCAGGAGAATGGCGTGAACCTGGGAGGCGGACCTTGCAGTGAGCCAGGATCGCGCCACTGCACTCCAACCTGGGCGACAGAGCGAGATTCCGACTCAAAAAAAAAAAAAAAAAAAAAAAAAAGATAACTAAAACTACCCTGAAATGTCATTTTTTACCCATCATTTAAAAAATGCAGACATTGTAAAACACAGTCTGTTGGAAAGTCTGTGGACAGATAAGCTTTTATATATTTCCAGTAGGAACACACAATTATATGAATGCTATGCAGCGGAATGTGGCGTTAGCCAGCAAACCTACTGTATTTGTCCTTGACCAGACTATCTCCTCTCTAAAAAGCTACCTTGAAAATAAACTTCCACAAATACAAAAGCACATATGGTCAAGCTTATTAATTGTGCTGCCTTTTGCAATAGCAGGTAATTAGAATCAATCCCAATGCCATGAACAAGAGACTAGCTGAATAAATGACGACAGAGCCTGCAGCCATGAAAAAACGTAGTAGGAAGACCTCTCTGGATTGATTTGAAATGATGTCAAGCATATGTCGTTCCATGAAAAAAAGCAAGGCACAGAACAGGATATCTAAAATACTACTTTGGGGATAAAAAGTAAGAGGAAATAAAAATGATACGTGTGTTTGCCTACTTTTGAAAAATTAAAAGAAACCCCCCAAGAATTTCTAGAAATGAATGGAAGTGGCTGCCCACAGAGGCAGGAAAGTGGACTAACGGTGGGGCTGGTAGAAAGGCAACGCGAATTCTCAAATAATACCTTTTATACAGTCATGTCTTTGAATCCTGAAAACGATTTATATATACAAAAAGTAAAATTTAATCCTAAAAGGCAAAAAAAAAAGAAAATCTAAAAAGAAAATTCAAATAGAATCAACGAAACTAACTAGACTTCAAGTTGGTTAAAAAAAAAATCTGCAGAAGTGAGCTATCACTGGTCACATTTAGATGTGACTCTCTCGAGACGGCCAGCACATGGTGAGAGTTATCACCTCAACAAAAAGAACAACAAAGAAAGTTTGAATGTTCCTTAGTGATTTCATGAGTAGAAATTATATTGGTATTGTAATTTTGAAACAGTTTAATCTACATTGTAGGATAAAGTAAATAGTAAATACATTAATGTTATTAGAAACTAAGATATTCATGATATGGGAAAAGAAGTACAACTATAAAGTCTAAAAGGTTAAAAACAAAACCCTATAATGTTTAATTTGAATTGGAATAGCAATATGAACTCAGGCTTTTTAAAAATAAAATCCTACCTTCGCCTTCTGAGAGAGCCTAGAGACTGACTCTTCAGTAGCAACAAAACTATCTAACACCCAGACCTTGGTTTCTAAATACCATTTTCCCCTAAAAGGAAATAAGGATTCTTGGGGCAGATAATAATGATTTCAGATAAGAAAGATGGATGGTAAGCCTGGGACATCATTTTGATCCAAAAAACATGGAAATACTCAAAGGCTAAAGGGGTCTTACTAAAATGACTGGGGCTCTACTGGTTAAATGAGATAGAGGGAGACAAGCTGAACTTCAAAAAAAAAAAGACTAATTCATAGAATACATAAAAATATATGAGTCCTCCAAGTGGTACACCATGAGAGGGGGGCTGGTGGAGGGGGATAAGTTTTCTAGTGGCTTTACATTAACTCTTTGCTCTGAAAATTGGTAATTGAAGGGGAAAAAGCATGAACTGTGCATTTTTTGAGAAATGATCTTTATCTCCAGTTTATGCTAGCAAGCTCTCCTTTCAGAAGAATGCTGGCTAATAAATGTAGAAATTATGATGAAAGTTGCAAATCACCATTTTACAGTCCTCGAGGAAATGACTGATATAAGCAAGGAGACTTGAACGATGCTAAAACCATTCAGAAACGTTGGGGAAAAGAATATTTGCATAGTGCCAAAGTATCCCATGTGGATTGCTGACTACTCACAGTGGGGAATCCAGCCTTTACAGGGGGAGATCCCAGGGCCACCCTTTAACCAGTGGTCGGACTTAGCATCACTAATAGGGACATAGGCTGACATCCTAGATCTCTTGATGTGATGCAACGTGACCCACACGGTATCGCCTTTGAAGCATTCTTGCCAAAAATGTTTAACCAGAATCTAACAAAGCCCTTTGACCTAACTGTCAGTTTACAGCAAATTTAGTGGATGAGAGAACATAGACAACATCACAGGAAATAATAAAAGAAATCCAGAACATTATAGAATTTAGCAGAAGGCTATATTCACTCAGCAGTCCTGTTTCTGAATCTGTACTGAGGCAGAGGCACTGGGCCCTGTGCTAGGAGGCTAGCAAGGTTAAGACATGACTTTAAGAGCAATACAAGTGTGAGGCTTACAGTGTGCTTGGGCTTGAGAGACAGAAACAGGTCAAAATCCTGGTCTAACCATTTACCCTGTGGCCTTAAGAAAATGACTGAACACTTGAAAGACTAGTGTCCTCATTTGCAAAATGGATATATTAAAAGTGTCAGGATGTGTTCCTTGTAAGTTTCTGTGAAGATTCTATCAGGTAATGCATGCAACACACTTTGCACAATTACCTGGATCAGAGTAAATTTTTATCCTTTTTATTATAATTATAAATAAATTACAAAGATTATAAAAATATGTACATATGAAAACATGACTTATAAAAGCTTGGCAGTCCGTGGATAAAGAAAAAATTAAGCAAAACCTCAAAGAAATAATCAGACCTAGAACATGGAATATTTTTCAAGACAACTGGAATTATCTTTTCAAAGAGTCAATGTCATTAAAACCAAGTAAAGGGGCAATTTCAATTTAAAGATATAACAAAGAAATGCAGTCCGTGAAACTTGTTGGGATCCTGGTTAGAAAACAAATGAGCTATAAAAGACATTTGCCATAGATTAAGTATGAACATGACCGGGACATAAGACAAGAAATTACATCATACTCTTAGCTGTGATAGTGATCCATACTTTCAATGTTCATATTTTCTTTTTCTCTTTCTTTTTTTTTTTTTTTTTTTTGAGATGGAGTCTCGCTCTGTCGTCCAGGCTGGAGGGCATTGGCACGATCCTGACTCGCTACAAGCTCCGCCTCCCAGGTTCATGCCATTCTCCTGCCTCAGCCTCCTGAGTAGCTGGGACTACAGGCGCCCACCACCACACCAGGCTAATTTTTTGTATTTTTAGTAAAGACGGGGTTTCACCGTGTTAGCCAGGATGGTCTCGATTTCCTGACCTCATGATTTGCCTGCCTTGGCCTCCCAAAGTGCTGGGATTACAGGCATGAGCCACCACGCCCAGCCAGTGTTCATATTTTCAAGAGATCCAGTTGAAATATTTAACAGTAAGGCATCAGGATATGTGCAACTTACTTTTCAATGGTTCAACAACAACAACAACAACAACATCTGTCTGAGCCGGTAGGTTGATTTGGGTGGTAGGTATTCAGTTGGACATGACATTCTTCCTTCAATGTCTCTGTATGTTGATTATGCTTAAACTCTTTGTATGTTACTTCAAAATAACGAGAGCCATCTATGACAGGTCCACAGCCAACATCATACTGAATGGCCAAAAGCTGGAAGCATTTCCCTTGAAAACCAGAACCAGACAAGGATGCCTTCTCTCACCATTCCTATGCAACATAGTATTGGAAGTCCTAGCCAGAGCAATCAGGCAAGAGAAATAAATAAAGGCATCCAAATAAAAAGAGTGGAAGTCAAACTATCCCTGTTTGCAGACAACATGATTCTATATCTAGAAAACCCCATAGTCTGTGCCCAAAAGTTCCTTGATCTGATAAAACAACTTTAGCATACAAAAATGTACAAAAATCAGTAGCATTCCTGTACACCAACAACATCCAAGCTGACAGCCAAATCAGGAGTGCAGCTCCATTCAGAACTGCCACAAAAATAATAAAATACTTAGGAATACAGCTAACCTGGGAGGTAAAAGATATCTTCAATGAGAATTATGAAACACTGCTCAAAGAAATCAGAGATGACACAAACAAATGGAAAAATATTTCATGCTCATAGATAGAAGAGTCAATATCATTACAATGGCCACACTGCCCCAAACAATTTACAGATTCAGTGCTATTTCTGTCAAACCACCAATGACATTCTTCACAGAATTAGAAAAACTATTTTAAAATTCATATAGAACCAAAAAAAGCCCGAATAGTCAAGGCGATCCTAAGCAAAAATAACAAAGCTGGAGGCATCACATTACCTGACTTCAAACTATACTACAAGGCTATAGTAACCAAAACAGCATGACACTGGTACCAAAACAGACACATAGACCAATGGAACAGAATAGAGAGTCCCGGACACCTACAAACATCTGATCTTCGACAAAGCTGACAAAAACATGCAATGGGGAAAGGACTCCCCATCCAATAAATGGAGATGGGATAACTGGCTAGCCATATGCAGAAGATTGAAACTGGACCCCTTCCTTACACTATATAAGAAAATCAACTCAAGGTGGATTAAAGACTTAAATGTAAAACCTAAAACTATAAAAGCCCTGGAAGATAACCTGGGAAATACCATTCTGGACATAGTAGGGAAGGGAAAAGATTTCATAACAAAAACACCTAAAGCAATTGCAACAAAAACAAAAATTGACAAATGAGACCTAATTAAACTAAAGAGCTTCTGCACAACAAAAGAAACTATCAACAGAGTAAACAGACAACTTACAGAATGGGAGAAAATATTTGCAAGCTATGCATCTGACAAAGGTCTAATATCCAGAATCTATATGGAACTTAAACAAATTTACAAGCAAAAAACAAACAACCCCATTAAAAAGTGGGCAAAAGACATGAACAAACACTTTCCAAAAGAAGACATACATACAGCCAACAAGCATATTAAAAAAACCCAGCATCACTGATTATTAGAGAAATGCAAATCAAAACCACAATGAGATACCATCTCCCATCAGTCAAATGGCAACTAATAAAAAGTCAAAAATAAGAGATGCTGGCTAGGTTGCAGAGAAAAGGGAACGCTTATACACTGCTGGTGGGAATGTAAATTAATTCAGCTATTGTGGAAAGCAGTGTGGTGATTCCTCAAAGAACTTAAAATGGAACTACTATTTCATGTAGCAATCCTATTATTGGGTATATACCCAAAGGAATATAAATCGTTCTACCATAAAGACACATACACGAGTATGTTCCTTGCAGCACTATGCACAATAGCAAAGATGTGGAATCAACGTAAATGCCCATCAATGGTAGACTGGATAAAGAAAATGTGGTGCATATACACCATGGAATACTATGCAGGCAAAAAAGCAAGATCAAGTTCTTTGCAGCAACATGGGTGGAGCTGGAGGCCATTATCCTTAGCAAGTAACTCTGGAACAGAAAACCAAATACTGCATGTTCTCACTTACAAGTTAGAGCTAAACAAAGAGGATGCTTCGGGCGCAGTGGCTCACGCCTATAATCCCAGCACTTTGGGAGGTCGAGGCGGGTGGATCACTTGAGGTCAGGAGTTCAAGACCAGCCTGGCCAACATGGTGAAACCCCGTCTCTATTAAAACTACAAAAAAATTAGCTGGGGGTGGTGGCAAGCGCCTTTAGTCCCAGCTACTTGGGAGGCTGAGGCAGGAGAATGGCTTGAACCCAGGAGGTGAGGTGACAGTGAGCCAAGATCACTCCACTGAACTCCAGCCTGGGCAACAGAGCAAGACTCCATCTCAAAAAACTAAAAACAAACAAACAAACAAAAAAAAAAACCCACACAAAAACCAAAAAAAAAAAAAAAAACAAACAAACAAAGAGAAAGCATAGATGTAAAGAGGGGAACGACAGACACCTGGGCTTACTTGAGGGTGGAGGTCAGGAAGAGGGAGAGGATCAGAAAAAAAACATCTATCAGGTTCTATGCTTATTACCTGAGTGACGAAGTAATCTGTACACCAAACTTCCATGCCGTGTAGTTTACCTATTTAACAAACCTGCACATGTACCCCTGAACCTAAAATAAAAGTTAAAAATAAAAAAAAAAATGCATTCATAACCACAAAAACACTTTGGGTATACTTGTTTACATTCTTAAGAAAACATGGAAATCATTTTCTAATTAAATACTTAATTGTTTTTTTCCAAATCTTAAAAAGAAAATTGGTGCGTGGGAAGATGTGCAATGTGTGTGTTTTGGAAACTTTAAGAGCTGCCCCTACCCCAAAGCGGGCACAGTAATGTCAGAAGTGGGGAACAGAATGGCAAACTGTTGAGGCTCAGATACCTTGGACACTATATTACCAGGGCTCAGGAAGGTTAACCTTGAATCCCTGGCTCAGGGTCTCCCCTCGTCCTGTGGCCTCCCCCTCAGATGCCCAAGGCCAGCTTCCCTCTTCAGGACTGTGTGAAGACAGACCCTTTTAAAAAAAATAACTCCAGACACAAACTGGTAAGATGAAGAATTCCTCACTGTGTGACCTGGGGCAGTGACAGCTCCTTTGAGCCTCAGCTTCCTCATCTGTAAAGCAGACTCAATGACAGAACCCACTTCATAGGCCTAAGGTGGCGAGTCGCTGAGATGACGCATGTGAAGTGGTTGGCCGAGTGACGATCCCATGGCAGATCCTCCATCAATGCTCGCCATCCTCATTCTCGCTCTCCCCTACACCCACACGAAACACTGGGCTAACACTTTCAAAAAGCATTAAGGGGCCTTACAGAACTGGTGATTGCCAAATGACAGAAAAGACTGCAGCTCTCAGGCCAAACATTACCTCCCATGAGTGACCCTCACTGTACGGGCCTAGACCAGGATCTTCCCTGAACATCCTTTGAAAAGAATTCTGCATCACTGTCCATAGTTTAGGTGTTTTCTCAAACAGAAATCACCTGCTCCCATTTTACTTCAGTCTCTGTAAAAATGACCTTGTGGCTTCTTGCTTTAAATGTGGTCAAAACGAGGCTTAAGCTGAAGCAACTCAGGGTCCTCTTCCCTCTTTGTCTCCCACTTCTTTGGGTTGCAGTCCAGACACCACACTGGGGTGGGTGGGGTGGTGAGGGGCTTTGTGTCACCTGGCCCTGGGGGCACGGCCTGGGCCAGGCTGCTTCCACCCTGATTGATGACCTCCTCTGGATGTAGCTCATCCACCCAACTGCTGTGCTTGTCCATCAGTTATGGCTCCTGAAGGCTGACTTCTCTCTTTTCCTTAGACTTTGGGCCCTCTCATTCCTTTTCAGCCCTTCTGTTCCCATCTTGAGGGAAACGAGAACATCTCAGGTGCATTTCTGCCCCACTGTGGGGTGCATGGAATTCCAAAGCCCTTAGGATGAGAGGCCGGGGAGGCACCCACACCTGGCTGTCCTTGGAGAAACGCAAGGGCAGCTTCACAGTCCCGTGGTGACCTAGTGGTTCCCATTGCCCAACCTTCTTTTGGAGTTTTGACCTAAGCAGTGGGTCAGGGCTTCAGACTTCTCAAGGTCCTACAAGTTCTAAATTCATGCCAGTCCCCTCTGGTCTTTCTCCTATAACCAGCTGGGCAAAGCCTTATCCCCTTTTGGACAGAAGCAAACACATTCTCTTTCTAATCTATTATATATGGATTAACTTTATGCCTTCATCCTTCAGACTTCAGGTTTGATTTTCCCAACGAAGGTTTTTGGAATTCAAATCAGCCTTTTCTCTCTCAAGGGCGTAGCTCTCACCATTCAGTGCTGTGGCTTTCAAGACCATCCTTTGCCCCAGCTTCCTCTCATCTTCTTAGAGCTCCTCCAGGGCGAGGGAGGCGTTCATAAAAAAGCCCTTCATGCTGCATGAGTGGTGGAGGGGAGGGAAGAAGTAAAAGGAACTCAAAGGAAAAACAGACGGTAATTATCGTAGGCTAAATAATAGCCCCCAAAAGACGACCACATTCTATTCCCTGGAACCAGTGAATTTACCCCACATGGCAAAAGGGACTTTGCAGATGTGATTAAGTATCTTGAGATGGGAGATTATCCTGGATTATCAGGGTGGGCCAAACGTAATCAATGGGACCTTATAAGAGGGAGGCAGGAGGGTCCGAATCAGAAAAAAAGGAGATGAGACGACAGAAGCAATGGTTGGAGGGATGAGCTTTGGAGATTGGGGGGAGGAACGAATCCAGGAATTCAGGCAGCCTCTGGAAACTAGAAAAGGCAAGGAAACAGATTGTTTTGCTGGAGTTTCTGGAAGGAATGCAGCCTGCTGACACCCTGATGTTAGCCTCATGAGACTCATTTTGGACTTCTGCCCTCCAGAATTGTAAGATAACAAATTTGAGCTGTTTTAAGCCACTAAGTTTATGGGAATTTGTTACAGCAGCAATAGGAAACACGTGTAGTAATACGTCAAAATTTTATGTGGTGACACGTCACTATTGGTGGGGTTGGGTGAAGAATGCTGCCTTTCCCCTAGTGGACTGTCAGCATCACAGGGTAGAATCCAGGTTAATTTTGCCTGCTCTTGTAGTCTACCTGGGGTAGGCACACAGAAGGTATTTACGAAAGGCATGAGTGAATTGTTCTCTTTCTCAAAGATAACTTTTGCTCTGATGATAACCATCTGCCAATCTCAAGGACCTATTTCCTTTTCACTCTCGTGGTGTCTGGCCTGTAGTCTCTGCAAGATGTGAGCATCTTACTCCCCGCTATGTTGTTATCTGTTTTCCAAAGTCAAAACACCCCCATCTCATGCCTCCCCACAGGGCCAGTTTCTGTCCCAAGGTGACATGCTTTATCTCAGCCAAATGGTAGCACTGGGATGCTTGCCATGACAGTGAAAATGCCCCTTCCAAGCAAGACTACACTCTCTGCCAATCTTTAGAATTATTTGTGAGGACTCAGGTAAGACCCTCTCATCCTATCCCCTCTTCAGTGGCCTGGTCCAAGTGGCTTTACCTCTCACTGGGATGGAACCATACCCTAGACTTCACATAACATCAGGGAATCTAAGGTTGCCTGCAGCAATCATGACAGTCCACTAGGGGAAATCCTTCCATGCTCAGGCATTTTGCTACAAGGGTTAAAACCCTTCTGTTGCTTCCGACTTAGCTCAGAAGAGGTGTGCTGACTGGCCTTTAGAATACCAGTAGATATGCACCAAGTCTGCCCAGAAGGCTCAGAAGGCTAAATGAATATTATCCCTGATACCTGCCACCCCCCTATTAATCAGTGGTGGAAGAACTATCTCAGAACTGTTTGTTTCAATTGGCCATTTCAGTTTAGTAGTAAAAGACTGGTTAATGATAACAACGCATTGTAAAACTTTCAGAAGGAAAGGAGAATGTTTTGTGGACCACTTTGGTTTTCTTTTTTGCATGTGGCAGTTTTAAGTTATTAGTTTTTAGGATCAGTACTTTTTAATGGAAAAAACTTGACCAAAAATTTGTCACAGAATTTTGAGACCCATTAAAAAAGTTTAATGAGAAAAAAAGAAAAAAGAATATCAGCAGACACAGATCTGTGGAGGAGTCTCCTTCTTCTTCCCAGCACTGACAGTATACCCCAGGGATGGCACACAGGTGTCTTTGTACACAGCTGTAACTGATTCATAGTGGCTGCCTGGAGGACCACGCTGGGGAAAATTCTGAAGCGACATCTCAGTTCAGACACAAAGAGTGCTACAATGAGTGATTCCTGCTGTGGGCAGGAGGGGTGGGGAATGAATTTCCCATTTCCGTGCCACCCTGTTGGCACATTTATGCTGCTATGAGTCACCCATTTTCTTTGTGCATTCCTCTCTCCAGCTGTGTTATAAACTTTTGAGTTCAGAAACCAGGGCGTAGGCTTCTTTGAGTCCCCAGTCCATGACACAGTGACTGGCACACAGTAGGGTTTTTATAGATGACTGTTTCATCACTCTCTGAGTATTAAAATATGGACTTAGAAACAGAGTTTCTTACTGTGTGTTATTAAACCCTTTGGAGAGCAGCCTTGTCTGGTTTCTATCCTCCCTGTTCACTGCCGAGAAGCCCAGGCACAAATGGGCGTGCTTTGATCACTGCTGACAATGTCCTGCTGATTTCCCCCAGTTCCACTTACATTCCTTTTATTCTGCCCTCCATGAGTTAGAAGGCTTTCCTATTAGAGTTTGAGATATGCACAAATAGCAGAGCTCTAATTCTGGCATTCAAGTTGTTGTGGACAGGTTAATTCTCTAGGACAACATCTCTAAACTGGGTAGCGACATTGGTAGTTAGCAACTTGAAGAAACAACCACTGAAAATCCATGTACACACTAATAGGGTTCTTTATTACATATTTTTGAATTGAGCATGTGGAATAGGATGCCGATAAAGTAGCAATTGTGATGCTGGATTGAGCAGAAATAATGATCCCAAATTGTTAACCATGTTGTGGTTAAGAATGAATCAACTATCATACAAATGTCAATGGAGACATTCTCCTCCTAAATCATCCTCCCATATTTAACTGTCATTCATAGATGACTCAGCTCAATGAATAGATGGAGTTTAATTCTCCTAAAACCTTTCTTTAGCCTGACTACTAACCAGCTGTCTTACCTCACAGAGTTCTTTCTGGCTTGCTAAGTATACACCAGATGGCTTAAGCCCCATCTTTCCCCCCATTCCAGTTGGGGAGACGGACCTGTAACCAAGATATTTTATTAACTGTTGGAAATGCGTTGTATGCAGGCTTAAAGCTTTTAGCACTGCTTTGAATGTCAGGAATTGACAGTTCATGCTAAAAAGGGTTAATCAGATTTAGTGGATTGCTATCCAAGTTTTATCAAATGTCAGGCTTTTCTCAATATGCTGCACATCAGCAAGATGAGAGTATCATTGAGAGGAAATTTATAGAATATGTCTGTGCTGATCCCAGGACACAAAGGGAGTCATCTCCCAGGCAACAGAAATGTCTTCATATTCATCGGGTTCAGGGTCCTTTCTCAGACTCTTTGTTTCCTAGACTTGTGGGTTTTGTTGGGCGTAGGACACATCCTATTTGTTAGGAGGAAGGTGGGGCTCTCCTGACCTAGCTGACCTGGGCTCCCAGCCTCCCATGGCCAAACTTTCAGGCAGAAGGGAGGGGGAGTATTGCGGATGGTCAGAATGAGGGGCAGATTGAATCCAGGCCAGGAAGGTTATTACGCTCTTGCCTGACTGCAGATAAGTGGATTTTGGAAACAGATGGTGCTGTCTGCAACCCAAATTACAAGAGGCAGGTACAATGAAGAGGTAAACAGTACTTACCTTCTTTGCCAACAGATGGACAGATTCTTGACTTATTACCCAGCTACAAGATACAGTTTCAATTACTTCTATTTAAAATTCCAACTGGGAATGGTTATATTGGTACAAAATAAGGGGAGGCAATATCAAGTGAGAGATTAAATATTTAGGAGCAAAGAAGAACTTGAAAATTAACACTATGCATAACCATTTCAATCACAGATTTTAAAAAATGAGACATGTAGAGACAAGGCTCTTATGACAACATATTCGAAAGGCCTAATTTAATGGAGCGGTGCCCCAAACCCTTCTGGATGTTTCCGTAGTGCAACAAACATCAACCGTGATTTCTTCTCACATAGGCATGGCCTCCCTGAGCCCTCGCATGTGACTGATGATCTAAGGCCCTCAAGGCACAGTTCTCTGGGTCTTTCAGATGGGCAGTGACTGACCAGAGGTGCCTTCAGATTCTTCTCCTAGCCCACGGAGCCACATAATTCATATCTCAGCAGAGATGCCATTCTTCATCAAACCACATTTCCTCCCCTTCCCCAGGAAGGAGAGAGAGACAGGGGAGTGGCAAGAAAGCCAAAGCTCAGTTTCACACATATGAATTCAGATCTCCCAGGAATATTCTTGTAGACATGCCAAACAGTTTGAAATATGAGTCTGGAATTCAAAGGGGAAGCTTTCGTTTTAGATGCACTTTTGAGATGATCAAGTTTGGAGTGGAACGTTATGAAAGCCACTATCAAAGTTCTAATAACAGCTCAGCCACCAGAAAGTGATTTCAAATTAACCCAATTCCTTTCTTGTCTTTTGCACTCTTGTTGAATGGCATGAGTCATGCAGGGCGGTATTTCTCCCAAGCCTTCCTCTTCCTCTGTCTGCCTTTCTCCCAGGCTCCAGTTCCCCAACATCCCTTCCCTACACGCCTCTCCCATGACTTCTGCATGTACCTATGCCATCTTTTTCCAGCTCTGCAACACAATGCAAAACCCTACAAGAGCTTTTTGGCAATTCCTCAAGGAGAGGAAAGAAACCTAACTCATAAAACCAGAATCTTTTAAGAGTAAGAAAAGCTGTCCCAGCAAATGAGCAACAGAACTTCTGATGCCAAAGTTTCTTCTGGGTAGAAAAGAGCACCTTTTCCTTACACAAGATAGAAGGAAGTTTTCAGAGGCAGCAGGACAACCGGCTTCCTAATCTGGCTAAGGGTCCCATTGAGATGATGAACCGACCCTACGATTTACAACTTGTTCATCTGTGTCGGATGAAATGGTTGTAAGAGAATCCACATTCACAATAGAAAGCCAAATAAAATGTATGAGAAGGTATCTTTGCATCTTTTTGGCATATTTTGGAAAAGCCGCTTCCTGTTTCAAGCCATCATTGTTTTCATGAGAGGAAGTGATCAGCATGGGGCTGTGGTGTGGAGCCAGGATGTTCACAGCCAGCCAAGCTCTATCGAGAGAAGAGCCAGCTGTGGGCGGGACTGCCACGCTAGAAACAGTTCAGAAAACCAGACTGCATTGAAACCTCCTGAAGTTCGTCTGAAAATGTGGCCCTGACTGTGAGCTGTGAAGTGTTACTAAAAGAAGAAAATAATACAGCAGTTGTCTGAAATCACGAATTAGCACTCCGATGTGAAAATAGGACTTGAGAATGTCAAATAGCTACAATAGATAAAAGACTGGAAATTCTCGGTTGTACTCATTTGCCAAATTGGAATAAAGATTTGGTCTTGCTGAACCAAATGTGGCCTGCTTCCCACATCAGCAGAAAAAATTCCTCCTCCTAGTTTCTAATGCTTATGACAGTGAAGCATTATGAAGTGTGTGTGTGTGTGTGTGTGTGTGTGTGTGTGATCAACCACTTTGCTATGGAAATAGGGAGTTAGAGAGGTCCTAGGTCCTTATTAGAGATTGCCAGAATGTTTGGATAAACTGCAATTTTGTGGATTTAGTTGACTTTGAAAAGTACATCACATTTTCAAAGAACTGTCAGATTGTCATCACATGACAGAGCTCAGAGATTTAACAAGATTTTATTACAATGGGATGAGAATGTGATTTTTAATATAACCCTCAACTGATGCATTTTTGGAAGTGCCATCCCCTTTCAAAATCATCATTTTTTGAGTCTACTCATGTTTTCCAGGGCTTCTATGATCACTCAAACAGCCGTTTGATCTGGTGTTCAGAGCTACATTATTTGAAACTCTGGAAACTCCAGAAAATCATTCTCATCTCTTCCCAGCCGTGCCTCTATTTTTAGCCTAATCATACTGTATTGGTCGGTTTGATCCCCCACTGAATTCACAGCCCTGATTCGGAATGACTTTTCCTCTTTCTGAAAGTCAGCACCATCCTAGGCGAGATGGTTGAAAGCCACAAGGGAAATTCAAAGGTATCGTGTTTCTCATTTTCCCAAACTTGGAATTAAGCTCTAGGTTTTTTTCAGATAATTGTTTTTTGGTTAAAATATTGTCTGTAGACTTTAATTTATCACAAAGAAGTATTCATGGATGAATGAATGAATTTAACAAGCATTTGTTTCAGTGTTTATATGTGTCCTTTATTATGGGTCCAACACATGCTTGGTGGTTGGGACACACACTTGGACAAGGCGTGTCTTGGTCTTACGGGGTTCTTAGACAGCTGGGGACAGGCTCACACATGGATAAGAGTGTGGGGAAACATGGGTGAACATGGGTTCTACAGACACCGGGGCATCTAGGCTGGCGAAGGGGGACGCAAGCAGAAAGCTCTCCTGGGAAATAGCAGCAGCAGGTGAGGAAGCAGCGCAGGGACCTGCAAGGGAGGGAGCTCCGGTGACAGCACCAGAGGCAACTTCTGCCCAGGATCAGCTCATCCAGGAGGCACAGTGGGACCTCTGCCTGGGGCCTATGGCATTTTAGAACCTGTGAAGACGCTTTAATTGTTTTTAGAATCAGAAGACTATAAACCAGCTTGATTATATTTGTCTTTATGCCACCATAGTCATAATATATAAATTGTAATATTCCTTTAAAACATTTTTTTTTGAAGAAAGGGGCCTATGAGGACAATAATGGCTTTGACCCATGAAAGTCACAGCGTGGCCTTGCTTCAGGCTGACCATCAAAGAGACATCTCAGAGTTGTCCCTAAGGGAGTCGAGAAAGTTGGGTTTTTGCCCTCGTGCAAGGACTGTCTCTGATTAGCAATTGTCCAGGCAATGTGAACTCTTTGCACGTGGCTCTCTACTCCAGGATCTCCCAAGGGCAGCCTCTGAAGGAGAGCAGCAGGTGCTGGCCCTGGGAGCCCGGAGGAGGAGCTGGGGCACAGAATCAGCAAACAGGGGCCTGAGGGCTGCCAGGGCCGACAGTGGACCCCGTTGTTTGCATTGCAAGAGAAGTGCTGAGGGCCGAGCTCACACCTGTAATCCCAGCACTTTGGGAGGCCGAGGTGGGTGGGTCACCTGAGGTCAGGAGTTCAAGACCAGCCTGAGCAACGTGGTGAAACCCCGTCTCTACCAAAAATACGAAAATTAGCAGGGCGTGGTGGTGCACGCCTGTACTCCCAGTTCTTGGGAGGCTGAGGCCTGAGAATCGCTTGAACCCAGGAGACGGAGGTTGCAGTGAGCTGAGATCGCACTGCTGCACTCCAGCCTGGGCAACAGAGTGAGTCTCTGTCTTACAAAAAAAAAAAAGAGAGAGAGAGAGAAGTGCTGAGAAGTTACAGGGGGAAGCTGGGACCAGGGCAAGGATGGGGCTGTTATGGTCACCAGGGACCCAAGCTGATGAGCAGCAGCGCTGAAGCTCAGCAGGAAAGCCGCTTCATTATTCTCTTTTGAAAAACACTGGGGACATGGGAGACTGCACCAGAGGAAAGGACATGCATTGGTTCTCCTCTGACTTCCAAGAGATGGTCTCAAATCACTAACACAGACAAAATGGGACCCAGCCATCCAGAAAGACACCTGAGAAATAGAAGTCTGAGATTTGGTGAAAAGGGGACTGAGATGGGAAGCACTCCCTGGCCCAAGGTGTATGATATTCTTGGACAAGTGTCTGCTCCTGAGTGGAAACCAGGCCAGGAGCTCAGACCCAGACAAGGTGTCACTTGGGCTGGGATTATGCTGCCGTGATGCTGGCTGCTTTCTCTTAAGGGGACCTTTTTGCAGAAGACGATAGGCATCAAATCCTGGGCTCCCGCTGACATTTTCCGTCACGTGGCTCTTTCTCCTACCAGTCACTTCTTAATAAAGCCTGTCACCTTGAGATGGTGAGGTGCCAAGCTGCTTCTGGCCTTTCTTGCTCCCTCATGACCTTCTTTCTATCACTTGAAACCTAGCTCTGTACCCACAGCCTTTTCTCCCCAGAACCCCAAGCTGGAGAGCTTCTGGAGTGGCTGATTTTGGTAACTAAGCCACGCCACAGTCACTCTGCGGTCATCCGGAGAAAGCAGCAGCTTCATCTCGGCTTCTCTTTCCGGGTTTGTGTGTCCCTGAGCTCATCAGAGAACCCTGCTAGTTCCTGTTTGTAGTTCTTTAGAATGAGAAGAGGAACCCTATAGAGAGGTGATATGGGGGAGCCGAGATGGGCCAGCATTTTATTTCCAACCTTGGGTGGCTCCATGGGTGTGTGAGCCATGCAGTCCGATGGGCCCATGCTCAGATAGGCTCCTCGTTTGTGTAATGCTCTGCTGTCCTTGTTTGGAAATTCTTAGTAATGTTTGAACAAGGAGCCCCATATTTTTATTGTTCACTGGGTGGCTCTGCAAATAGGCCACAGGTCCTAGATCTCAGCCAAGATGGTGACAATAATAGCGACCCCGTTGAGCTGTGCCAGGCACTGTTCTAGGCACTTGTGTCTGCATGCATCTCACTGCAAGTCTATCAGGTAGTTATTGGTATTTATTATTAGCTCCACTTTACAGATGAGGAAACTGAGGCACAAAGAGGTTAAGCCACTTGTCTAAGGTCACAAAGCTAGAAGGTGGGAGTTCAAGGCTCCAGAGTCTAATACTCATAGCCTCACACACTGCTGCTTCTGAGGCAAGTATCCGATCTCCCTGAGCTCTCTCTGTGCCTTTGCCCATCTGGCATTCCTGGGATTCTGAGGTAGCAGCCCTCTGCGTGAACTCTATGGAAAGGCCTGGCTACCCTCCCAGATGCTCTAGTGGAGTAGTTCATGCTTGCCCTGAGCCCACCCTAGCAAAGTCTTATGAGCCAGATAGGCCATTCTAACCTTTTGCTCTCTGGAATTTTCCTCAGGGGCAGAGTTGCTAAGTGGTCTATCACCTTGCTGCATCCATGCGTTTCTGCTACCAAGATCCCTGGGTCTGCCTGGATCTGCCAGTGCCAGGCCCCGTTGCTCAACTCTTTTCTTCCTGTGAGCCTCCCACAGACTTCCCTGGTCTGGTTGAATGAGCCCATCTCTGTGTCATACAGTGGAAAACCCCACCCTGTACAGGGCCTGGGGTGCTTGTCTGTGGAGCATGGTGATAATAACTGCCATGCTGGATTGTGGCGACAGAACAATGCCCGCCATGTGCCTGGCTCAGACCCCGCACACAGTAGGTGCTCAGAAAAAGATGGCCGTGGCCATTTGTGCTGAAAGTCAAGGACTCTGCTTTTCACATTCCTGCAACTTTACTGGCAATTTATTCTTGTGGCTGCTCAGAGAAATTCCGTGTTTATCACATGTTCAGCTGAGAAGCCAAAGGAGCTCTTTACTCTAAAGTGTGATGAGGCTTCATCTTTGACAGGTGTCTTTTCCATAGCGCTGACATCTTTCTCAAGCAGCAACTTCCCGTAGAATCTCTCTGAGCTGCCTGCGAAATCATCATCCGGGTTGGTGGACCCAACTTCCCAGGTTCTCTAGCTGCTGCCAAGTGGAGGAGGCACATTCTGGGCCTCCTAAGCCATATTCCAAACAGAAAGAATGTCCCACTTTCTACCTGTAGCCCCCTGCCTTCCTCCCAGAGCTTCAAATATGAATGTAAAGGAAATGAATAATCTGCCATGTAGATGTGTTGATTCTTTAGACTGAATTGGCCAAGTCTTTAATGGGCTTTCATGGAAAATAAGTAAAATAATTCCAAAAGGAGTGAAATTCAAAAGTCCTCACAAATCTTTCAAAACCAGGTTATTGGTGCTATTCAGACATGAAGTTGAAGTTGGCTGTTGGAGGCCCTGCCAGCTCTTGGCTACCAGCAAGGGCGGGCTTGGCACAGAGCAGCCCGGGGAAGAGAGGAGGGCAGACATTGGCGGTTTCACTTCTCCCATGCCGGTATGAGGCCTGCGTGCCTCTGTGCTCCTCTTCCTCTAGAACTGCCTCAATCTTGTAGTTAGCAATCTCTAAAATATGGTACACCCTTCCTCCACCTTGTTCATTCTTGAAGATTCACCAGAAATCTGTATTTACAAGAAGAAAAAATATGCAACTACCAGATGGACTTTGAGGCTGATAAATCTCTTAGGCAAGCTTGTCCAATCCACAGCCTGGGGGCCACATGTGGCCCAGGATGGCTTTGAATGTGGCCCAACACAAATTCATACACTTTCTTAAAACATTATGAGATTTTTTTGCAATTTAAAAAAATCTCATCAGCTATCATTAGTGTCCTAATGATATTTTGTGTATTTTATGTGTGGCCCAAGACAATTCTTCTTCCAATGTGGCCTGGGGAAGCCAAAAGACTGGACAGCCCTGCTTAGGAATCACAGACTATCAGGGAAGGATGAAGCAGTGCTAAGAAGCCGTAAACACCTCCTAAAACTGAAGGCAAGTCCCTTCAGGAATGGCCACAGCACAGAGGAAGTGTGGTCGGTTCCTGGGGGTGGGCCTGGCATCAGGCAGCCAGTGAGTGCCATCCTAATGCGATTCCTCCCCAGGCTGGAATCTTGCCTCTTTCCTTTGCAGTGTCCACCATGGCTGTTTTTGCTGCCTATTTCTCAGGCCAGCAGCACTCAGATAGGCTGGCAGAGCTCTGGCTGCTGAGATGAGGTGGTTGGCAAGGCTGTTGGGCAGTGCACTCCAGCGGGAAGGGGCCCCCGCCCCCAGGCACTCCTGAGTAAGTGCAGAGTCTAGCACTAAGCCTGGGGGTATGTTCTGGCAGGAGGAGTGGGCATCCTCCACTCTCAGGGAAGTTGAAAAGCAAATGTAGGCCTGAGGACTGACCTGCGGGCAAATCCCCACTAGCTCCCAATGGGAAATCAAGAGAACTCAGCCAGGGCTGTGGAAAGGGGTGTGAGGAACGTTTGGGACAGAATATGTCATCAACAAAAGACCTGCAATTTTACCCTCCGGAATCCTAAACCATATCTGCTCTGACCCTCAGGGGCCTTCCCCTTGTATTCCAGTCTTTTGGGCCAACTTGATCAAGGCTACAATCTAGAACTTACCATTGTCAACAAGAAACCCTAACATTTTTTCCCCACCTAAGCTACATATTGCAGACATACAAGCAAGTTTTAAAGAACTTTGCCAATTCCGCCTAATTTCAATGCGCTGCAGTGGTCATCGTTGCTTTCACAGGCACAGGAAACTCTGAAATGTCACCAGTTAGAAGACGTTTCCTAGTTGGCTGACCTAGTGTGATGTGTATGTTTTCAGAGACAGTTAAGTAAGGAAGCTTACATAACTTATCAGCCATGTTTGTCTTTTGCAATTCCACTGGGGAGGGCAAGCATGAATGCCACCTTACAAAGGCAGAAGCTATGACTTAGGGGATTCCTTGTAATTCAGAAAGTGAAAGTCACACAAATCCTTTCCAGTTCCGAAGGAAGGAAGGAGGCCAGTGGTGAGAGGTCAGCCCTCTCCCGTCTCCCCTTCCCATCCACAGCTCTGTCCACAGTGGAAACTTGGTGGCAGAGGGGATCAGTAGAAAAGACTCATATAAATAGAAATGGTGCAGAAGCAGAGGGGTTTAACCTCTCTTCTGAGTCTCTGGAAGGGCTTCATTGTTGATTCCGGAACCAGAATGGGTGACCACAGGAGAACAGAAACCACAACTTAGGGTTTTCTAAGCCAGAAAGAGGACCAAAGATAACTCCCCAGGGCTCCATGCACCATCAGGTGGACAGGGAGGAATAGAGAAGTTTCTATTGCTCTCAGTGGAAGGCAACTGAAAGTCAAAAAGCCATTGTCCCTGCCTGAGAGGACCAGAGCAAGATGGGCCAGGCTGCTTGGTGAGGCTGCAGGTGAGCAAGCTAGGGGCAGATGGAGCTGTCAGGACAGGGTGGGGACAGGAGAACACACTAGTCTCAGATGCCTGTGGGATGGCCCTGCTCCAGGAAGGAGCAGCCAAGAAACAGGAATCCCTTACCTGCAGCTACCACAGAGCTGTTCCTACCTTACCCAGGTGCCTCTGGGAGAGGAGCAGGAGATGGCAGAAAAAAACCCACCAACACGTGGCTGACCTACAGGCTACTGTTTAAATACAAGGAGACCCTTATTGGCAACTGAATTAGCTTTCAATGCTAAGTTTAAAACATTTCCAGATGCCTCATCCCTTGAAGAATCCTGGTGTGAGCATGATGAGGAAACAGATAGAGAAAATAGAGAGACAATAGTTATTTCTCATTTACCTCTCTGTGTCTCAGGCGCCCCATGTGTAAAATAAAAATAAACATTACCAAATATATTTGTCTGTTTTTATGCTGCTCATAAAGACATACCTGCGACTGGGCAATTTACGAAGGAAAGAGGTTTAATTGGACTTACAGTTCCACGTGGCTGGGGAAGCCTCACAATCATGATGGAAGGCAAAGAGGAGCAAGTCACTTCTTACATGGATGGCAGAAGGCAAAGACAGAGAGCTTGTGCAGGGAGACTCCTGTTTTTCATAACCATCGGATCTGGGGAGACCTATTCACTATCAGTAGGACAGCATGAGAAACACCTGCCCCCATGGTTCAATTACCTCCCACCGGGTCCCTCCCACAACATGTGGGAATTCAAGATGAGATTTGGATGGGGACACAGCCAAACCATATGACCAAATTTACAAGTTGTTTTAAGGACCAAATACCTGAAAGAGCTTGAAAAAAAATGAGTGTGTTATCCAAATGCAAGACTCGAAACACACTATTGTTAGTGGTTTTCAGGTTGGAGCCCCGCAGGCGAATCCTCCACATATCTTTTTGCCTTTCTTGCAGCACAAAGAAGAAAGCAGGTGACAGCCATGGCTGATCTCTCCCTCCTTCTTTCAGGGAAGGGGGCCACTGGGTAGAATCTGTAGATCACAGTGACACATCCTCGGCTAGAGGAAGGAAGGGCCAGGGAATAAACACAGCAGCCCCAACACCAGCCGTCACAAACCTTCTCCCTCCCAGGAAGCCAGACACTGCCCCCGTCCTGGTGGAGGGATTCCTGTGCTCTGGCTCTGCTCCCAGCTTGGTAAGATTTTCTGCCAAAGCAACCCCATGCCTGAGCCTTCCTGTTTGCTCATCTTTGCCTCCAGCCACACCCACTCTTATTAGGCATTTAACTTTTCCTTCTGGCCAATTTCAGATGTGTATTTCAAATTTTTCCCACTTAAGCATCTGACAAGGTAAGAATAAAGAACATAGATATTTAGAGGAAACAAGCTGCTTTTATTGGGCTCAGCAGCCTCTCATTTGTGCAGGAGTGAATTGTGGTATCTGTTACTAATTGTGTGGTTAAAATATTAGTTGGATGCCCTTGCAATTTTCACAAGCAACTGTATTCATAATCTGTCTAAAAATGCAAGGTGGCAACCACCGGAAGTCCGCTCGAAACCCAAACCACATGTAGTGTAGACGTCATGTTTATAATCAGGCTTTAGTGTTCATTTCACAGGGAAATTAATTATACTTAATAGTCGCAGATAGCTGCAGAATTCTAAATAAAAAATTCAAAAATGGTAAAAAAAATTCACAAAATAACAAGAGGGAGTTTGAGTGAAGAGATAAATTTATCGCTATCTTGTTTAGGGGTCTGAGATTCAGAAAGCTCTGTCTTTCAGAGGAGCTTGATAATGACACAAAATTATTTTAGCTGGGAGATCAGGATCATTCTGTAGGCCAAAGCAGAAGCTTCCAGTAGATAAAGTTTCAAGTGCCTGGTATTTATGTGTCCATGAATACAACCCTAATAAAAGACTGTAAAGTTTAAAGGGGTATGTAGTTGGAAGATAACTATGGTACTCATAAAAACTCGGTAGTAGAATCTATGGATGAGAGGTCTGAAACCTTGCAAAAACAAAAAAAGAGAGAGCGAGAGATGAGGACAGAGGTGGAAAACAGAACATAGCCAGCAGGTTTGTCCTGAGAGATGGGATTCACTGGCATCACTGAGGCCTGGAGCACTGCCTCCAGGGAAGGGGCTTTGAAGCTAGCAGCCCCCGAGGGGCCTGAAGATTGTTGTTATGTTGTTTCTGAGCCTTTTGGCTCTGGAGGCCAGACAAAATTCTGTCTGGGATGCGAGAAGGTGAGGGCTGATGGGGGCTGGCTGGGCCTCCCTGTCCAGGCCAGCGTTGCTCCCTGCCCCGTCACCTGCTATCTGCATTGCCATGCTTAGGGAGATCATTCTGGAAGCTGTCTCTGGAGCAGGAAGGAGGGAAGCAGGAAGGGGAGGCAGCGCTGGGCCCCTGGAGCTGGTGGCTCCGCAGGCTCCGGTTCTTCCTCTGGCACAGCTGTGTGGGGTCACGCTCTGGCTGGGGCATCGTGAGAGTGACCTGGATGTCTAAGCCGGACTCCAGATGATGCCTGGGTGTCCACATCTATGAGCAGGGATGAGAACAGCCCCTGCTTCCCATCACCATGGGGAGGATGCAGTACAGAAGTGAGTGTGAAGCAACCACACGGCGCCCGGCACACACGGCTGTCTTCCCCAGTCATCTTAGTCTAATCTCTGAGAGGCACAGAAGGAAGAGGAAGGTTCTGTACCTTCCAGCGGGACGCCGCACCTGGCTCAGTTCTGCCCCTCTGCCTGGCCCACAGATGTCTTGAGAGGCCGTTCATGATCCTGGCTTCCCCTTCTCCACGGTGGGACCTTTACATCCCCTTGGCTTCTCCAACGTTGTGATGCCCACCAGGCGAGGGGCTGCAGTTTCCTCCTGTGGCCATGTCTCCCATTCTTCCTCCTCATTTCTGCCCCTTACATCTGTGGCACCCTCTTCTCCCTCAACCCCATTGCCACCCTTAATCAATCTACCTTGTCCCCTAACTCTGGCTCTACTCAGCCATGACACTCACCTGAAGCATCCTGGGCACGTCCTCATGGCTACCCTAGGTTACCTCTGAAGACTCTTGGACACCCATTGCCAACTCCCAGGGGCTGTTTCCAGTGCTGCTGTCTTTGCTGGAGAAAATATGTAACACACTTATGCGATGTATCCCACAAAGGTGACTCTGGTCTCCCCAGACTTTCACGGCAGTTTGGCCTCCTCACCCATGTCGAGCCTGGCCCCCACCATGGCTGGAAGAGAGTGGGGGTGGGTGATGGGTGGCACATCAGGCAGGCAAGGGAAGGGAGGAGGAAGAAGACAATCCCTGTTGCTCTCATCGTTTAGGCTTCCTCTTCGTCCACCCTGTGGCTGGTGAGAACAGGGCACGGCCCCGAGAGAAGCTCTAAAAGTACTTGTTGCATAAATAAACACACACTTTCTCTAGAGTAAAACTGAACATATGATCTCCCTTGTGAAACAAAACTTTGCCATAATCCTTTTGCTGTTTACGATGCACTCATTCTCTTCTCTTTATTTCATTAATGAATTCATTTGACAAATGACTATTGAGATATTTCTGTTCTGGTCTGCAGAATAAAGCAGTGAACAAGATGGTAAACTACCTGTTTCTGGTTGGAATAGGGCAGGATACCAAAAATAAACAAACAGAAGAAATGAAGACATCAATGATGAGGGTGAAGTGTTGTGGGGCAGGAGAGCATGAGGGGTGGGTGACTGGGAGCACTTCAGGTGGAAAGGGACTGAGTTGACATTTGGTGGGGGCAGGTTTTTGAGTGGCTGCAGTGAGCTGGTGATAAAGATCTCCTCATCACACCCACACATCCAATTAGTAACAGTGTCAGTTTGCTCCTGTGCCCATCTCATTGCCACCGCCCTGGTCCACGGCCCCATATGCTCACCTGGGTTCCTACCACAGCCTGTAGGGTGGGCCCTCTGCTCAGTCGCTGACCCTCCCATCCCACTTGCTTCTGGCAGAGCGCGCTTCCAAAACACAGATCTGTTCTGGCCCCGCCCCTGCTTACGGCCCTTTTTGGCCTCTGTGGCCCTCAGAATCAAGTCCAGATGCTCTGGCCTGGCGCATATGCACGATGGGGACCTGCTGGGGCCACCCAAATCGGCCCTTGCAGCAGTGAGACTGAGCCACATGCAGGTCCTCAGATCACTGTGGGCTCCGTCCCTGCCCTGGCTGTAGCACATGCTGCTCCTGCCCCCTCCTGTGTTCTGCTCCACCCCAGTCTCACCCTGACATTCCCATATCTCCTGCTTTTACCCCTCTTTGGTGTTTGCTTATCACTGCACCCCAGAACCTCATCCAGTCCCTGGCACGTAGAGGACCCTCACTGGTTCTTTGAGAAATGCATAAATTCAGTGTTGGTTCCTGCGAAGAGTCTTCCTTGAAAATGCTTTCAGGAGGCTGTGCTGTCCCTGGCAGGGCAAGGTGCTTTGTAGCAGGATTTTCCCCTCTTATGGTGGTTCTTTAGAAAGGCCATTACTTGGCTATGCCTGTAATCTCAGCACTTTGGGAGGCTGAGGCGGGTGAATCACGAGGTCAGGAGATAGATACCATCCTGGTTAACATGGTGAAACCCCATCTCTACTAAAAATACAAAAAAAAAAAAAAAAGCCAGGCATGGTGGCACGGGCCTGTAGTCCCAGCTACTCGAGAGGCTGAGCAGAAGAATCGCTGGAACCAGGGAGGCAGAGGTTGCAATGAGCCAAGATGATGCCACTGCCTTCAGCCTGGGCGACAGAGCAAGACTTCGTCAAAAAAAAAAAAAAAAAAAAGGCTATTGCAAGATCCAGGCATATACATAGTAAACCATAGATACCACATCAATGATTGATGGGAATTTACTAAACAGAATGCCATTTAGGATACGATGAAATCATGCCTAGTGTAACATCTGCCTTCTTAAAAACAAATTCAGAGTATCATTAAAAAAAAAAGTACAAGAAAAATAAGACCATATGTAGAAGTTTGTAACTAAGAACATATGTCAGTGAAAAGAAAACCTAATAGCATATTTTATTACTAATTGTTTAAATCAATATGTAATACATAAGCCTTTTGTCCCAAATGCTGTTGCCTTCCATAGCATCTAAAAATAAATACCATCTTTCATTGAATCTAAGACTCCATCAATCATAAGATGAGCTGTTATTTTATGTTCAGCACTGCCCCGCTCATTCACCCTCCTATTCTTTTCTGCCTGCTTCTGGCAGCCAGATCATTCTTCCAAAACACAGATCTGATTAGGCCCAATCCCTGCTTGTGGCCCTTTGGTGGCTTCTGGGGTCCTCAGAATTAAGTCCAGATGCTGTGGCCTGGCACCCATGCCCTGCACTGTGGGAATCCTCTGTGTCCTCCCACTCGGCCCTTGTGGCAGTGAGACCCAGCCATCTGCAGGTCCTCAGATCGCCATGCGCCCCTTTCCTTATTTTATGCACTATCAATAAAGAAAAATATGCTGCCAATTAACTGTGACCCCTGATTGTAAAGCATTATGACTGCCCTGCCTCTTCACCTCCACCAGGAGAGTCTGAACATAGAGTTTCTCTCTAGAATAGTGGTTCTCAACTGGGGGTGCTTTTGCTTCCCCCTTGCCCGAGGGGATGTGGGCAACGTCTAGAGACATTTTCACTTGTCACAACTGGGGTACTGGTGGTACTGGCATCTCGTGGGTAGAGCTCAGGGTTGCTGCCAAATCTCCTCCAATGCACAGGGCAACTTTCAACAACCGAGAGTCATCAGCCCAAAATGCCAGTAGCACCAGTGTTGAGAAATGGTGCTCTAGAACGTACAAGAATTGCTTGCACATCTCCTCCAATGCACAGGGCAACTTTCAACAACCAAGAGTCATCAGCCCAAAATGCCAGTAGCACCAGTGTTGAGAAACGGTGCTCTAGAACGTACAAGAATTGCTTGCACTTTTTGTATTCTGCTGCCATGAGTACTATCATCTTCTGGATTTTCTTTGCTTTTTTTTCTGTAGAGCATTGATCTTAAGCACTGGGCCCATTCAGAATGCATATATGAAAACTCTAACAAAGCATTTTAGGAGCCTCCGTGAGTTGGAGCCATGATTTATTTCAATAAATTAAACTAAGCTCTGCACAAGCCTTTATTTCTCCCACTCTAGTATAAAACCAGAAAATGCACTTAGACACATTCTGCATTTTAATTATACTTTCAGAGGATATAACAGTTGTATGAATTAAGAAGCAGTAAAATTAAATCGATTTTTCCATACATGCAGAAAGATGCAGGACTTAATGTGCATTATAATTAGGGACAATGAAATCAATTGTAGAATTTGTTTCAAAGTCACTAAAACCCTAAATTATATTGAACTGCCAACCTCTTCCAGCTTGTCACTTGTTTCCTTAAAATCAGTCTAACACCTGTTTAAGTCCTGCTTTTGGCAAGCTGCTAAACCCAGTAGCAATAAAGCTGGCCCTTGTAAGAAGTTTTTTGGTATGACAACAGGAAACTCTGGGAATAAGAAAAGGCCTCCTCTGATATTTTCAGTCCAAAATATGCCTGATTTGACGTACTGAACTTCTGAGGGGTGATTCAGAAAGTGTCTCAAACACTTTAGCATTGACAAATGAGAAGCAAAAGTCAAAAACAAAAAGGAAAGAAAGAAAGAAAGAAATTGCTCACTCTTGGTCTCACACTGATGTTAGGAGGAAACGTGTGAAGAGGGCTTGGGTGACTCTAAGACAGTTACCTCATGACAAAGAAGAGGGTCAACGTTCCATGAGAAGTCTGGCAAATTCCAGGATGGAGCTGGGTGCTGACCTTCGCTTTTGGTGTGGACAGTTGGTCTTTGCACATTCTAATTGCACCCTAAATACTCATTGTAGACATCACACATCAGAAGTAGCACCAAGAGATGGTCCAGTGCCAGGCAAACCCTCATGATCTTGTACCAGACAGAATCCTTTTGAGGTTCCTGACACTCCGTTCCCATTTCTACCCTCCATCGTGTGTGACAGGTAGTCACCTATGATTTTAAACATCCAGAGCACAGTTTTCTTTCTCTCCTCCCCACAATTAAAACCTGGTTGAAAGAAATATCTTGCATTAGTCATTTGCAGCAGAGGGTGACGCTGCTGATGGTTGGGACGTTCTGATCCTAGACCCTAATTAGAGTGGTGAAAGTCTCTGCTTCTCATTGAGGAAGCCAAGCCTCTATTAATGATTTGGGAAGGAAGCTGAGATGCTGAGGTCTTGGCCTTGCCTCAGAAGTCAGGGCCATTTACGTAACCTGAGCCCCATCCCTGCTCTCTCCCAAAGGTATGCACAGCTGCTTCCTGGGTGCTGCTTTTAATAAGCTCAGAATTAAAAAGCAAATCCTGCTATTTGAGCCTTCACTGAGTGCTCCAGGAAGACAAGAGATAGGGGTCGAGGGCATCTTGTTCACTCCAAGTCCCCTGCATCTGGCACAGGTCCTAGTATGTGGGTGATGACCAAACAATATGGATCCAATGAGTAAATGGTAGACTGAACGCCTCTTGAGCTAAACATTGTGATTGATTCACATGGCATAGGTTACTTTCAAAGGCAGGAGGTGTTCCTGTGGGCAGGCCCAGGCCTTGAAAACTTAATTTTATTATTTATTTATTTATTTATTTATTTATTTATTTATTTATTTATTTGTATTTTGGTAGGTCTTTGGGGAACAGGTGGTGTTTGGTTACATGAATAAGTTCTTCAGTGGTGATTTCTGAGATTTTGGTGCACCCATCACTTAAGCAGTGTACAGCTGCTTCCTGTGCACTCAGTGTGTAGTCTTGTACCCTTCACTTTGTCCCAAACTTTCCCTCAAGTCCTCAAAGTCCATTGTATCATTCTTATGCCTTTGCATCCTCATAGCTTAGCTCCCACTTATAAGTGAGAAAATACGATGTTTGGTTTTCCATTCCTGAGTTACTTCACTTAGAATAATGGTCTCCAATTCCATCCAGGTGGCTGCAAATGCCATTATTTCTATCCTTTTTATGGTTGGGTTATATATATATGGTTGGGTTTTATATATATATATATATATATATATATATATATATATCTCACATTTTCTTTATCCATGTGTTTATTGATGGGCATTTGGGCTGGTTTCATATTCTTGCAATTACAAATTGTGCTGCTATAAACATACGTGTGTAAATATCTTATTCATATATTGACTTCCTTTCCTCTGGGTAGATACCCAGGAGTGGGATTGCTGGATCAAACGGTAGTTCTACTTTTAGTTCTTTAAGGAGTCTCCACACTGTTTTCACTGTGGTAGTACTAGTTCACATTCCCACCAACACTGTAAAAGTGTTCCCTTTTCACCACACCGATGCCAACATCTATTATGTTTTGATTTTGGCCATTCTTGCAGGAGTACAGTGGAATCGCATTGTAGTTTTGATTTGCATTTCCCTGATTATTAGTGATATTGAGTATTTTTTCACATGCTTCTTGGCCATTTGTGGGTCTTCTTTTGAGAATTGTCTATTCATGCCCTTAGCCCACTTTTTGATGGGATTGTTTGGTTTTTTTTCTTGCTTATTTGTTTGAGTTTCTTGTAGATTTTGGATATTATTCCTTTGTCAGATATACAGATTGCAAAGATTTTCTCCCATGCTGTGGGTTGTCTGTTTACTCTACTGATAATTTCTTTTGCTGTGCAGAAGCGTTTTAGTTTAATTAAGTCCAATCTATTTATCTTTGTTTTTGTGGCATTTGCTTTTGGGTTCTTGGTCATGAAGTCTTTGCTTAAGCTAATGTCTAGAAGGGTTTTTCTAATGTTATCTTCTAGAATTTTTATGGTTTCAGGTCTTAGATTTACGTCTTTGATCCATCTTGAGTTGATTTTTTGTATATGGTGAGAGATAAGAATCTAGTTTCCTTTCTCTACATGTGGGTTGCCAATTACACCAGTGAAAACTTAATTTTAAGTCGTTTCTACTCTGTAATCTTTATTACTATGTATGAGGGGTGATCATTCTTTGGTCAGTGGTCAGTGTTAGGAGAGAGGTTCCTAACCCTATTCATGATGCCAAGTGTTTGTGTTTGGGGAAGGAAGGCCAGTGGGATTACATTTGAGGAGGAGCTGCATTCAAGACTTTCAGTGATTGTTTACTGAACACCTACTGTACCAGTCTTCTGCTACCAATAGTCCCCAAAACTCAGTGACTTAACAACAGCCATTTATCATGGCTCCTGAATCTGCATGCTGGGGTGGCTGATCTAGGTTGGCCTGTCTGGGCAGCTCTTCTCCATGAGTTTCTTGTCTTCCTGGGATCAGCAACCTGACATGGGCATGTTCTTCTCAGGGCAATAACAGACGTGCAAGAGAGCAAGTGCCTTTCATACCTTTTGTAGCATTATGTCTGGCTGAGATCTATACACTAAAACAAGTTACGTGGCCATCCTCAAAGTGGAAGGGTGGGAAAGTACACTCTGCATGGAGAGGGGAGACAGGAGGGAGTGAATATGTCTGAACAAGGATCTCATCTATCAGCCCAAATACATGCCAGAAATATCCCATTAGCCTCATTCATGATAAGACTTTGTACTCTTTGCTCCCTTTATGAACCTTGTCCTATGAATGAGTGAATGCATGGATGCTGTGAGGACGATGGCAGAGGTGAGAAGAGCTGTCATCTGTCCAGCTTCCATCTGCCTGGGGGTGAGATGATTTGGATTGGTTATAGGTGTATGTCTAAACCAGAAGTTGTTATCTTGGAGGGAGGCCCATTATTATTATTTTGTATTCAGCCTGGGGTATGTTAGTCAAATTTTTTCAGTTACAATCACTAGTTTGTATAAAGGGAGTGTGGGAGCTGGTGTATGTAAATGGGGAATCGAAGGAGAGAAATCAGTTTCAAGCATGGTTGGAGCCAAAAGTTTAAACAATATCATCACCTCTCATTTTCTCTCTCTCTATCTCTGTTTCTCTCTCTCTGTGTCTCTCTTTCTCTCTCCTTCTCTGTCTCTCTCTCTCTCTATGTCTTCATCTTTCCCTTTCCCCCTCCATCCTTCCAACTCTCTCTACTTCTCTCTCTACCTCTTTCTCTCCACCTCTCCATTTCCTTCTCTCTCCCAACCTCTCCATTTGTCTCTCTCCCCCTCCATATCTCTCTTGCCTCCTCTCCCTCTCTCTCTTTCTCTTCCTCTCCATCTCTCCCTCTCTCTCTCCCCCTCTTCATCTATCTCTCTCTCTCTCCCTCTTGCTCCCCTCCCTCCTTTTCCCTCTCCTCTCCATCTCTCAGTTCTGGCTTCTGGTGTACGCTTCCTTATCAGGCAGGCTTTCTCAATGCAGTTGTACAGGTGCTTTCTGGCATCTCCAGGCATACCTAGTCCATAATGATGTAATTTTTCAAAGCTTTAGTTTCATTGCAGTTAATGGTGCACCATATTTAAGGAATCAAATCTTTCTAAGGGGCATTTTTACAAAAACAGCAGTCTCTGCTTCTTGTTCAGTTTCCTCCCCCGGAGTCATCACTTTCAAACTTTTAAGCTGATTACCTTACTATTCTTTCTAAATTATATAGTACATTTTGATTTTTAATTTTTCATCATGTCTTGAATTCCTTCTATAGAAGTTAGGCAATTCACCTCACCACAGAAATATACCCTTCCCTAAACCCAGCTCCCACTATAGTTAAATTATTCTATTGTTAGATTATTATTTGGTAATGACATTATTATAACCATGTAAATACTACTACAAGCTGAGTCAAGTGGTTAACTGTGAAATACACACTTCTTTTTTGTGTATAATACTGTTTCATTGGAGTGAATACATGTTCCTCTTTTTTCTTTTCTTTTGCTTAGTTTTCTATAGATTTATCACTAATTCATTCCCAAGTTCTCTAATTTTCTGATTCTCCACTCAAGACGTTCAGACATTCTATGGCTTTCATACTTCTGCAGAAGTGTCTCCCAGAGTTTTCTAACCCACAGCAATATGGATCTGTTGCCCTCTAGGTCTTGTGTGCACTTCTCATTGGAGATCTTTCTTTGCTGTCATCCTGAAGTTTTTCTTTTGTTTCCTGTATTCATGGCCTGTTTATGTGTATCTCATGTTTTTCTCTTTATTGGTTTATGTACTTATTTTGTTGGAGTACATCCTGAAGTAGCTTCCTGAGAAAGGGTTGGGGGAAGTATAATTTTGAGATCTTACATATTTGAAAATATTTATTATAGTATTAATGGAGAGTAATACATTCTGGTTATTCTTGAATCATTGGGAATAAATTCTTGATTAAAAATATTTTTTTTCTCCAGGGTTTTGAAGACATTGTTCCATTGTCTTCTAAGCTCCCAGGGTTATTTTTAAGAAGTCCAAAGTGTTTCTGACTTCTGAGACTCTGTAGGTCATCTGGAAGCTGGTAGGATCCAATTTGCTGAAATTTTATGAGATGTACCTTGGTTTGGGTTGAATGTTATTCATTGTGCTGGAAACTTGATTAGTCCTTTCCATCTGGAAAGTCACAGCCTTGTGTTATGGGACATGATACTGATTTTTTTTTTATTGATAATTCCTTCCCCCCTCATTTTTCTATTCTTGTTTGTAGAATTCTTTTGTTTCTGTGTTGGACCTGTTAAACTATTCTTATTTTTTTATTATCTTAATTTTCTCTCATTTTTTTTTCTCTGATATCTGGGAGATTTATTTAACCTTATCTTTTAATTCTTCTAAGGTTTTAAAAATCATTTTATTTTTTCATGAGCTTTTTCATGAGTCCTCAATGTTTCTCTTTTATAGCTTTCTTTTCTTATTTGTAGATACAATATCTCAGTATCTTCCCTTTTCGTGAACAATATTAAGGTGTTTCTTTTTAAGGTTTTCTTCTCCTATGTTTTCTCTTACTTCCTTTGAGTTATTTTTTTCTGCATGTTTTGGTCTCCATTTTTCATGATAAATTACTATGGCTATGGAGTTCTTATCTTCTTTGTTTTTGTTAGATTATGACTTCATAAATATCCTTCATTCATTTTAGTGTGTCTCTGGGTTGTCTGCTTAAAAGTGGACACTAAAAAGCCCATGGCAGGATTTTGTGTGTTATTGGGAATTGTCAACTGTGGACTTCTGTGTACTGCAGTTGGCTGAGATATTTTTACTAGAAATCTTAACGTCTGTATCTGTAGATTTTTCCTCTTGGGCCTCTCATAGGAGGATCTTCCATTGACTTGTCTTGAAGTTTAAGACCTGTCTGGCAGTGTGCTGAGAGTTGTGTCAAGGAAGAGATCCATGAGTCTTGGCATTGAGTGTAATCCTTATTCAATCTTTGTTTTTAGAAAGATACTCTTTCATTTCACTATACCTGATTCCTTCTCTTTACCTTCTCCTTAGAATAAACCTTTCTGACTAGATGCAGTGGCTCACACCTGTAACCCCAACTCTTCGGTAGGCCAACGCAGGAGGATCGTCGCTTGAGTCCAGGAGTTTGAGTTCGAGACCAGCCTGGACAACACAGTGAGACTCTGTCTCTACAAAAAAATTAAAAAATTAGCTGAGTATGATGGCGCATGGTCCTAGCTACTTGGAGGCTGAGGCGGGAAAATCACTTGAACCTAGGAGGTTAAGGCTGCAGTGGGCCATCATCATGCCACTGCACTTCAGCCTGGGCAACAGAGGGAGATCCTGTCTCAAAAATAAAAAATAAAAATAATAAACCTGTCATCTCCTGCCAATTCTAGAGAGTAGACAGTGTCTGGCAATGGGAAGTTGGGAGAGGATGTGCTATTGATTGAGTTGATTCTTAAACAAATTTCCACTTAACCCTCCATTTTGGTACCATCTTCACTACATGCAAAAATAACTTGAGTCTTTTGGGGGTATTTCAGTAAGCACCTTTCTCAGATCCACTTGATCAATTGTTTATCACTTAATAAAATCCTTCTGCATTCTTTTTGGGTTCCTGCGTGTGTGTGTGTGTGTGTGTGTGTGTGTGT